>NC_000003.12:53949393-54252424 GCF_000001405.40 Homo sapiens | reverse complement strand
AAGACACCAGCCTATTTTCCTTGGCCACAGAAATGAGACACAACTGATCCCATGCTCCTATCATATTTCTGTAATGAGTTGGGCTGCTGTTTTCTACAAGTAAGTCCTTGTATATCCATAGTATGACTAATTATAAATAATTTCTGGTATAAAATCCATTACAAAAAGCCCAACCTAAATCTAGGACTAGACTTCTGACAATCTAATCACTAGCCCATCCTGCAAGAAAACAAAGATTTTTCCTTCAAGGATCTACCTGTGTTTTAGCAAACCAGTACAAAGGGAATGGGAGAGACGGAGAGTATCGTACAAAAAAAAAAAAAACTAGCTCTGCAAAAAGAGAAATTGGAACCACTGGGATCCAGATACTTTACACAGTGTATCTTGGGAGCTCAATTAAGGAGAATTTCTAAAAAAAAGATTACTGCATGAATAAAAAATTACATAAACACACAAATACTAGAACCAAGCAGATTTCAACAGGCAAGCTGGAACAGTAAAACACCAGGGCCTCGCTATAACCCAGCAGGTCTTCAAGTTTCACACTATTGTTCTGTCTTATAAGTGAAATCGTTTTATGACAGTATCATTTTGATATTTATCTAACTAGCCTCTGGGAACCAGGTCACTTATTACTAACGCTGCTCCATGTCAGTTCTTACTCATGTTCCAAGGTAACAACATTTATTTAGATTCAAGTGAGAAGATACAGATGTCAAGGGCCAGAACTAAACACTGTTTAGGAAGGCAATGAAGTTACACGATTTGTGAAATTACTGTAGGAGCTAGATGAGATGGAATTGGTATAGAGGAGAAGGCTCCTAGAGCCCTTTTGACCAAAATAGGTTGACATTTCAGATTCCCACTCATTCTCACTCACTACAATGCCACCGTCTGCAGATCCTCAAAAAACAGTGGCAGATGAGAGTAATAATGTTTCCAAAAGGAATCCTAGGTTTGTCATCTTCTTCAAAACAAAATAATCTATGGCTTCAAATTAAGACAGTTATACAGATATACTTGTTATCTGTTAACTTTAAAATACAAATACATAGACTTTAATAAAAGAGTTAGAGATGCCCTGCACCTATGATAGAGATTGACTCTGTTTCTCCCACCTCCAGCAACATGGCCTCAGTCTACTCTTGCAGAAGACTTCATCTCTTGCAGAAGACTCTTCACTGCTCTCCTGCTTTCCTCTCTCACCCCAATATCACCCCATCCCTCTTTTCAAAACACTGGAGCAAGATCAGTGTCATGCAGGCACCAAACCCAGCTGAACCTCCTCCTGACCTCCCTACTTATCTGACCCTGCCTAAGTCACTTACATAACCCCTGACCACTCTCCCCTAAGAGTCTATGGCTGAGATTATCTGTGCTCATAGTCTGTAGGCTAGTGCTGCCTCGGAGCTTTTGCACCCGCTGTTTCTCCTACTGAGAATGCTCTTTACTCAGATCTTTACTCCTTCCTGTCATTGGCCTTCAAATTAAATGCTACCTTCCCTGAACACTCAAACCAACTCACTACCCAGCTGCTGTCTGGCATATTGCCTCTTTCTCTGCCCAGCTCTTACCACTCACTGTCTGATATTTTCTTGTTCATTTGCTTCTTGTCCTTCCTCTCCTAGACTGTAAGCCCCCTAGGAGTTGCATGCTTATCACCTTTGTAAATAAAATGAATTTATTGTTCTTTTTAAAAAATATTTATTTTACGTAAGCCAAGCACTTTGGGCGATGACGGAGGGAAGACTGCTTGAGCCCAGAAGTTTGAGACCAGCCAGGGCAACAAGTCTAGACTCCATCTCTACAAAAAAAATTTAAAAATTAGCCAAGTATTGTGGCATGAGCCTTTAGTCCCAGCTACATGGGAGGGTGAGGTGAGAGGATCACTTGAGCCCAGGAGTTTGAGGCTACAGTGAGCTATAATCATATCACCGCACTCCAGTCTAGGTGACAAAGCAAGACCTTGCTCCTTAAAAAAAGTATTTATTTTAATTGTTAAGTAAAAAATTGTATATATTTATGGGGTATAATATGATGTTTTGATAAAGATATATATAATTAGAATGGCTAAATCAAGCCATTTAACAGACATTACCTCACATAATCATCACTTTTTTGTGGTGAAAACACTTAAAATCTACTCTCTCATCAACTGTCCGGTAGATAATACATTGCCAGATTTATAGTTCTGTGTTTGTCACTTATCAACCACATGTTCACCACTGACCACAAAATCAGGATTTTGCCTGGAAATCCCAGCATGTACATTAGAACAAAGTCAACCAGTCCTGAAATCAAGGAGGAGAGAAAACTGCGGCAATGACACTAAATGGGCTAGTTGATCACAGCTACTTTCCATCAAGTCTATCAGACTTCACACGAAAAGCACATAATGATTCAGAGAAAAACAGTGTTCTCTGGGGAACCCTACCAAATGAATTTGCCCATTACATTTTCAGAGGAGTCTTGGGTGCTCCACCACCCACTGAAAGCACAGGGGACACCATGATAGCAAAAGTTTCATCATGGCATAATTGTTTTCAAACAAAAAGGTAACTAAAGAGTTGTCTATAGTTATCTAGGGTCATAATGAACCACTTTGATATTATTAAAAGACAAAAAAAGAAATAGTCCCACTCACATAAAAAAAAAAAAAACATAATTTTGGTATAGAATGTTGAATATTGTGTATTACGGTTGAACCAGAACCAATAGGATGAGGGGTGTGTGTGTGTGTGTGTGTGTGTGTGTGTGTGTGTACGTAAACAGAGAGATTTGTTCTAAGGAACTGGTTGTCACGATTACTGAGACTGGCAAGTTCAAATGTAGCCTGGTGTGTGTGTGTGTGTGTGTGTGTGTGTGTACGTAAACAGAGACATTTATTCTAAGGAACTGGTTCTCACAATTACCGAGACTGGCAAGTTCAAATGTAGCCTGGCAGCCTGGAGACCCAGGAGAGCCACTGGTGCAGACAAAGTTCAAAGACAGTCTGCTGGAGAAGTCCTTCTCACTCTGGGATGCCAGATTTTTTATTCTACTCAGGCCTTTAATGGATTAGACAAGGCCCACCCACATTATAGAGGGCAATCTGTTTACTCATTGTTCACCAATTTAAATATTAATCTCATCCAAGAATGTCCTGTAATTTGGCATATAAAGTTAACCATCTCAAGTCCTTGTCAACTTGGCACCCGCACGCATCTCTGTAAACCATGCTTAATCTCCAAACGAAAACAACAACAAGGTCATACTTCTTCCTAGTATGATAAAAACTAACCTGTGTACAACCAAATCCAACACTAGAAAGGGATGCAAAGTCTCTCCATGCTGTTTATTCTTCTCCTTGATATCCCGTAACTTAAATACTATGATATAAAGTTAATACATCTTACATTACATGACAAGAGGATAACAGAGGGAGGAAACCAAAGATATTTGCCTTGCACACGTACATATTCATAACCAAATATGGAAATACTCATGATAATTACAGTGCTCATTTCTGTAACTGATCACACGGTCATAGTTATTAACAACTACCTTCTTCCACTACCCATTCTGTATTCCCTTTGCCTTCAGCAAGCACCTCAACTAGTCATAGTTCTTTATCTGCTGGAGTAACCCAAACCTTAAAATTTGTATTAATCAGTTAGGTCTGCCATAACAAAGTACCACAGACTGGGGGTCTTAAACAACATAAATATATTTTCCCACGGTTCTGGAGACTGAGAAGTCCAACATCAAGATGCCAGTAGGGTTGGTTTCTGATGGCCTCTCTCCTTGGCTTGCTGCCTTGTTGCTGTGTCCTCACATGGTCTTTTCTCTGTGCCTGTGGATTCCTGGTATTTCTTCCTCTTCTTATAAGGACATCGGTCCTACTGGATTAGGATTAGGGCCCCACCTTTTTTTTTCTTTTTCTTTTTCTTTTTTTTTTTTTTTTGAGATGGAGTTTCTCTCTTGTTGCCCGGGCTGGAGTGCAGTGGCACAATCTCAGCTCATTGCAACCTCCATCTCCCAGGTTCAAGGGATTCTCCTGCCTCAGCCTCCCGAGTTGCTGGGATTACAGGAGCATGCCACCATGCCCGGCTAATTTTTGTATTTTTAGTAGGGACGGGGTTTCACTATGTTGGCCAGGCTGGTCTTGAACTCCTGACCTCAGGAGATCCAACTGCCTCGGCCTCCCAAAGTGCTGGGATTACAGGCATGAGTGGTGTGAGCCACCAAGCCCAGCCAGGCTCCACCCTTTTAATCTCACTTTACCTTAATTACCTTCTAAAAGACCCTATCTCCACATATAGTCACATTGGGAATCAGAGCTTCGACCTACACCTTTTGGAGGTGGGAGGACACAACTGAGTCCATAACAGCTTACAGTAACATTCCCATTCTCATCCAGGGTAACAGTCACCGTTAAGGAAAACTATTGTTACATAAGGAAAGACTGTTACATTTCCTAGGTGTTTTCGAGAATATTTTATTTACCAAATATTAATATATTTGGTCAGTAGTTTGAGCATCCACTATGCACCAGGCATGGTACTAGGCATGGTACTAGGCATGGCAGATATGAGACAAGACTGGAGTATGTCTTGGGTGTTGGGCATTGTGGGTCACTATTCTCAGATGTGACATCCCAATATGGAATTTCAAATCCTTTTCATTCCAGGCAATTTCTCTTGAACTATAGATCAAGTACTAGTTGTGGTTTCCTGCTTTAGTTTTCTTTTTCAGGGGTGCCTAGTAGTCATATGTCAAGCTCTCCTCTGCCTATCTTCAATAGCGTGTCCCTTTCTCTTGAATTCTTTGTCTATTTTTTATATTTACAATGTTCCTATTTTTTATATTTACAATGTTCCTAATGTTTACCTTCTACTTAATTTAAGGCATTATCTGTTGTGTTTATTTGCTCTTGTGTTCCTTCTAGTTTAATCTTTATTTCTAAAATATTTTTTATTTCCAATGCTTTCCTCACTTCTGCCACCTCATTTCCAAGATTTTTCTGTTTTGATTTATATTGTTCTCTCATATCTTGTATCACTTTCTTAATGTTTTAGTTCATTTTGACAATAGTGGGATTTGGTTTTATTTATTTGTTTGTTTGTTTGTTTGAGATGGAGTCGTGCTCTGTTGCCCAGGCTGAAGTGCAATGGTATGATTTTGGCTCACTGCAACCTCCACCTACCTCCAGGGTTCAAGCAATTCTCCTGCCTCAGCCTCCCGAGTAACTGGGATTACAGGCATGCACCACCACGTCCAGCTAATTTTTGTATTTTTAGTAGACAGGGTTTCACCATGTTGGCCAGGCTGATCTTGAACTCCTGACCTCAGGTGATCCGCCCACCTGGGCCTCCCAAAGTGCTGGGACTACAGGCGTGAACCACCACGCCCCGGAGTAGGATATGGTTTTAATCTGTTCTGTGGGTATGTCTTTTTGTTGTGCTGATGTAGAGATGTTAGTCTGCTCATTCTTCCTCCCAACTTACTTTGTCTTTGTGTGGTGTTGTACACCTCCATCCTTTATACACCTTGTTGTTAAGTGAAATTAATTTTCCTAAACATTTAGGAACAAAGCTGGTTCATAGCAGCTTTTCTCACTTCAGAGCTCCCTCTTCTGTTGTTCTCATGCAGTGTTAAAAAAATTTATGATAGTTGCTTTCTGAGATGCTGAGATATTCTGGCTCTTTTTTTTGTTTTTTTGAGATGGAGTTTCTCTCCTGTTGCCCAGGCTGGAGTGCAATAGTGCAATCTCAGCTCACTGCAGCCTCCGTCTCCCAGGTTCAAGTGATTATCCTGCCTCAGCCTCCCAAGTAGCTGGGATTACAGACAGCCGCCTCCCAAGTAGCTGGGATTACAGACAGCCGCAACCACGCCCGGCTAATTTTTGTATTTTTAGTAGAGATGGAGTTTCGCCAAGTTGGCCAGGCTGGTCTTGACCTCCTGACCTCAGGTGATCCACCCACCTTGGCCTCCCAAAGTACTGGGATTACAGGCATGAGCCATCGCATCCGGCCCCCAGGTCCACTTTTATTACTAAATCTTAGAAGGAAAAATTGTTCGAGCATCTGGGCAAAAAGAACATGTGACTTACAAGGGAAAAAATATTATGATCAGACTTTACAAAACAATGTAAGCAAAAAGAAAATAGAGGAACCTATCTAAGATCCTCAAGGGAAGAAAATATAAGCCATGGATTTTTGAATTAATTTCAAGTATAAAGGACACAGGCAACATGTAAGAACTCAGGGAATATTTTTCCTTCGAGCCATTTCTGAGAAATACACTAGAGAGTAAGCTTCAAAACAACCAAAATCACTGAACAACAGAGGTTATGTCTGGTAGTGAACAGCAAATATATAGATGTTTGTAAAATTAAGACTAAATGAGGATTATAAGGGAGAGTATAGTATGTAATAGCTACATGCTCTCAAAATGTAGATATGCAGGCGCTCACGCCTGTAATCCCATCACCTAGGGAGGCCTAAGTGGGCAGATTGCTTGGAACTCCAGGGACTACCAGATGACAATGATGATAGAGAAGCAAACTCCAAATTAATCTTGACAATACACTCTTTTAAAAGTAATCATTCTTGCATTGCATTTTCATTTGAAGATGAAACAAGGGGTGGGGGCACTGGTGACAATTTTTAATACTTAGATGAGCCTATTTTCCATAATCAGTATTCATGCATGATGACACTGATGAGAGACTGGGGGAGATCGTGTGACCTTCCCAAAGGCAGGCCTTCTGAATAGATGCTCTGTTTCTCAAGCCCTGCATTATACCAGGCAACAACTGCACTATGTCAATGGCCCAAAGTTGACTGATGGAACCCATGCTTTAGCCCAAGGTGCTTTCAGTGCCAGTGCCAAGTCAGTGAAGTGGAAGGCAGTCCAGAACACCAGGCTCTGGATGGATGGTGGGAGAGCAGGCCTGGCCTTAGGTCAAAAGCCTCAACCCTTGAACATGAGCCACCATGAGAGCCAGGACTGTTTTCTCTGTTCAGCAAAAGCCACCTTTTGATGGGTCCAGGCAGGGGGTCCCCCAGGGAATAATCATTCTCATTCTCTCGCACTCTCTCTCAATCTCTCTCTCCCACACACACACACACACACCCATACACATGCACACTTACATACAATGTTAAAAAATAAAAATAAAAAGACATCTTGGAACTTAAAATTAAATTTAAATTTTTTAAAAAAAAAATAAAAAGACTGTGTTCTATTCCAATCCAGCTATTAATACTTGTAGGCTATGACCATGTACTTGTGGACCATGACCATATAATTTATTGTCCAAAGACATTGTTGAGATTGAAAGGGAATGACATTAATAATTATGACAACAGGTGTAAACTGGCACTGTCCTGGGTAAATCAGAATGAAAGAGTACCCTAGCTGTAACCCACCCAACACGTTTTAAGCTGCTCAAATGTCATCTAAATTTTTCTTGAGTTCTTGTTCTGGCTTCCGCATAAAAGGCAAAAGTATATAATTACTAGAACTTCAATGGATCCCAGAGGATATGAACAAGAGGATTTTAGGAGGTACATGGACAAGCATGACCTTTTAATTGTATTGTTAAATATTTATATGTGGTTTAAACCTATGTATAGACAGTACTGTAAACACAGGTTCCAAATATATTATTACTTACAATGAAGCTAAAGTCTTGCAAATTGCTGTTTGATTTAAATATTAAAATGTTTGGTAAACACCTCTACATGTGATCTCATCATACACACAAGACTGGATATTGGATGTGGACACTTACTTTTGAAAATTACTGGCATGTTCAATGCATGCTTCCTTTTTTTGTTTTTCTTCAGCCAATCAGTCAACAAACCCTGAGCCCTTACCTATGAGCCAGGCATTACCCCAGATCAAGAGGCCACAGTGGGAACCCTGGCTCCTGCCACAGGGAACTCCTCAGCCAGTGAGTCTGCAGCACAAATGATGTCATTTTTAAAGCTAATAAGGCATTTGACATTTTGATTTAATAACAACAAATATTACTGTGTTTCATAGATGACAGTTTGCACATATGCGGTCTCATTCAACTAATTGCTATTAGTTTAAAGTCTGGGGGAAATGTCCTTTTTCAAGATCACCTCCAACACCAGCTGCTTGCAGTTCCTCAGCTGCTCTTCCCAGGCCACAGATTCGGGGCGCTTCCTCACACCAGCCCAGACTAGTTTTGCTCATCTGCAGCCATGGGGCCACTTCTACCAAAAGAAAGTGGGAGGAGACTGTCAAGGCTGGGCGCTCACTCCACGGTCGCAGTGCTGTGGTACTTGGACACCAGGACTTCTCCAATTCCTCCCAACATCGCTCTATGTTGAGAAGGACTGGGGGGCATTACTAGGCTCTGAGGGAGAAGGTGCTATCATCAGGTGGTCAGGTCTGTTTCCAGCACAGGACGGGGGGAGCAGGACTCCTGTATCTGCCAGGAAAATCCCCCTATATCTGTATCCCCTACAGACTAGCATTGTGCAATTCAGAAAGGGTCTGCAGATGCATTCTAATTTCCATCTCCATATTCATCCAGTGAGGAAAGCAGGCTGGTGTCATTACCCACTCAGAGCTAAGGAGGATAAGGCTCAGAGGGATCCGTGGCTTGTCTGAAGTCACACTGCTAGCAATCGGCAGAGCTGGGTCAGAGCACGGGTGCTTTTTGCCCAGTTGTTTGAAGTCTGGAGCCTGGAGCCAGATAATTGGCCAGCCTCCTCCAGGACGCTGTATGTATAGCAGGGAGGGGACATTTTGTTTTGTTTCGTTTTCGTTTGTTTGTTTGATTTTCCTCTTTTGATTCTTAACAACTAATCTTTTTTAGTAAGAACTATCAAATGCTTCAGTGGCCTCAGGAATGAGTGTAACAAAGGAAATACTATCATTTGTGCTGCAAAGTTAAAGACACATGAACAATAGCCGAACCCCACATGGTTTCCAAGCTGTGGAGATGGGTCACCAACTGGGCTTTGAGATCAGGAAAGTCATGAATAGCTAAGGACCAAAAACAGAACAAAACAAAGAGTGCTGAAAATAATTTGGAAACATGTGAATTTACAGAAGACTACACACTAAATATAATCAAGGGCACCCATTCCATTTTTGGCCGATTCTTCTGGCATCAGCTGCCGTTTCGCAAACATTTGACAGCCCACGCAATCGCGGGTCTCCCACACCACCCCTTGTCTTTCTGGGTAGTTTCCAGCCTTGGGTTTCCAGGACTCCACAAGAACACAGGATGAAGGGAAATGCACAGGGGAGCTGGAGAGTGGGGACAGGGGGTACAATCTTGGAGGAGATCTGGAATCAAGGGACACATGGTTTATGATCTGAAATTGCAATTGAGGCTAACTGTTGAGGCTGGCTGTGCAATTCACCCGGACCCAAATCTCCTCCTGTATCTCTGCTATTGAGAAGAGTAATTTCTACAGAGCTTTTCCATATTTTCACAAATAGTTAAAGGTGCTTTACTGTCAGTCATCTTCAAAATTCCCTGCTTGCCTGAGCAGCAATAGCAAAACAAAAGCAACCACCTCCACCATCTAACTGACCATGTTCCAAGACTTGCTAATGTTTTCTTAGTAGTCCCCCTTATCCACGGTTTTGCTTTCTGTGGTTTCAACCTGCAGTCAACCTCAATCCAAAAATATTACACGGGAAATTCCAAAAATAAACAATTCATACATTTTAAATTGTGCGCTATTCTGAGCTGCATGAGGAAATACCACCCAGGACCTGAATCGTCTCTTTGTCGGGCGTAGTCACACCATATATGCTACCCACCCATTTGTCACTCAGTAGCTGCCTGGGCGAGCAGATTGACTGTTGAGGCGTCGCAGGGCTTGTGTTCAAGTAACCCTTATTTTATTTCATAATGACCCCAAAGTACAAGAGTGGTGGTGCTGACATATTGTTATAATTGTTCTATTTTATTCTATTTATTTTATTTCATTTCATTTCATTTTTATTTGAGACTGAGTCTCACTCTGTCCCCCAGGCTGGAGTGCAGTGGCACGATCTCAGCTCGCCGCAACCTCTGCCTCCCAGATTCAAGTGATTATCCTGCCTCAGCCTCCCGAGTAGCTGGGATTACAGACGTCCACCACCATGCCTGGCTTTTTGTTTGTTTGTTTGTTTTTGTTTTTTGTATTTTTAGTAGAGCTGGGATTTCACCATGTTGGCCAGGCTGGTCTGGAACTCCTGACCTCAGTTGATCTACCCGTCTCAGCCTCCCAAAGTGCTAGGATTACACGTGTGAGCCACTGTGCCCAGCATGTTCTATTTTATTATTAGTTATTTTTAATCTTTTATTGTGCCTAATTTATAAATTCAACTTTATCATGAGTATGTATGTATGTATAGGAAAACACATAAGTGTATACAGGTTTTGGTACTATCCAGTTTTCAGGAATCCACTGGGGGCCCTGGAATGTATTCCCTTTGGATAAAGAGGAACTACTATACAAACTCTCACTGAATCCTCATGGCAGCCCTAAGTCACAGGTATTCTTATCATCATCATATTTTAGATGGAAAAACTGAGGCTTAGGAAGTTCAAGTAACTTACCCAAGGTTACATAAAAGCAACTGTGTTGGAACTATGTACCAGTTACCACCACCAACACACTCAGCACTGGAAGCTGGGTGACTGCTGACTGTGGCCCTAGAGGCCAAGCTCTTAATCCCTATCCTACACTGGCAACCTATGCCACAGGAGCTTCCCTGATATTGCCAGTCTGGCATCCATCCCTACACTTCCCACATCCATGTGACCACAGCCACGTGAGCCAGCATGCAGGCCATATACCAGCCAAGTCTCTTGCGTGCAATTTGAATTGGGCATACCCAAATTGGTCTCCAGAAAACCCAGTTTGCACCGATTCTGCTCCGAGGCTGTGTCTTCATCTCAAAGTTACCAGACAGTCCCTTTGCTGATTAATAGGCTTTCTTAGACTGTGGACTCTGGAGCCAGATGGCCTGGGTTTGAATCCCAGCTCCACCTAGCTCACTGTGCTGGCTTTTCTCTTCTATAATAGAGGTACTCGTGATACTAATAGAACCTACTGCTCTGTAGGCTATAAGGATTATATACAGCTCTGCTCAGGAAGTGCTTACAACAGTGCCCAACACGCAGGGAGCCCCCAGTCATGATCATTAAACAACAGCCCTGTGCAGGCCAGCACTGAGATTTTTCTAGATAAGTGTTCATATTTCTCTTAGAAACTGAATGTTTGGCAGCAAATAAAAGCAAAGATATAGACTGACCCCAAGAGGGCCGGCTCTTGGCTATTGGGCCAATTTGCCACTGGATTCAAGTTCTATTTTGAGGGCACCCAAAAGAAAGCAAAAGTAGACAAAAGTATAAAGACTCTAGCCAGGTGCAGTGGCTCATGCCTGTAATCCCAGCATTTTGAGAGGCTGAGGTGAGTGGATCACTTGAGGTCAGGAGTTCAAGACCAGCCTGGCCAACATGGTGAAACCCGTCTCTACTCAAAATACAAAAATTAGCCAGGCATAGCAGCAGGTGCCTGTAATCCCAGCTACTCGGAAGGCTGAGACAGGAGAATCACTTGAACCTGGGAGGCAGAAGACGCAGTGAGCCGAGATCGCACCATTGCACCATTGCACTCCAGACTGGGAGACAGAGTGGGACCCTGTCTCAAAACAACAAAACAAAACAAAACAAAACTCCAAACTTTATTTTTAGATAGTTTTTTACATCTCCTTACAAAACCAGCAGATGAGAAGAATTAAGAGCCTGAAATCAATTTGGGGAATCACATCATGAACCATAAAACAGATAAGTCAAATTCTTCCTCCTCCTCCTTCCTCTCATCCTCACTTACTAGGAGAAAATGCATGCGCTGTTGGATGCTGATCCACATCCCTTTTACTTCGCCTAATTAGCATTCCGAGTAGGTGCCTCTCACAAAGAAAATCATCCTGCAACTTCTGTCTTTCTGATTATGCTGAAGCAGCAGAGGGTTTTCAGTAACCGCCTTTGAGAAGCATTATTATATCTAGTAATTACTGTTCTCTTGGGAAGGTTGGAAGGAAACAGACTTGCTTATCATCCCTGATCTTTCAACCCAAATGCTGGGATTTTGACCTCCAAAAACCAACGAATGGGATCTGCCAGCCCCTTTGGTGGCTCCTATCTGGGATGTTTTCACTTCAACAACAACAACAACAACAAAAATACACCTAATATGACCATCACCAATGAATTCTTTTCTCCTGTCTTGATGGGTTGACTATTCCAAACTCCCTCTTACGTAGAGAGCCCCTTTAATACTTTGGACCACCCCAGACGCTGTTGTCATAAATGCCAAAATAATATTCCACATTAGAAATTAAGTTATTTAACTGTATTCTTCTGTTCCCTATGCAAACTTTATTCCTGGCCTGAAATAAGATTCCACAGGTGTCGTTTGCAGTGATTATTACAGCAGCTGATACTTAGCAAGACTTTACCAAGTGTCTAGCCTAGTGTAAAGTGATTTTATTTTAAAAGTACTATCTGATTTTATTCTCATAGAAACTAGGTTGATAGTTATTGTAGTCATATTTTAACTATAACTATTTTAATGATGAGTAAAGAGAGGATTAGAAACTAAGAAAAATAACTTGCCCAAAATTCCACATAAGATTGACTTGTGTGAAGCCATGATATTTACCCACTACACTGTTATTATCTCCTATGCTAGTATAATATTTTTGAGCCAAACTCAGATTGTCTGCTTTTTAGGAAGTGAAGTGATGATTCTGAACCATGGCACCCAGTAGAACTACATTTGTTCTTCCTGAACCCCCTTAGCACACAATGATCTCCCTTCTTCTGATCCAACACTTTTGGCTTGGACACCTCATGTGGCAACAGGGGTCACAACAGATATTAACAGAGCTTTTCAAATGCAGCTACTGAAAATCTTGAGCTGCGTCAGTGTTCCTTGATTCTAGAACTGACATTAAACTTTGT
This sequence comes from Homo sapiens, assembly GCF_000001405.40. NCBI lineage: Eukaryota > Metazoa > Chordata > Mammalia > Primates > Hominidae > Homo > Homo sapiens. The sequence goes on along the minus strand of NC_000003.12, from coordinate 54,239,433 downwards.
CCATGAATATATATCTTGTCTCTCCATCTGAATTATAAAATCTCTAAAGGCTAAAAAGGTTAGGCTCATTGCTCTACACCCCTTCCTTTGGGATAGTGGTTAACCTTATGAATATTTACTGATTTATTTCCACATTTAACCAGTACAATAACTGCATTCTTGCTTACAGAGTTGAAAGCAAAGCAACTCAAAAATTCAATGCCTAATTTTTCCTGTTCTTCAAGAGCCTTTGAAAGGCCTTGGCAATACTTCAAGCCAAGTCCTACCCCAGAGCTGGGACTTAGTTGACTCAATAATTACTGTACAATACTGCCTTTTGTCCTATATTCTAGCCACAGGGTCAGACACCCACTTATTTTTACATATGAAATAATAATATTTTGACAATCATTAGGAAGAATGACTGATACATTTATGGACATCGCTTCCACAGTATGGTTACATTTTACAACAATAAACACATCTGTTGGTGTATATGTTGCTAATAAAATATTCAAAATGATCTGAAGACCTCAAACGAGTTTATTAGTGCTATGGTTTATGGTTTTGGTCAAAAGCAGTTTGGAGGCAGGAGCAAATTAATTTCCTTGACCCACAGGAGGAAAGAGAGTTGATGTGAATCACTGTACCATGTCTCAGTTGGCCCCATCATGGGCAGATTAAACTGCATTAGAGAGATAACTGCCTTCTGTTTAGGGGTCTTCATAGCAGCTCTTGCAAAGCCTCTTTTTTACATTATTTAGACTTAAATTGGAAATGACCTTTTGTGTCATTTTTCCTTTTCTCAGGAAAAACAGGGTATATTTTCTTAATTGTATCCACTTCTCTGCCAGGTACTGTCATGTATAAAAACTGACAACCTAAAAACTAGATAACTTGAGATTTACTGCTTTCTCCCCAATCATAAGAAGCTCTGTGATGACAGAAGGAAAATACCTTAGCAAGTGCATTAATCTCTCAAGTTTTTCTATTAAAATAAGCCCACATAGTGGGACTGCCATAAAAAGCAATTATAGGAGCCAAATTGGATGTTTTTTTGCACAATCACTGAGGTGATTTGCTCTACCTCTGGGTTCAGCCACAATTTGCTTCTGCCTCCTTAATATGCACAGGTGATTGACAACTCACTAATAACTCAATGCCAACATAAAAGATTACGTGACTAAAATAAAACCCAAGGTTCCACAGAGGCTCAGCCACGCTATTAAAAAAGTTACAAACATACATTGAGGCAGTGAGGAAGAATGATATGGAGAAAAAATTTAATAACATGTAAATTATGCTACAGACAATGTGGGGACATAGAAAGGCAAGTCTGATGAATGCAAAGAAATTGGAAAAAAGTATGCAGCAGTGTTTTTCAAGTAGGCACCTCAGAACACTAATCCCTCTGCATCAAGGGCTGCTGCAAGAAGACAGGTTTCATGTGACTGGGAGATGAGCCACACCACACCACTCCCAGGGACTCAAAGCACGTCAGCACAACCAAGTCTCTGAAAAGTCCTGCAGTAAAGAAACCTGCTTAACTTGGTTTCGCATTTCCTAAACTTATTCACCCATGGAACCATTTTTTCCCCTAAACTTCTCTACCCATGGAACTTGTGGAACTCACATAACTTTGAAGAAATCCTGCAACAGAAAAGAGAAAAGATGAAAAATGCAGCCAAGGGGAAACTGAGCCAGAGTCAGCATGCTTAGGTGCAGCCCATGCTGACAACAGAAGCACTTGGATTTTCAATCTGGGTAAATGAAATTGATGTAATAATTCCTGAGAGGCAGAAAAAAGGCAATTAAAAACTTGAGCACATTAAATGAAGTCTTGGTGGGTGAGCTAACATTCCTCTTCATAAAAGCCAAGCTCCAGGGATCCAGTTGCTTGGGTGAAGATTAATCTTTACCGTGTAAATCTATAAAAATGCTTTGGACCTGTATTTCATTTGTACAAGTCAGATAAATCCAAACTTCATGGATACTTAGCTTAGCAGGAAATACACAATACTAATTTTTCTTAGATAAAGAGCAACGGGGCCATCCCTAGGTAGATCTAGGTGGGTCTGGGAAGTAAACAAGTTTTACCCTCTCCTCTGAACTGCTTTCTCCCTCTCCAAGCCTCTGCTCTACCTGTTTCAAGGCTCCCCTGCACGGCAAACTTTATAAGCCCCTTCACACTGGATGTCCTATTCCTTCTAGGGACATGAGCAGCTTGAAAGAGACATGGTCATATTTAACACAAATTATTTAGCACAATTAATTCTTCGAGGGGGTACTGGAAGAGGTGTTAATAACAGACACTTTGTAGGGGAAGAATGTCCTCCTACCCTTGAAATCAAACCAAGGTAGCCACTGGCATCATCTACTGCCATTAAGCAGAGTCATTAGACTTCCCTTAATGGAATGTGTTTTGCATGTTAAAAAAAAAAAAAAAGAAGTTTCAGGCAACAACAACAGCTGCCCTTTAGGGAACAGCTAATGAGTACCAACTACTGTGCTGAGTGCGCTACAGATATTATCACCCTCATTTTAACCTTGAAACTGCCAATGGCATGATATACTACGATATTCATGTTATCAATGAGGAAACTGAAGTTCAGTTTACACTTGTACAAGTGTAAACTACTTGTACAAGAATCTCTTGGCAGTTATGGCGCAGGGCTGGAATGAACCCAGGGCAGCATGGCTTGACCACTATGTCATGTGGCCTGTTTAGTTTGGCCCCCTTGGAACAATGGTATTTCAAACGAGCTTTGCATTATTTGGAGAGTCACCCGATGACCCCGGCAAGAATTTTCTACATCTTTGACAACTTCTATGCACAGAGTTTTTATATGTTGAGCTAAGATTTTCTAACCCACCCCTCAATCTTCATCCACAGAACACATATTGGCATGTTGACTTGACATCCTGCTGTTCAGTCAAAAGTGACAATAATTCCAGAGTTTACTTCAGTATGTATTTTTCAATAAACTTCTTTATCTCAGAATAGTTTTAGATTTACAGAATAATTGCTAAGGCCATACAGGGAGTTTCCATATGTCGCACGCCCAGTTTCCTCTGTGGTTATCCACTTACATTTATTGGTGTATTTGTCACAACCAATGAATCAATATTAATACATTACTATTAATTGAAGTTCATGCTTTATTCAGATAGCCTTCATTTTTACCTAATGTCATTTTTCTGCTCCAGGATCACATCTAGGATATCACATTACACTTAATTGTCATGTTTGCTTAGCCTCCTGTTGTCCGTGACAGTTTCTACGAGACTTGCTTGTTTTGAGCAGTACTGTGTTGAGAAGTACTGGTCAGGTATTTTGTAGAGTATTCCTCAAATGGGAATCGTCTGATGGTTTTCTCATGAGGAGACTGAGGTTACAGGTTTTGGGGAGGAAGACCACAGAGGTAAAGTGTCACTCTCATCACATCTTATCAAGGGTACATGCTATTAATGTGACTTCTCACTATAAATGTTAACTCTGATCACCTGGCTGAGGTGGTGGCTGTCACGTTTCTCCACTGTCAAGTCACTCTTTTCCCCCTTCCTTTCCATGCTGTACTCTTTGAAAGAAAGTCACTATGCACAGCCAACACTTGAGAAGTGGGAGTTACACACCTCCCGGAAGCCGGAGCAGCTACTTAAATTATTTGCAATTCCTTGTCTGCTGCCCCCCTATTTATACATATTGTGAGTATTTATTTTATAATTTGGGTTACAATCTAATACCACTTTATTTTGTTGCTTGAATTGTTCCAGCTTTGGCCACTGGGAGCTGATATGGTTTGTAGCTGTGTCCCCACCAAATCTCATGTCGAATTATAACCCCCAGTGTTGGAGGCAGGGCCTGAGGGGAGGGGACTGGATCACGGGGGTGGATTTCTCATGAATGGTTTAGTACCATCCCCTTGGTGCTGTTCTTGTGACAATGAGTGAGTGCTCACGAGGTCTGGTTGTTTAAAAGTGCGTGGCACCTCCCCCATCTCTCTCTTTTGCTCCTACTCTCACCACGTGAAGTGCTGGCTCCCCCTTTGCCTTCTGCTGTGATTGTAAGTTTCCCGAGGCCTCCCCAGAAGCCGAGCAGATGCAGCTTCATGCTTCCTGCACAGCCTGTGGAACCGTGAGCCAATAAAACCTCTTTTCTTTATAAATTATCCAGTGTCAGGTATCTTTTTATAGCAATGTGAGAATGGACTAATACAGGATCCTTCTCAGTTGACCCCTCTGTCCCTCTAGCACACACTAATCATTGTGTTTGCTTGGTTTGCTGAGCACATCTTTACTTTAGGACACTATGAATGCCCCAGACTCATAAATTCCCTGCCCTCATCCTAGAATCAGCCATTTCTCCAAGTAGTCTTGGTTCCTTTTATAGGGAAATGGTATTAGAAACCAAGATCTGGAAGACGGGAATTTTTTTTAACTTTTATTTTAGGTTTAGGGGTACATGTGAAGGTTTGTTACACAGGTAAACATGTGTCTTGGGGGTTTGTTGTACATATTATTTCATCACCCAGGTATGAAGCCCAGTACCCAATAGTTATCTTTGCTGCTCCTCTTCCTCCTCTCACCCTCCCCACTCAAGTAGGTTCCAGTGTCTGTTGTTCCCTTCTTTGTGTTATTAAGTTCTCATCATTTAGCTCCCACTTATAAGTGAGAACATGTGGTATCTGGTTTTCTGTTCCTGTGTTAGTTTGCTAAGACTAATAACCTCCTGCTCCACTCATGTTCCTGCAAAGGACATGATCTCATTCTTTTATATGGCTGCATAGTATTCCATGGTGTATATACACCACATTTTCTTTATCCAATCTATCATTGATGGGCATGTAGGTTAATTCCATGTCTTTGCTACTGTGAATAGTGCTGTAATGAACATTTGCATGCATGTGCCTTTATGGTAGAATAATTTATATTCCTCTGGATATATACTCAGTAAATGGGATTGCTGGGTCAAATGGCAGTTCTGTTTTTAGCTCTTTGAGGAATTGCCATACTGCTTTCCACAATAGTTGAACTAATTTACACTCCCATCGACAGTGTATAAGTGCTTCCTTTTCTCCAAAACCTCACCAGCATCTGCTTTTTGGTTTTGTTTGTTTTTTGGTTTTTGGCTTTTTTAATAATAGCTATTCTGACTGGTGTAAGATGGTATCTCAATGTAGTTTTGATTTGCATTTCTCTAATGATCTGAGCTATTTTTCATGTTTGTTGGCTGCATGTATGTCTTCTTTTGAGAAGTGTCTGTTCACGCCACTTTTTAATGGAGTTTTTTTTATTGTAAATTTAAGATCCTTATAGATGCTGGATATTAGACTTTTGTCAGATGCAAAGCTTGTAAATATTTTCTCCTATTCTGCAGGTTGTCTGTTTTCTCTTTTGATAGTTTATTTTGCTGTGCAGACATTCTTAAGTTTAATTAGATCCTACTTCTCAATTTTTGCTTTTGCTGTCTTTGTCATGAAATCTTTGCCCGTTCCTATGTCCAGGATGAATGCCCAGGTTGTCTTCCAGGATATATTTTTTTAATGTTCATGAAAACTTATTTGGTGTTATTGTTGACCAATAGTCAGTATCCTCTGTCTTCTAGATAAAATCAATTCCTAATGCAGCCCTACAAGACAATTGAAAATAAACTGTATGATGACCAAATAGTTTCAAACCCTCCACGCTTAAGGATCCCCAACTTCTCTTCGACCTGTGAAGGGATTCAGATTTCTTGCTTGCAAGCAACTCCTCCTTGGATTAGAATGCCAAGAAGTTCAGATTGCTCATTTCCCTAATGCTACAAGAATTCTGTCCCAAAGAATGAATGTTCCTATACTCCTTCAGAAAGTGAAGCACAAAGAGTCACTGTGCCACTTCACCAGTGCTATGTCATTGGATGTGTTTCCAATGGTGTGGAAGGCCACAGAAGCCAAAAAGGTAGGGCAGCCTTTAAAAATATATGCTCGGACGCATCCACTTATGGTGCCTGGAGGCTCTATGCCTTCGGATGAATTGTCCCTGTGGCATTCATTGGTGCTCTGTGCCCTCTGTGTGGTGCTCACCCTTGCCTAACTGGTAACCCTTTCTATGCAGCCCACAGTCTGTGGGTGATTGTTCTGTGGCTCCCAGTTAATGGATCTGTCTATCATTCATTCATTCCACATCATGCCAGCCTGACCCAGGCCCTGGTGATACGAGAGTAAATGCTAACAGACTAAGCCCCTGTTAGCACAGAATTGATATTCTGGGGATGGGAGGGAGTGGAACATAAAAGCATCAGATGGTATTAAGTGCTAAGAAGAAAAGTGGAGTGAATGAAAAAAGGACACCCAGTCTCTACTCAAATGCCTCCCTCTCAGAGGGGCCTTCCTGAACACACCCAACCACTCTTCCTCTCCTTAGCCCGCCATATTTGTCTTTCTGGTACTGTCAGAGCATTCACCTTATTGCGTATAACTATTTGTCTGGCTGGTGTCTCCGCAGTAGACTGACAACTCCTTGGGAGTAGAGATGGGTTAAACTAATCATGACAGTACAGCATTTTGCAGACAGCCAGCACCCAGTGGAGATCAATCAAACTCCAAGGCAATTGATGGGCGTGACACTTTGCAAACAATAAGGGCACAGTTTACAATATGGCTTTCTACTCTAATCGCATAATTTAAAGTCTGTAACTTTGTTATAGCCTCCTGTGCCACCATAAATCAAAATGTTCATGTGATCTACAGCTGCAGTTCAAGAAATGGGCTATCCAATATTAGGGAAAGACTTACAAAGAGCCACACAGGGAAAAACCTAAACTGGTAAGAAAGGAGCAGACCCTGGAAGCATGGTGGAGTTGGGGAATGTGTTCAAAGCAGGGGTGGGGCTCAGGACGCTCTTTCAACCAAAACAAGGAAACAAAAACCCTCATGCAAGTCACCGCTTGTAACGTTTCCTTTTGAGTTTAAAAACTCAGTTCATAGTTGTGTTATTAAAATTAATATTATGCACATGAGGTTCTTAGCCCAGGGCCCAGTATAGTAATCCTACAATAAGTGGTATTGACATGAGAGCAGTGACAACTGACACTCACACTCTTACAAATACTACCACCCAACCCACTCTGAACCCTTGTGAGCACAACCCATTTAATGCTCACAATAACCCTATAAACTAGGTACTGTCATCACCTCCCTGTAGCTGAAAACCCCCAAGCTTCAAAGGATTCAGTAACCATTCTGAGAGCATAAAGCCAGCAACAGTGACTGATCCAGGATTGGAATGCTCGATCTGTTTGACTCTGCAGCTGAACTCCTCATGTTAGACAGACACACACACAGCACACCTGTGTATCATATATATAAAGTATATGCACATATACACATGTGTTTACACAGCTGGGGCCGCCCCCAAGGCCACAGAGGAGGTCATTCCTGTGAAACATGCCTATGCTTAAATAACGAGACAATGGACTCCAGAGTCGGGGGCTGAGCCAAGCCATACCATGTGGGAACAAGCAACGGCAGCTGCGCCAAGGGCCAGTGCAATAGCCTTGGCCCTGCTGCCTGGGTTCTTGTGAACTCCCCTCCCACCCTGCCCCAGGACCACCCCCCTTCCATTCACCATGCACCTGCTGGACAGTGAGCAGCTGTCTGCCTCTACGGAATGGAATATGACGAACATGAAACCAATAACCTTGGCCTTGACAAGACCATGTATTATTTATTATAATACTTGTGAAAAACATTCATTCATTCAACAAATTTTTATAAAATTACCTAATAGTAGTTTATTACACACTAGAAATATATGGGTGAACAAACTGGACAAAAATCCCTTTCAGATGCAAGGTGGCATTCTAGCAGCACCTCAAAGCATCCTTACAACATGATTAAACACAGTTATGTACGTGTGTGAGCCTAATGCTCATGAGGCTGGCCCAGGACAGGGCCTGTTTCTTTGGCAGATGCTCAGAGAGTACCTGATGAATTTACTGACATATTAACTAACACATTGCTTTAGGTTTTTCAAGGAACTCTGACAATCATCACTTCAAAGAGCGCCTCACACTTACCCTGAAAGGGAGAAATAAGTAACACTGCCCCATCTTGCAGGTATGGTGGATCTGTGCTTCCATGAAATTAGCTGGCAGAGTGAGGACCAGAAGGCAGGCTTTGTAACTCCTGCTTAAGAACTTCTACCCAGCCAAGGTGCTCCCCTGGATTTCACCAAACAGAAACACTCAGACATGCGGCAGTAATAACATTTGAGCCACCCACTTCCTAGAGACCCTATCCCCAGCCACAAAGCACTCCCCTCATCCTCTCCCTGGGGAGGCACCCTAAAGACATCACAGCAAACTGCTGACCACCACACCCCGGCTCACATGTTAGCAGAGGGGATATTTTTTGTAAACCACAGCCTGTGGCCAACACACTCAGGCAGAACCCAGAAATGGAGTCCATCCAAGTCACCATGTGTCCCCATCATCATCTATCATGTTTACCAGGGCTGGATATCTTTTGGCGATAGACCCCATTTACACGATTAAAAAGAAGCTTGGAAATTTTTGATCATTTAATTAATCTTTATGTATTTTGTCCTATTAAGCAGCAAAGAAAATGTTTACAGCTCAATTTAACAAATTAGCATTTGTAATTCCTCCATTTGTAAAGAGATTTATCTACATCTACCTATATAAAATATTGTTGAAATAAAAACGTCATATCTAGATTCCTTGGCAAAATAGAAGGAATTTTATAAGACTGTGGAGGTAACATGTGGCCTGAATAATCTCTCACACAAATTATTGCATTTCTTGAGCTGTAAGTATAACATGCTTAATGAAGCTCAACATTTGCAACCTGTCTCCCACAGAGTCCAACAGAGTTTGCCTTTAGAATCCCCTGTGTCTAACTCTGGCTCAGAAACTATTTACATGCTGAGATGAGCCTTTTATTCATAGATCACAGTTATTCTCTTCGAAATTATCTACAGAAATTATTATGCCTTTTCAGAAATTAATGACCCTCACAATTTACCAATTCAAACATGTATTACCTTACATAATTCTTATGAGGTTGCAAAACATCTTCTTGGATATGGGTAAGGTAAGTTGGGAAGGAGAATTACACAAACTTCAAATCTTCATCTTTAGGAAGCTTAAATAAGAAGCTAGGAAATACTCTGCTGGCAAGACAAAGAAAAAAATGAAATCTGGCATAATTTCCCTGTAATAAAACTATGCTGCCTTTTAAATTCATGTCTGCTTTTAGAACCAGAAACTAGGAACACTAATGACTTTAAAATACTTAAAACACAGAATGGAAAAAAAAAAAAACAATTAAATGACTTAATAGCACTGTGTGTAAGCCTATTTTTTTCTTTTTGTTTTACTTTTTTCCTTTTTTGCTTAAACTTAAAATTACCTTTGGCAACGCTTCCTACTTGCATAACATTTTTCCATGGCTGATCCTTCTCCTGCCCTGTGTTATTCAGAAGCATCGTATGTTGCAGTGGCAAAAAACACAGATGACAAGAAGTTACAACAAGATGAGAAGGGAAGGAAGCCCTCTGTAACCTGCAGGTGTCCAAATATTACAATTTCCCTTTCTACTGAAATGAGTGGTCTGAACAAGATATAACAAAATGGGTCCCAGAACAGTAAATTTGGTGCATGACATAAAAAGCCTGCCAAGACGACAGATACTCTAGCGGGAAACTGGCATTTTTATAACTGGGGAATTGTCACGCAAGCAAAACAGAGTAAGAGAAGAAAAAAAGGGGGACCGAATAGCAAATTCCATGAAGGTTTCTTAACTTATCAGAAACTTTAGGCCGGGCATGGTGATTCATGCCTATAATCCCAGCGCTTTCGGAGGCCGAGGTGAGAGGATCACCTGAGGCCAGGAGTTTGAGGCCAGCCTAGGCAACATGGCAAGACCCTGTCTCTACTAAAAATAAAAAATAAAAAATTTGGCCGGGCACGGTGGCTCACGCCTGTAATCCCAGCACTTTGGGAGGCCAAGGCAGGCAGATCACGAGGTCAGGAGATTGAGACCATCCTGGCTAACATGGTGAAACCCCGTCTCTACTAAACAAAATACAAAAATCAGCCGGGCATGGTGGCAGGCACCTGTAGTCCCAGCTACTCGGGAGGCTGAGGCAGGAGAATGGCATGAATCCGGGCGGCAGAGCTTGCAGTGAGCCAAGATAGCGCCACTGCATTCCAGCCTGGGCGACAGAGCGAGACTCCGTCTCAAAAAAAAAAAAAAATTAATTAGCTGAAATACTTTCAAATTCATAGAAACCAGGAGCCCTTGAGGCCTTACAAAGATCAAGGAAAATAGAATCACCATTGTAGAACAAAGCACCCAAACAAGAAAGAAAGGAAATCAAGCCTTCCAGCAGTGTTGTTGGTTTAGGAAACGTATGCATTCATTCCTGAATCTTCCATACAGCACAAAGGAAGCTCTGACTCCACGGGAGATACCCAGCGCCCTGGAGGTATCTGAGACACACAAATGTGCTGATGCAACTGGCCTCTGGAAAGATCTCAGGGTCTTCCATGAAAACAAATGTGAGCTGCTCATGCAGAGAAGAGCGGCAGGGCACTGTGTCGCTCTGGCATGTCTGAAGCCCAAATTGAAAACCCAGACTCCATGCTTGACAATATAGGCAGTAATATTCCTCTGTGAAACAGTGATTCTGTCATCTCCCAATTCAGACTGAGGCTATTATCCAGTTTCCACAGTGTACACCTTGGTGGAGATCAGGAGAGGCCTGCTGAGAGCAATAATGGGAGAAAGAATAAAGTTGCAGATAAAATGGGTCACAAGTCCTTGTTCTCAGGGTTCTGACTTCAAGGTCTGAATTTCATGTGTGAAATAAAAGACTAGAATCCCCATGAAGTTGCTAAAGAGATGACTGCTAGACCATGGCCACCTCCTCAAAGACAGGGCCCATGTTCCCACCACAGTCTGGCAAGTCAATAAATACTTGTTTAATCTTTTTAGCACCAGTTAGTGGTGACCAGCCTAGGTGATTCATATGCATTCTGTGTAATTCTCAGTGACAGGCAGGTATCATTCTCATCCTTCTCATTATTCTTGTACAGGCCATACAATCAAAACTCACTCGGAGGTTAGATGTCTCTCTAAGATTGCAACCAGTTAAGTGGCACAGTCAGGATCTGATTCCCGGTTTCTGCTATACCATCCTGTGAAGGAAGCCAAACTGAACCTTTGAACAGCCCTCAGTTTTCTCATCTATAAAATCAGGAGAATAGACCAAGTCTCTGGAAGCTCTGAAAGTCCACTATTCTACTGTCCCTAGTGTCTAAGCTACAAGGCAGAAATTTGGTCTTGGAAAGGGTCACACAAAATCCCTTAAACACATAAACTTTAAATTGAAATAGAAGAGGATCCACAGAGCTCTGCTGGACCGAGACCATGCAAAGAACATGGTAGAACAAAGAACAAAGTACTCAACCAAGAAAGGAGCTCCATTTGCTTTCCAATGCAAGTCAGTTCTGCTTCAGATGAGCATGGGTGGCTCAGAAGAACAGCTTCTGTCAAGCTTCATGAAAGGGAGCAGGGAGGTGACCAAAAGAGACGTGGACAGGCCGGGTGCAGTGGCTCACACCTGTAATCCCAGCACTTTGGGAGGCCGAGGAGGGTGGATCACGAGGTCAGGAAATCAAGATCATCCTGGCCGAGGTGAAACCCCGTCTCTACTAAAATACAAAAATTAGCCAGGTGTAGTGGTGCACGCCTGTAATCCCAGCTACTCGGGAGGCTGAGGCATAAGAAATGCTTGAACCTGAGAGGCGGAGGTTGCAGTGAGCCAAGATCATACCACTGCACTCCAGCCTAGGCGACAGAGCGAGACTCTGCCCCCCCGCCCCCTCCCCAAAAAAGCCATGGACAATAGCTGAAATGTTTGGCTCTGTCTTGTCCCCTTGCAAAATTTCTCCACTCTTCACTCTCCCGAGGAATACCAAAAAACCAAATTTTACTCTTCTAAAAGACTAAAAATTTGTTATTTTTTTTTCTGTCCCTAAGTAAACAACTTCATGGGCAAATGAAACACTGCAAGCTGGGTAAACTAGTGAACTTTAGGAGGCTACTAAATGTGGCCTAATAGCTTATCCCCAGGAAGCGCACAAAAAGGGGCCTAGCACATAGCAAAATCCCGGTGCTGGACATTTCTCCCGGTGCCAAACACCCAGATCCTGAACGTGAAAACATAGCCCCTACACAGTAACATATTGTTAACCCCAAGACCTTGGTTCATTTTCAACTGTGACTTCCATAACATTTGTACTGTTCTATTCATGTTGTTAGCAGATTTTACGTATCAACATGTTCTGCCATCTTCACAATGACCCTGCCGGTCTGCCAGGACAAAGGAGATTCATTCTGTGTTTAACTTGAGTTCAGAGCTCTCTCTACCAAACATAGCTGCTTCCTACTAAAAGTAAAAGCTATCCCTGAATTTTGCTTACTGCAATGATGGACTAGACTATAGGAGACAAACACTCCTACTGAGAACAATTAGAAAAGCTAGATCAAGTACAGATAATATGTATTTGGAGGAACTGTAGACCTATCAAGGCAGCCAGAAGTTGAGAGGCCAAATTTCTGGAAAAAAAATAGAAACTTCCTGAGGTGAACTCAACATTCTACATTGCTCTCCTCTTTGAGGCACTGGATAAATCAAAAGCCACGTGGCTGAAGGCTGAGAAGCTGAACAGAGCTTTCGGCAGTGTTATAGGACTAGCAGGGTTGGAAGACAGGAATTGGAGTTCAGAGCTACCAAGGCAGCCAGGAATCAAGGGGCAAATATCCTATAAAGAAGGGAATTGCAGGCCAGGCATGGTGGCTCATGCCTGTAATCCCAACACTTTGGGAGGCAAAAGTGGGAGGATTGTTTGAGGCCAGGAGTTTGAGACCAGCCTGGGCAACATATCAAGACCCTTGTCTCAACAAAAAATAAAAAATTAGCTGGACGTGGTGGCACATGCCTGTGGTCCCAGCTACTCCAGAGGCTGTGGTGGGAGAATTGCTTGAGCCCAGGAGGTTGCAGAGCTGTGATAATGCCACTGCATTCCAGCCTGGGTGACAGAGCAACTGTCTCCAAAAAAAAAAAAAAAAAAAGCATCAGGGGCAGGAGGCGGGGAATTGCAGAGAGGATAACCTTACAGTCTGAGCCATTTCCCTCTTCCTGGGGTTTGATATTTACCTGGGACAAGTATCATGGTTAGAGAGGCAGCACAGCTTAACTGAGAGTAGCTATCAAAAGGCAGAAAACCGAAACAGACCTATCATCAGTCTCACGATGCTGGGGAGAAAAACACTGGAGTTCAGTGCCAATGACATTGAGAAACGCTGGTAAACGCTCCAGGCTTTCAGTCTGGACTACTGAAGAATTACACCCTGCTGGTAAGGGCCAGTCAGAAATAGACCAGTCATACAAAGACTGACACCCAGGCTCCTGTCAGTTCAGTCCCCAATCCGGTGAAGGTGAACTCACTGCTCCTAGTCTCAGTGCTTTCCGGAAATTAAAGAAAATTCTCTCTGGAGAAATATCAATGCAGAGACCCTGGCCTCTACAAGTTTCCAAGTACAATGTCCACCACTCAGTCTGAAGTTGCTGAGCATATCAATACACAGGGCCAAGAGAAAAAAAAAAAGCGTAATAGAAACAGAACCCCAGTGATACAGGTTTGAGGTCATCAGACACAGGCTTTAAAATAACTATAATTAATAGGTTCAAAAAAATAGGATTGTAAATTTCACCAAATAATTGTTGTCTGTAAGAAAAACCAAGTGAATATTCTTGAACTGAGAAATTAAGAGGTTTCAAACACAAAAGATGTGTTTAACAGTAAATCAGATACAATGTTAAAGAATGTCAGTGCATTAAAAGATAAGTCAACAGAAAATATTCAGATTAACACACAATAAAAATAACATATGGGAAACATATAGGAAACTGCAAAACAGATACAGAGGATATTGTGAAAAGGTCTAACCTCATGGAGTCCCACAAGGGGAAATGAGAAAGAGAACCGGTAGGAAGCACTTTTTAAAAACACAGTGGTTAAGAAATTTCAGAAGGTGATAAAAGATATTCAGTCATGCACATATACACCATGGAATACTATGCAGCCATAAAAAATGATGAGTTCATGTCCTTTGTAGGGACATGGATGAAGCTGGAAACCATCATTCTCAGCAAACTATCACAAGGACAAAAAACCAAACACCGCATCTTCTCACTCTTAGGTGGGAATTGAACAATGAAAACACCTGGACACAGGAAGGGGAACATCACACACTGGGGCCTGTTGTGGGGTGGGTGGAGTGGGGAGGGATAGCATTAGGAGATATACCTAATGTAAATGATGAGTTAATGGGTGCAGCACACCAACATGGCACATGTATACATATGTAACAAACCTGCACGTTATGCGCATGTACCCTAGAACTTAAAGTATATATATAAAGTAAAAAAAAAAAAAAAAAAGATATTCAGTCACAAATTCAGGAAGCTTCGGGAATCTAAGCAGGGTAGATTTTTTTTTTAACTGACATTAGTACCACCATAGAAATTTGCAGAAAATTATCCCTTATGAAAATCTGAAACATGAGAAAGAATAAAGAGCAACCAAAAAGGTAAATGTGTATGTGAATCTAAACACACTTTGTATGAAATAAGAATAATATCTTAAAGTTTAATATCTAATAGGAATTTAAAACAAGAGAGACCTGACATACATGACAACACGAAAGACAAGAGAGAGGCAAAAGAAGTGAAAGTGTTCCAAGGTTCTTGAAATATTCATATACAGTCATGCCCTGCATAGCAACATTTTAGTCAACAACAAATGGCATATACGACGGTGGTCTCATAAGATTATAATGGAGCTGGAATATTCCTATCACTTAGTGATGTCCCAGGTGTTGTAACATTGTAGTGCGATGCGTTACTCACCCGTCTGTGGTCAAGCTGGTGTAAACAAACCTATTACAATGCCAATCACACAGAAGTATAGCACATATAGTTACGTACAGTACATAATACTTGATAATGGTAATAAACAATGATGTTAGTGGTTTACGTATTTACTATACTGTAATTTTAATGTTATTTTAGAGTGTACTCCTTCTACTTCATTAAAAAAAAAAGTTAAATGGAAAACATCTTCAGGCACGTCCTTCAGGAGGTATCCAGAAGAAGGCACTATCATCGCAGGAGATGACAGCTCTCTAGGTGTTACTGCCCATGAAGGCCTTCCAGTGGGACAAGGTGTGGAGGTGAAAGACAGTGATCCTGATGATCCTGACCCCATGTTGGCTTAGGCTAATGTGTGTGCTTGTGTCTTAGTTTTTAACCAAAAAATGTTTTAAGTAAAAAAAAAATTTAATAGAAAAAGCATATACAGTAAGTATATAAAAAGGAAAATATTTTTTACAGCTGTACAATAGGTTTGTGTTTTAAGCTGTTATTAGAGTCAAAAAGCTTCAAATATTTAAGCTTTTAAGAAGAAAGTTACAGTAAGCTAAGGTTAATTTATTATTAGAGTCAGAAAAATAATTTTTTTTTTTTTTTTTTGAGACAGAGTCTCGCTCTGTCACCCAGGCTGGAGTGCAATGGTGCGATCTCGGCTCACTGCAACCTCCACCTCCCGGGTTCAAGCAGTTCTCCTGCCTCAGCCTCCTGAGTAGACGGGATTCAGCACGTGCCACTACGCCCCACAAATTTTTGTATTTTTAGTAGAGACGGGGTTTCACCATGTTGGTCAGGCTGGTCTCGAACTCCTGACCTCATGATCTGCCCACCTTGGCCTCCCAAAGTGATGGGATTACAGTGCTAGGATTACCGCACCCGGCCAAAAAATAATTTTGTATAAAGTGTACAGTATTTATAAAGTCTACAGTAGTATGCAGTAATGTCCTAGGCATTCACATTCACTCACTCCTCACCCCACTGCCTCATTCCACTCCTGCAAGCTCCATTTATCATTTTCCTATACAGGTGTACCATCTTTTGTCCTTTATGCCATATTTTATAGTACCTTTCCTACATTTACATATGTTTAGATATTCAAATACTTATCATCGTGTTACAACTGCCTACAATATTCAATACAGTAACGTGCTATACAGGTTTGTCACCTAGGAGCAATAGACTACAGCCTATTGTGCAGCAGGCTATACTGTCTAGGTTTAGTACACTTTACAATGTTTGCACAATGACAAAATCACCTAACGACACAATTCTCAGAACATATGCCCATTGTTGAACAACCTATGAATACAGTAAAGTACCTTAAACTAGTTAAATATGCACTTTGTAATATCTAGGGTAAGCATCAAAAGAATAAAATAAGAAGATTTAATTAACAAGGTGGTAAAGGTAAACAAATCTGAATAAAGTCATGCTTGATTAATCCAAAACAAAGCAAGAATGGAGAGGAAAAAGTAACACAGAACATATGGGACAAATGAAAAACAATAATATGACATTTAAACTCAAACATATCAGTAATTCCATTAATTATAAGTACATTAAATTCTCTAAAAGTTAAAAATATTACAGATTTCTTAAAAATCAAAACTTAACTACGTATTCCTTAAAATAAAAAACACAAACAGAGACTCAGAAAAGTTGTCACTATTGATTTATATCATAATTTCACAAAGTTCAAAGGATTGAAATCAGAATAAATTTTGATCAGAGTGATATTAAGGTAGCAATCAATAACTTATGAAATAGAAAATTCCACAAATGTTTAGAAACTGAGTGTTATAAATGACCCTAAGGTCAATAAAGACATTGTAGTGGGATTAGAAACAATTTTGTGATGTTTAGTTTTATTTGTCAACTTGACTGGGGCACAGGGTTAGTGTGTTTAGTTTTATTTGTCAACATTGACTCAGCAGACTCAGTAAAGAAGATTGCCCTCCCTAATGTACATAGGCCTCATCCAATCAGTTGAAGGCCTCAATAGAACAAAAAGGCTGAATAAGAGAAAACTCCTTCTGCCTCACTGCCTTGAGCTGGGACATTGGTTTATTCCTGCCTTCAGGACATTGGCTTATTCCTGCCTTCACACTTGAACTGAAACATCAACTCTTCCTGGGTCTCAAGCCTACTAGCATTCAGAAAGAAATAGATCACCAGCTCTCCTGGTTCTGGGGGCTTCAGACTCAGACTGGAACTACACCATCAGCTATCCTGGATCCCCAGCTTGCTTACTGCAGATCTTGAAACTTGTCAGCCTCCGTAATTGCATAAGCCCATTCCTTATATTGATTCTGCTTCTCTGAAAAACTCTCACAAATACAAATTTTTAACTAAAATAATAAGTAAGCATAATACAATCAGCCCTCTGTATCTGCAAGTTCTGCATCCGTGGGTTCAACCAACTACTGATCAAAAATATTGAGGGCCAGGTGCAGTGGTTCACACCTGTTATCCCAACACTTTGGGAGGCTGAGGCAGGAGGATCACTTGAGCCTAGGAGTTCAAGGCTGCAGTGAACTATGATTGCACCACTGCACTCCAGCCTGGATGACAGAAGAATGCCTCATCTCAAAAAAATATTTTTTTTCAGAAAAAAAAATAAAAAGTAACTGTACAATAATTTTAAAAACAAGCTAAAAATATAATGTATCAACTATTTGCATAGCATTTACACTCCATTAGTTATTATAAGTAATCTAGAAATGACTTAAAAGTATATGGGACAAGGTACATACGTTATATACAAACACAACACCAATTTGTATGAAAGACTTTAGCATCTGTGAATTTGGGTACTGGCATGGGAATTTAAAAATTACAAAAATCTCTCTAGTAAAACTTCCCCAAAACAATGACCTAATCTATAATATGTTAATTTAATAATTCATGTATTTCAGCAGGTTTCAATTTGGATTAACTCTCTTAGAGATGTAATGTTCACATTTGGAACAACCGCAAATGGTTCTTGTTAAAGGCAAGCTACCAGTTAGACATTCAAAATTATGACAGTACCTAGTGAAAATAATTGTGAAAGAGGCTGAGTTAATCAACTTTAAATATCCAAAGTAGAATAAACTATAATCATAAAATATGCTGGTAATCTCAAATGGAAACTAAATAATTGGAATTTTTAGTCATGACGGTACCATTCCCACGATCCCACCCTCTCACCACTAACATTTGAACGTTTTAGAGTATGTGCTGCGTGAAGTCAAAGACTCATGGATTTTAATTACTGTATCTTCAGCACTCAACAAAATGCCTGCCACAGGTGGGTGCTAATATCTACAGCATAAATTAAAGGTTACCTCTTGGGGTGGTTGTGAAAATGAAATGCGGAAATGCACTCAAAGCGCTTTGCCTGTGCCTGGCATGGAGGAGACAGGATAAATGTCTGCTGGTTGAATAGCAAATTCTTCCTCACCTCCAGCCAGCCACCTACTTTCTCACCCCCTCCATTCCCACCCAAGGCCTCGTAGGCAAATTCAGCATAATATCTCAGCATCTTAGATGAGCCTAGGGTCAGCAGCAGGAAAGGCAGGAAGCCACTCAGTCACGCACTCTATAAATGATCCCTAAGAACCTACTCTGGGCCAAGCACTGTGCTGGACTCAGCAGCATAGCTGAGCAGGACACCCTCAGCCCTGGCTCTGGAGAGAAGACAGGGAAGAAGAGGTGACAGCCCAAACGTGTCACGGTTGTAACCAGAGCTACAGGAGGAGACAAGTGGTTCAGTAGCCAGGGAGGGTTTCCTGGGACAGGGACGATGGGGGCTAAGACCTGAAGCTAGAGGAAGGGCCTCATGCAGAGGAAGCAGCAGGTGTGGGGGTGCTGAGGCTCCAGGCTGCCCAGCCTGGAAGAGGCTGCTGGGATGGTGGGAAGAGCACTAAGGCAGAAGTTCACATGCCTGAGCCCTGCTAGTCCTCCAGCTAGAGAGCCCTTTTGGACCCAGTTGTCCCATTCGAGTGTGGCTTCGTTTTCTAAGCTGATCATCTGTCATTCTTTTAGTGCTACATTAGCATCTCAGCTTTTGTAAATTCACCTGTATGTTGGTCAGTTTTCATTTTTTGAAAACTTATTTTAACAAACTTTCTATATACAGGGAATGTTAGATAATAATCACACGCTTAATTAATGAGACTTTACTGAAAACCTAACTGATAAGAGCAATTATGTCTCAAATGCGCTTGCAATCCATGCGAGAAAAATACTGGTGCTATCAGAGCAGACCGACTGAAATGAAGTTGGAAGACACATTCTTAGGACCCACCAAGAAACAATTAACCAATTATTGACATAAAAGGAAAAAACTACAATTTTTTTCATATTTTAAGCAGTCCTTTGTATGGAAGTTCTCAATCAAAACGTTGCTTGAAATTCCATTAAGAAACAGAAGAGCAAACACAATTTTAGAGATTCAAAAGGCACAGTTAGCACAATAAAATGCCAAGTGCAAAAACAGGCTTGAGGTTTTCATTGAATATTTATTCTACAAGTATCTCTCGGTTAGTAAGGAAAGATAGTAGTTTTTTTTTAATTAAGAAGAATTCTTAATTAATTGCCACCACCTTGTTAGCATGTTTCCAGATATGCCCTATTCAACCAGGCTCTGCAGATTATGAGTGAGCACAACCACCAAGCTTTCAACAGGACTAAATCCACCACACAAATGCACCAACACACCATCTATCCATGTCAAAACACAGAGAGGGATCCGGAAGGTCCTCTAACACTGAAACACACAGGAAATAAGCCCAAAATGCTTATGCAGGGAGGTCACCTGCTGAAAGCCAGTACATAAGTAACGCGTCCCTTGTATGAGAAGAAAAAAAAGATTGTAATGCCAAGTAGAAATGAGCAAAAATCCCCCCGAAGGAAGAGAAACCCAAGGGGTACATGGTTCACTATCCAAACCTACAGAGTTCAGGCAGATGTCAATAAAGGTCTCCATAAGGAGGTATCCATAATGCTTCTAAACATCCACATTCATCTCCCCAAACATGAGATGGCAGTCCCTAGAAAAACAGAGCGGATATCCCAAAAGGCAGGAATCCCAGCCCAAATGAATAGGTGCAAGTCAATGGTGTCCAGCTCTCCAGGTTAAAGAGTAGGGGGAGAGGTAGGAAGCCCTGAGCCATAGCATTTGCTGACTTCCAAGGTGTAAATAGTTTCACTCTGGCCACCTTCAAGCTACCAACATGAAGTCACTTCACTGAACACAAAATTGGGAAAAGATAAGCACAATCAGCTCTTGAGAGCTGGTACGAGGCAGCTCCAGCATGCATTGAAGTGGGTAAGAGAGAGACAGGGCTGCCATAAGAGGTTTTCATATGCAGGGCATGAGATCTACAGGAAAATATGGGTCACTAACTGTGGAGGGCACCATATACCCCCAAAGATGTCCATGTCCTAATCCCCAGAACTGGTGAATATGTAAGTAATATTACATGAAAAAAGAGACTTTGCAAATGGGATTAAGGATCTTGAGATAGGGAGATTATCCTGGATTATCTGGGTGGACTCAGTGTAGTCACAAGGTCCTTATAAGAGAGAGGGAGATGACAGTGAAGGAGAGAGAAGCAGGGGCTGGTGTAATGCCACCGCTGGAAGAGACCACAAGCCAAGGACAGCCTCTAGAAGCTGGAAAAAGCAAGGAATATCTTTTTCCCTAGAGCCTCCAGAAGGAACAGAGATCTGCTGACATTTTGATTTTAGTCCTTGTATAAAATCAATTTTGGACTTCTCACCTTTAGAACTACTAAATAATAAATTCATGTTGCTTTAAGCCACTAGGTTTGTGATATTTGTTACAGCAGCAAAAAGAAACTAACACACTGACTAAAATCCTGTCCCAAGTCATACAAATGTGTTGGGGGGTTAATATGCTAACATCTAGGAGAAATAAAAACTGTAAGACAGAAGTTACAAAACAGAACCCTTCACCTCACCCTAGGGTCAAATTGGACCTGCAGATTTAAAAACTTAAGCCAGCTTTCAATACCAAGACAGGTCATGTTTTAAAACAAATCATATTTTTTTCAGGCTTGTCTGAGAAAACTAGACATCTGACCCCACTGGTCCCACATCCCACAGGGCAGCATCAGCTGAGACGGATGCAGCTGCCCCATGCATGTGCCAGTCTAGGTGGTCACAGTCCACCTGCACGCCACCCTTATCCACAAGAGGTGGCCAGTCCAGCCCCTGGGGTGTGACAGTGGGAGACGCCCACTGTTAAGCCAGGCCTGGTTGAAGCACAAAGAGAAGAGATGTGAAGGGGATAGTCCCACAAAGTGGGAGCGTGGTCTCCATCACCCTTGGGCTTTCCAGGAGTTTGGGGAGTCAAACCTCTCTCTCTAACGCACCTCTCTCTAATGCACCTCTCTCTCTAACACACCTTTCTCTAACACACCTCTCTCTCTCTCCCGAATACACCTCTAACACCTCTTTAACACGCCTCTCTCTCTCTAAAACACCCCCCTCAACACACCTCTCTCTCTACCTCTCTAACACATCTCTTTCTCTCTAACACACCTCTCTCCCTAACACCTGTCTCTCTCTCTCTCTGTCTCTCTCTGTCTCTCAGGCCTATATTAATTTCCTGGGGCTGCTGTAACAAACTACCACAAACTGTTGACATAAAACAACAGAAACTTATTCTCTCCCAGTTCTGAGGGCCATGCATCTTAGATTAACATGTCAGCAGGGCCATGTTCCTTCCAAAGGCTCCCTCCAAAGCAGCATCCATTCCTCACCCCTTCCAGCTTCTGGTGGCTGCTGGCATTCCTTGCTGTTCCTCAGCTGGAGTCACTTCGCTCTGATCTCTGCCTCTGTCTTCACATCCCTTTCGTCTCTGTGTGTCTGCATCTCCCTTTGCCTCTCTTTTAAAAGGATACTTGTGAGAGCATTTAGGGCCCATCTGAATAATCCAGGGTCATCTCCTCATCTCACAATATTTAATTACACCTCCAAAGACACTTTTTCTAAATAAGATAACCTTTACAAATTCCAGGGATTAGGACTTGGTATCTCCAGGTGGTCATGTCCAGCCTACTATGGTGTCCATCAACTCCCTAGCCCAGGGCAGGGTGGGAGGCAGCTCAGACAGAACCCAGGGGAAGGGACACTGCCACTGGCTGAGGCTGCAGGGAGGAGGAGGCGGCAGAGGCTCCCAAGCCAGCCCCCCTGGGCCCAGAGACCATGCCTGTCCCCATAAGGTCACTGCTCTGCTGAACACGCCTCTGGCTGCTTCACCATCGCACCAGAAACACACTCCTTCCTCCCTCCCAGGCCCCATCTGCAGCCCTCTCCCTTGCTCACTGCACACTGTGCCTTGCTCACTGTTCACCTGGGCTGCTCCTATCTCTCAGTCCCGTGGGCCTTCCTCAGTCAGGAGGCTGCCTCTCACCGCCCCACACCATCTAACAGCACTCGCTGCCTCAGTTTACCTTCTCCACGCACTTGTCACCGCCTGGAATTACTCTTTGAGTTCTACTTAGTTCTTCTTTATCTCCCCCCACCAAACAGAAGTTCCACAAAATAAGGGGCCCTGGCTGAACTTGGCCCCACAGCATCCTCAAAGCACACACAAGCAGGTGCTCTAAAAAATAAGAGCTAGATGGCTGGTTTCCTGATTTCTCCTTACTAGGATGGTTTAAGTTCTGGCTGAGGAGTCCCGTCTTACACCTGGGCTTATTTTTGACAAAAACAAAACAGTTAATGCATTACTCCTGGGTGTCCTTCAAGTGTGCTCAGTTAAATCACTGATGGTAAAAAGCTTTCTAACTCCAATTATGCTCTGCCACCTTCCAGCTGGAGGGCAAGAAGCCATCACGCCTTCTGTGAAATGCTTTTTCCTCATCTAATTAGTTTAAAATGTTGATATTACTCTATCAGTTCCACTATAGGCCTCGCACTTTGGTGCTCACAGCCCATCCCTAACACACCTGGTGGACAAGCTGGATGGCAACTGGATAACAACCTGTCCATGCAAACTTTAAAAAGCACCAGATTTCAACCAGTATGCAAGTATTGGCTTCTGTTTATTATTATAGAAAGCACACATATACCTGGAATACTTAAAGATAATCAAAACACGCACTTTTAAACATCACTGAAACGTGAAGTGTATTATTGCAAGAAGATTGATACCAAAAAGCTTGGTAGTTCACAATACAAAGATTCCATCTCTCAAAGCCTGTGCTTCCTTAGTTGTAAAATACCCTCTGCAAAGAGTGGGTGTCAGGCTTCTCGAACTGTGCTTCTGCCTTGTCCCTCCCCACCATACACACACACACACACACACGTACAACTAAAATTGCAGGGTAGTGTCAGAGGATACATAGGAACACAGCGCACAAGCTCTCAAAGGGCTCAGCCGCTCAAGAACAGTGAAGACCACCTAATTCGGGGGACCAACACAGGACTGACGGGTTTTTATTTAACCAACTAAGAACATTAAAGAGGACACACATGTACACATACACATGCATACCTTCCACAATCACGATCGTTCCATAAGAGAAAGGATATTTGAAGTCACAAGAAAAAAAAAAGAAAAGAAAAGAAAACAGTAAGCTCAGAATAAAGAGCTTAGCCCTTGAATGGGATAGGTTTCCAGGCATGAATGCCTCCCTGCATTATCCTTACTTCTCTTCCGGCAACTGAGACCAGAGGAAATAAATTTCACACCTAGGGGCACTAGGGTGATTTTGTGAGCCGGTGACTTTGGAAATTCCATGTGAAAGCCTGTTCTAAGCACTGCGGCTGAGTAACAGGTTAAAAAGTAAAGGATGCATGGCCCCACCTCCCACCCTCACATCGCCGTTCACTTGGAAAAGAGAACATTTCCTGGGCAATGCATGGCAAACCCAGAGAACAAAGACAAGCTAGATCTTGGCTTCTAAAATCAAAAGGCCAAACCCACATGTGTGTAATAATTTTAATAGGCAATGGGGGGACTGATACGCAGTCAAAAGATACAAAGTTTCAGTTACGACGAACACATTCTGGAGATCTATTGCACAGAATAGCTGCTATAGTTAATAATACTGTATTGTATGCTTTAAAAACGCTGTAACAGTAGATCTTAAATGTTTTCACCACAAAAAAATGAGAAGTATGTGAGGTGATGGAGATGTTAATGAGTTTGCTTTAATCATTTCATAATGTAGACACAGATTAATCAAAACATCACATTGTGTACCATAAATATATACAATTTTGTAAATTATACCTTAATAAAGCTGGGGGGTAGGATATTTGAATGAAGATAAAATGGGGACAGAACTTTTCTCTCTCTCCACAACCCAAAAGGCCCTAGGCTCCCATGGCTACTCTCCTGAGGAGCTGACATCAACTTGGAGAGTGTGGACAATAGGGCCTGGGAGGGGACAGGATGATGTCACAGCCACATCTCAGCTGACTGACGCCTGGAAGATGTCACATCTGAGGACCCCTACTCTGGGGTATTGTGCTTTATTCAAGACTGTTTTCCCCTATCAGGCTTACTGGAAAGACTCCAGCCAAAGGGCAAAGGGCCTGGGTGCTGTATCTCAGCCCTTGCTGCACTCAACCCCTGAGCTCCAAATGGGAAGAACCATGGTGAGCACGTCTCACTCTGTCCTTACTACCAGTATTTTGGTGTGATAAGACATGAAAACACCAGTGTTGTCATTTTGGTCTGGCGTTGTCACCTCTAGACACTGGCACAGGACAGGGATATATCAGAGCTGCCTCTTCCTGACTGTGCTGGGGCATCCTCTCCACACCCTGGCAGGATGCTTCAGCACCTAACTGAGCTGTTTAAAACAATAGGAGCACCAACCACACCTCTCTGTCAGTTCCTCATGCAATCTACAGCAAAAAGCACTGGTTCACCAGTGATGAGGACCACAGGAGATAAAATCTACTCAATTCTTCAACCTACCTTCAGGGGCAGCCCACTGTGTACTAACCAGGTCCTGCCCTTTGGCTCCAGATCTTGTCCCTTAGGGACCAGGGAGAAGGGGCCTCTGCTTGTCTCCCTCGAAGGTTGTGATGCAAAGGTCAATTTTAGAGCTCCTCTTTGTATTTACCAAGCAAAAGAAAGGTCTTGAAAATATCAAGAATATGGCATGTGGAAGTACTTGTAACTGACAAAATGTAAATACTGGATATTGAGGCATGGTCAGTGGCCACATCCCATTCAAGGTCTAAGCTCTTTATTCTGAGCTTACTCTTTTCTTTTTTGTGTGTGTGACTTCAAACTGATTAATTCAGTCAGAGTCTTCTGGAATATGAGAATCTGCCAGCTTTGTTCCTGTCAGAGGCATCTCTGGTATTTATGAGTCACCACGAGATGCTCTGAAGGCCCCATGCCAACAAGACCTGACCTCCAGCAACTAAGATATCTCAG
The DNA here is from genome assembly GCF_000001405.40 of Homo sapiens. Lineage (NCBI taxonomy): Eukaryota > Metazoa > Chordata > Mammalia > Primates > Hominidae > Homo > Homo sapiens. The sequence goes on along the minus strand of NC_000003.12, from coordinate 54,214,043 downwards.
CAAATACCTGCATCCCCATATTTCCACTTAAAATGCCAAGGTTCAGGGCATCCCCACTACAGTAGGGTTGACCCAGTGGTGGACCAACCACTCAACTGATTCCTGGGCCTCTCTCCTCCCGGTATTTTCCTACTGAATGGGCTCTATCAGCAAGGTGTTCAAGAGGGACTCCAGGCCAGAGGTATCAATGCCATTAGCTTTCTCCACAACAATCTAAGTGAACATAAATAATCTCCCTCATTTGATTCATTTTTATTTCCATCTTCCTGTTGTTCTGCATTATGAATCCCCATATTTATCTTTTCCTAGTATTAGAAGAAAACCTGACAACTGCACAATATGCTATTTTACTCTGTCCCCTGTGATGTCAAATGAGACCAGTGGGTCCACATCTCATCCCTGCATTCAGCAACCTGAAAGTGGCAGGCCACAAGGAATTCCTTAATTCAGCCACCATCCCTTGAGCAATGCAAGGAAATGCATGCTCCTCAGGTGAGGACCACAGGAAGAAAGAAAGGACTGTTATCCTCCCCAGACAGATACTGATGGAGAAATCCAGTAAAGGACGATGAGCCGCAACTAAGGAAGAATACTGAGAGAGCAATTGTTCCTGTATTATCGATGTTCCCCGGGGGTTAAGGCAGGAGGGGTGGCCTTTAATGGCTCAAAGCCATACTGGTGAATAGCCACAGTAACATCATAGAAATGTACTAATTAAAACAACCAGAGAAGGCCTGGAGAAAAGAGGTTTTCTTATTTCTATTTAAACTATCCCATTAACAGCCTTCCAAAAAGGTTAAAAGAAATAAAATAGGTTTTCAGGAAGCAAATTACCTGGGCATTTTCCAAAAGGAAGGAAATTTGACCCAGTTTCAGTGATCAAGAGCCATTTGTGGATGCATTCATTAGCTCCAGTCACCCTTTCCAGCCACTGAAGGGGGGTCATCTGGTTTATTGGTCACAATAAACAATTGATGGTGGAGATTCTGACCTTGGCTCATCAGCTCAGAAGCCCACCTGATGTGCACAGATTAAAGGCTACTTGTGAGGAACCATGGAAATACATGAGCTCACATATAGAGAAGGGCAATTAGGAGGCCTGGAATGTGCTCGCCACATTCCAGCATCATCTCATTAATCCTCTAGAATGTCCTGTGGGGCAGGTCTTGTCAGTATCCCCAGTTCACACTTGAGGAAACTGAAGCCTGAAGGCAGAGATTGAACCCTCCCTGCCCTCCATCAGCTCTGAGTACAAGACAGACATTCCTGACTCTGTAAACCAAAAATAAAATTCTAAGGCATTCCCACCCCCAACCATCTAAATGGATCCCTCCCCTCTCAGCCAAGGGCATTCCAAAGTTAACCTGAAAAACTAATTCAGGCCATGATAGGAAGTGGGGGTCGGACACACCTCATTATACCCTCCTCCCTTTTGGAATTCAGGAAAAGCCAACCAGCATTAACATCAACAGAGACTTTAAGTCTGAAAAGAAACATTTACAATCTATTCTCTCTGACGCCTGCTACTTAGAGGCTTCATCTACATGGTAAAACTTTGTTCTCCACAACCCCTTATCATTATAACCCAGACAATCCTTTCTATTGATTCCAGGCCTTTAGATAATAACTTAACTCTTACAACCGACTGCCAATCAGAAATTGTTTAAATCTACCTATAACCTGGAAGCTCCCTCCTGCCACCACTTCAAGTTGTCCCACCACTTCGAGTTGTCTTGCCCTTCCAGATGGAACCAATGTACACCTTACAGATACTGATTGATGTATTATGTCTCCCTAAAAGGCGTAAAAGCAAGCTGTACCCCGACCACCTTGGGCATATGTCATCAGGACCTCCGGAGGCTGTGTCACGGGTCCATCCTTAACCTTGGCAAAATATATTTTCTATGTTGATTCAGACCTGTCTCAGATACTTTTGGGTTCACAACTCTAAACTAGTAACTATTGGTCAGGATTTTTTTTTCCATTTCCTGAGCCTTCTGTTCCTCAAGGTATCTCAGGGTTTCTTGGCAAGAGAGAGGTGGGTGAAGTTGAGATTTCTGTCCCTTCTCTGCAGTCTTACTAGCTAAATAAACTCATATTATTTCAATTTTGCCTTTGCTTCATTGTGCACCTTGCTCTCCATTTTTAAAACAAATCTAATACCTAAAAACCTAAAATGTAAAAAACTAGGGGAAGTAAAATAAGTTACATTTTATAATATATTTTTATAAAATAACTCTTACATATCTTTAAATAACAGTTTCCCTTTCACAAAGCATTAATTCATAGATGTTTACGTACACTGGTAAAGAAGCAAACGACAGAGAACGATAAAATGAAAGTAGTGAGTCCTTGTCGACTAAGGACAGCAATTAAGAATAGTAGGAAGAAAGTATTCACTTTACAAAAAATATGAGTCTAATTAAGTTTTGTATTAAAGAATACACGTAGTAAGGAGCAGGTAATGGTGTCATTCAGGGGTAAGGTTCCAAGGTAGGGGTATTAACTGCTGCAACCCATCTAAGAGTCAGTTTAGCAGGATCTATCAAAATTACCAGCACACACAGCCTTTATCCCTACATTTTCACTTCCAGTAATCTATCCTAAAATAAAAGTGCCCACAGGTGAAATGATGTATGTGCAGGGTATTCATGGCGGCACTGTGGATAAGAGCACAAGACAAGTCTCTCAAAGGGACCTGGTTAAAATTATAACAACCATTCACACAATGTCCTACTGTGCAGCTATAAAAAGAACCAAGGAAGTGTTTGCTTTGATATTGGAAGACTTCCAAAATGTATTCTTAAATGGAAAAAAAGCAAAGCTTGTAGCAACATGTATAGTGTGCTATCACATGTTAAAAAAAAAGAGGGGAAATAAGAATATATATTAGTAGTAGCTTGTCTTTGTATACACATATATCCACAAGGATAAACTAATATCAATTATTACCTATCTGGATGGAGAGTGATTATTGGACAAAGGGAAAAGAGGTGAGAGATGAGCTTTCTGTGTTCCTTTTCATACCTGTTTGACGCTTAAGACATATATATACTACCTCTTTTAAAAGTTAAACAATATTCATGTACACCCTGTCATTATATATCCAGTCCAGTTAACATATCCCTCCATTAAAACATGGGTACCCAGTCCCCCTTCTCAGGATGCAGCCTGGCAGTGTTTTACACATTACCAAGGACTACCAGAACTCACCACCTCTCTCTGCCTGACTCTTAGTCTCAGCACAGGTCAGGGAGGCACAAGGGTAAACCTGGATGGCAGACTCTTCAGGGGAACAATGAACAACAGAAGGCTGAGGAGACCAAATCTCCACACACTTAATAAACTCTCCCAGGCGCTTGTGTAAATTATTGCCAATCCCAGGACACTTCCCTCCAGGACATGATGGCCCGCATTTCACTGTCTTTCCAAGTCCATTACCTCATCTACTCTTCCAGCACCCAATCCTTGTCTAACAGATGAGGAAACTAAGTCTGCAGAAGTCCGGTGACCTTACCAAGTTCACATATACTCCCAGATTTTTAAACATATTTTTTCTTACACCAGTATGAGCTATCTTAAACACACACACACACACACAAACACACACACACACACAAAAACTTTGCACAGTGTATAGATTTTTAAAATAGATTTGCTAATTCCCTACAAGGAAGTACACTAGGCAATCTTATTACCTAAGAACTGTTTGATTAAACTTACTGGACAGTTTTTCTTAAAAGAAGGTCACCTCATTGTTCCCAAACCTTAGATGTAATTTCTCATCATCCTAGTTTGACATGATAGAAAGTCACAGCTCAGAGGCCGGGCCACAGGTGCCACCTCTGGGCTCATACACTCCTCTCCCCACCACCCCACATCCTCCTTACTGCTCTACTTTTTTTCCATATCACTTATAACCTTCTAACAAACGTTGTGTTTTCTTATTTATCATGCTTGTTGCCTTCCCCTCACTGAATATAAGCCCCATCAAGGTATGGATCTTCTTTTCTGTTCTCTGAGAGATCCTAAAGGCCTGGAACAGTATATAGTAGATGCCCTATAAATATGTGTAAAATCTACCCCAAATCCATTCTCAAACATCCCCATAAACTAAAAGAGATACACATGCAACATTCATCTCTAAAGGGATTCCGATTTCTAAACAAACTGCTTAGATATCTGATGACATGGTGGTGGCAAAAAGAGCACAGAAAATTTATACAGCAAAATAATAAAAAGTTTAAGATCAAAGACGTTTCTAGACAGCCAACGTATACTTTAGAACATCCTCTGGAGGAGGCTATTAAGGTTATGTTCCATTAATATAATCCAAGGGAACTGCTTGAGTCCAGGTTTGAAAAATCTTTGTTCTTGGAGCAGACAATGAGATGAGAGATTCTACCATTACTGACTACGGCTCCTGTCTTTCTTCCATCAGAGTTAAAAGCCTTTCACATTACGCTTTTCTTTAAATAAAGTTGTAAAGGAGCATACGTTTGGAACAGAACACTGAAAATGTAATTTAATGCGTGAACTCCTTTCAGCCTCACTCCGTACAGAATCGGTACAGGGATAATTACTTTTGACCTCTATTTTCATTAGCTGAAAGTTCTGTTGAAAGTTCTCTCACATCTATGAGACCCAGCCCCAGTTAGAGTGTGAGTCTGCAGCAAGATCGTCAGACACAAAGGGCCAGGAGGGTGAGGCTGGCTGGACAACTGACTTTATTGAAAAACTCTTCTAAGGACACAAATGACCTCCCAATCTTGTTTTGTTACATCCTCCAGGGTCTCCAATTATTTCGATGCCTATCTTGAAATCTTCCAAAAATTATGTGAGTCCTTGGTTCCAGTGAACTGACCACATTCTGAGACTTCCCTTCTGATATGGTTTGGCTGTGTCCCCACCCAAATCTCTTTTTAAATTGTAGCTCCCATAATTCCCCCATGTTGTGGGAGGGACCCCGTGGGAGACAAATGAATCATGGGGGTGGTTTCCCCCATACTGTTTTCATGGTAGTGAATAAGTCTCTGATCTGATGGTTTTATAAGGAGAAACCCCTTTCATTTGGTTCTCATTCTTTCTTGTCTGCCACCATGTAAGATGTGCCTTTTGCCTTCCACCATGTTTGTGAGGCCTCCCCAGCCACATGGAACTATGAGTCCATTAAACCTCTTTTTCTTTATAAACTGCCCAGTCTCATGTATGTATTTATCAGCAGCATGAAAACTGACTAATATACCTCCTCACCACATTCTCAACACCAAATACATTGTGATAATTGAAAAAAAAAAGGTTTTTTAATGACCACCTACACAGTGATGCTCTAAAACAAGGAAAGCAGACCCATATAGACCAGAACTGGATGTGCCTGTCCAAAACAAAAGAAGCACGGCTATACTCCATCAAGAAGAGAGACACCTGAGAGTGACAAGGGGCTGGCACTGGTAAGGCCACACAGGGACTAGGCCTCCCTAGTCTCTAGTCAGAACTGCAGGCTCTCCAGGGCCAAGGCAGAGGCCATTCAGAGATTGACAATTCCATACCATAAGTGCCTTCCAGCCCAGGGCTATTGGAAACCAGCTCTATCAGGCAGGTACCTGAAGCAAACCCACATCTTGAAAGGCAGTTCTGGCCAGGTGTGGTGGCTCACACCTGTAATCTCAGCACTTTGGAAGGCCGAGATAGACAGATCACTTGAGGTCAGGAGTTTGAGACCAGCCTTACCAACATGGTAAAACCTCATCTCTCCTAAAAATACAAAAAAATTAGCCAGGCATGGTGGCAGAAGCCTGTAATCCCAGCTACTCAGGAGGTTAAGGCAGGAGAATCACTTGAACCCAGGAGGCAGAGGTTGCAGTGAGCCGAGATCGCACCATTGCACTCCAGCCTGGGCAACAAGAGCAAAACTCCATCTCAAAAAGAAAGGCAGTTCCATGAACAAGATCAAACAACAAACAGAGCACCAGAACACACTCACTACTCACCCATTTTAGAAAAGTAAGAAATGTATCACAAAATCAAATCGACAACACTGAGCTGTTCAAACTTCCAAAGGGGACATGAATCACTGGACTCGAGTGGCAGGGGATGTGGATTCACACTGAGGCAGTCACTCAGCCAGCTGGGCTGTAGATCACTTTTCTGGATAATGGATAAGTGTCATGAGAATAGATGCACCGAGATAGCTAATCCAAAGTAATCTTGTGGAAATGCTTGCTGACAAGCGGCCCTATCTCGTGGCTCCCATGATGAAGTGACACAGAGAAGAGATTCATCACTTTCCCCTCCTGCCATAAGCACCCTCCTCACTCCCTAGTGACCACGCTCCATGGCCCACTCCCCATATGGTGGAATGTGCACAGAGCCCAGTCCGTGACATTCCCGAGGTAACTCAGACAAATGCACATTTCTCCTCTCTGCTGGCTTGGAAGACTGCTACCTGGAATCTTACACCAACATCCATTCATCCAGGAAGGTTAGCAGTGGGTTTGTGCAAGGGAGAGAAATGTATCCCTCCAAGCCTCAGGTACAACATGAAAAAATACCTACCAATAAGTCCAAGAGAGATTTTCAACTTGGTCTTAAATGGTCTTAAAAGCATAATGTATCCACCCGGATTACAGTGGTGTCAAATCACACAGAGGACACAGTGGTTCCAGGTCACGGGCAAGCCCAGCTCTGCCACTTGCTAGCTGTGTGACCTTGGCAAGTGGCAATATCTCTGAGCTTCACTTTTCTGGTGAGGAAGATGAAGACCCTAGCACACGTCTCCCAGCATTAGTGAGACTGTACATGTAAATTAATTTGTTGCCATGCATACAATTAGCACTCAGCACATATTAGCTCTTGTGGCAGACACTGCCTAGAAGGCCCATTCTATCTGAGCACCCAAGAAGACTACATTTCCCAGCCTCCTCTGCAGTGAAGTTAAGGCCAGATGAAGGGATTCTGGCCAGTGAGTGGCAGCAGAAGCAGGCCTGACTCCTACCACATTATCACCTACCCTGTGTCTAGTCACTGTTCATGGCTGACTGGCAGAGTATGCCCTGTCAGGGGCTATAGGAAGTCCCTAGGGAAGAATGGAGCCTACAGATGAGAGGGACCCAGGTCCCCAAGTCACTCCTTGGAAGAGAACTGCATCAGATAGTCATGACCAAGAAATAAATTATGTATTATGTTAAGTTCCTGAAATTTAGGGGTTGTTTCAACAGCCAGAGTTAGTTACCCTGACTAATTCAGCTATTATATGAATCTTCATTTATCAGAAGTAGCCAAATCCCTAAATAAAGGAAACAGGAAAAGGAAATGCAGGAAGGAAATAAAAACCCCAAGCTTACTGGTATAGCTTACTGGCATAAAAGTAAGCCTACTAGTATAGCTCACCAGTATACCAAACTAAGCTTACTGGTATAGCTTAGTGCAACATGGCTGCTACATAGCTTAGCATTAGCCTCACCCTCTCAAGGTTGGGTCGCGGCAGGGTTTCACTGTTTGAGTTTTTAAGGCTGATCAATATGCCTCAGGAGAATGCGTGTGAGGGAGAGAACCATTATAATTTGGAAAAGCCAGTAGTAATGAGACCTTCCTCCCAGGACACAGAGTCTCTAGAACTCTTTTAAACACCATCTCAATAGAGTTTTAGTCTTCTAACCTCATAATAATCTGAGCTCAGCTCAAAATTTTCCCCTGGGTTAAACCTGTTTGACCTCATCCCCGAGCATACAGACAGAGCCACCGTTTCTCAGTGTCTCATAGCCTCAGGACCCTCAGCCAGCACTGTCATTGTTCAGAATTTCTAGGACTCTTTCTTTACTTTTACATTAATATATGCTTGCAGCAGAACATTTCTAGAAATGCGAAAAGAGAATGAGACCACTCCCCTTTCCCAATGAAGTACCCAAGAAGTGCCCACAACTAAGGTGCACCATCTTCGAACGTTTTCTATGTATAAATAATTATACATTCTATTTATTTTCATCAAGGTAATACATACATATAACACAGGCTTGCCAAATCGATTAAGCAACCAATACAGGGTGCCCAGTTACATTTAAACTTCAAATAAACACCAGATATATTTTTGATGTAAGTACATCCCAAATATCACATGAGCGTACTTACAATTTTAAATATTCACTGTTTATCTGAAGTTCAAATTTAACTAGGTAGGCATCCTGCATCTTATCTGGCAACCCTAACATAAACTACATTGACTGTTTAATACAAGAGGACATCCTCCACCGCAACCCTTTCTTACCTCCCTTTCTGTGCCTTCCTCCCCGACTCAGCATCACCCCATTCCAGCCCCAGAGGGACTACTTTCAACTCTTTTTGCTCTTTACCTTGGTGTCTGCCTCCAAGTTGCTAAATATCAAGAATGTTAATATGGCTTATCATCAATTATAGGCATTATCAAGTGATGCCCATTGTGGTAAATGAAGGTTTAGCTCTCACAACAATGCCCTACTTCCTCTCCCTCCATCTCCCCAACAGAGTTATCATAATTTTCAAAACATTCAATAATGTAAACACTGGCCATAAACACATTTTCGTTGCTAAGCCAGGGAGTAGGCCATAGTTATATTTCCTTCCTTGTACAACTTTGCTTTTCTTAGCGTTATGAGCTGCTTTAAATTTTCACTTGCAGCTGGGTGCAGTGGATCACACCTGTAATCCCAGCACTTTGGGAGGCCAAGGCGGGTGGATCACCTGAGGTCAGGAGTTCGAGACCAGCCTGGCCAATATGGTGAAACCCCGTCTCTACCATAAAAAACAAAAAAAATCCCATCCCCCATTACACTAGGTGAGTCCTCCCCATCTTGACATTCCATCTGTTCTGGAAGGCTGCTTTTTATATCTGTGATAACTTTCCCCCCTCTATTGTTATCCTCACGTAGCCGTGGTTAGTCAGGTGTCATGCCACCTAGATCAATCTCCTGGCTTCCTATTCATCTTTTACCTAACTCCATGTCTTCATTATTTTATTCTACTTATGGGGAATGTTCTTAACTTTATCTCCAGACCATCTACTGGATTTTTTATAATGGCAATCACTTTTCATTTCCAAGTCCTTTTTCTTATTCTCTATGTTTTTTTCTAAAAAACTTTCTGTTCTTGTTTTTTACCTGCAATATATTCTTTCATCTTTGAGGAGATGGTAAGTTTTTCCATTTTTTTCTCCTCTTCCATGTCTCCATTTCTTTTGTTTTGCTTTTTCTTTTTTTTTTTTTTTTTTTTTTTTCAAGACAGCATCTTGCTCTGTCACCCAGGCTGGAGTGCAATGCTGCGATCTTGGCTCACTGCAACCTCCACCTCCCGGGTTCAAGCGATTCTCCTGCCTCAGCCTCCCAAGTAGCTGGGATTACAGGCATGTGCCACCACATCCAGCTAATTTTTTGTATTTTTAGTAGAGACAGGGTTTCACCATGTTAGCCAGGCTGGTCTTGAACTCCTGACCTCGTGATCCGCCCACCTTGGCCTCCCAAAGTGCTGGGATTACAGGCGTGAGCCACCGTGCCTGGCCCCATGTCTCCATTTCCCTGGAATTCCTTTTTTCTGATTGTTTTCACCTCTCTCTTTCACATTCGTGGCTTTCCTCAAGGTCTGGTTATCCTTGATGTTTGTGCACATAGGACTGGGCACTTATATTAGCCAAGGTTCTCCGGAAAACAGAAACAGAGCCATATACATATGGTTATATATATGGTATATACACACACACACATATATTTCCATACATATGTGAATGTGTATGTGTATATATATATGGAGATTTATTATGAGGAATTGGCTCATGTGATTATGGAGGCTGAGCAGTCCCACAATCTGCCATCTATAAAGCAGAGACCCAGAAAAGCTGGTGGGGTAATTCGGACCAAGTCTGGAGACCCGAGAATCAGAGGACCCAATGGTAGAAATCCCAATCCAAGGGCCAAAGAAAATGGTATGAGATGTCTCAGCTCAAAGGGTGAGGCAAGAAAAAAGGTGTGAGTTCCTCCTTATTCTGTCTTTTGGATACAGGAGCAGGCAGGAAGTGCACAGTAGAGAAGGGCGGGTCCCTGGCTAGGGTCCCACTCCCAGGGACCTAGGTGAGGACAGGCACTCTTGCTTTCGCGCCCAAATGTTGCATTTTCCAAGACGACCCTAGCCCGCCATACCCCTGTCATGGGCCTATAAAAATCTGAGACCCTAGCAAGCAGACACGCAGGCAGCCAGACGTCAAGAGGCACATCAGCGGAAGAAGACACAAGCGGCCGGACAGCGAGAGGACATCGAGGAAGCACGTCGGCAGAACAGCACACCGACAGATGCCAGCACACAGGCAGGCCACTGACCAGCGGGATGAGACGGAGTTTGGCCGAGGGAGTTGAAGGAGAACTGGGGCCACACAGTGGCCCAACTCCAGAGGAAAACCATCTCCCTTCTGGCTTCCCCATCAGCGGAGAGCTGCTTCCACTCAATAAAACTTTGCCCTCATTTTCCAAGCTCATGTGTGATCAGATTCTTCCAGTATACCAAGGCAAGAACCCGGGATACAGAAAGCCCTTTGTCCTTGCAACAAGGTAGAGGGTCTAACTGAGCTAACACAAGCTGCCTACAGATGACAAACTAAAGGAGCACCCTGTAACACACACCCACAAGGGCTTCAGGAGCTGTAAACATTCACCCCTAGACACCGCCATGGAGTCAGAGCCCCACAGCCTGCCCATCTGTATGCTCCCCTAGAGGTTTGAGCAACAAGGCAGTGAAGAAGCGAGCCACACCCCCATCGCACGCCCTGCGAGGGGGACAAGGGGACCCTTCCCGTTTCATTTTGTTCTGTTCAGGCTTTCAAAGGATTGGATGGTGCCCACCCACATTGGGGAGAGCCATCTACTTTACTGAGTCCACTGATTCAAATGCTAATCTCATCCAAAAACCCTGTCAAAGACACATGCAGAAATAATGCTTATCTGGGTACCACGTGGCCAGTCGGGCTGACATGCAGCTGATAGCACCCAAAGCTGACTAGAAGCTCTACATGTGTGTCACCAGCCATGATCCCCAGACACAGTCGTTTTCTCCAGAGAAAAATCCTCCCAACCCTGACCCGGTGAGTTCACTTTCTGCACTTAACATACACTCTCCCCTAAGCCTTGCTTGACAGCAGAATTTCCTCTCCAAACATGGACTCTTTGGAGAGTCAAGTAGTGGGGAGAGAAGGGACACTACTGATAACTACAATTAATAACTATTAATAACTTTCAGGACATCAGACATAAACCAGGACTCTCCTGGGACATATATGGTCTTCTTACCTATGTCTATTATCCCCAGTTTCCTGGGTTTTTTTGCCAGGAACTGGGGAATCAACAGAACTCTCACTTTGTATACATTGTTTCTCTTTCAACCAAAATGAATCCATGCATTAACTGGATAATTAAAATATGTGTCCTGATTAAGGCTGCCTTTCTATTAATCATAGTAAATAGACCACAAGCACTTCTCTCCTCTCCCTAAAATGACATTTTAAAAAACAGTGAAGGAAGAAAATGGGTATATCAACTCACAGTATAAGGAATGGGGAAGCAACTGCAACAAACAAGATTCATGCATTTTAGAAGATGGCATGAAGAAGACGTGGTAACTGGGACTTGGGGCTGGATTCTTCCAGTCTAACTGCCTGCAGCGTGAGACAGCCAGATGAGCTCACAGAATCCTGAACAGGCTTAGGACACAGAGGTGCCCCACATTTCAGAAACCAGCAGTGAGTTGCAGGGTCAAAGGGGACAATTGGTTGAATGCCTATTTTCAGGGCAGCTGGTCCCAGGTCCCTTCTGCACCAAGTGCAGTCACATGACTATTCAACTCCCACGCTTCCCTTCCCGTTCTGCACGTTGTAGGGTGGATTCCCAGGCTAGGGGTGCCAGATAAAACACAGGAGCCCAATTACATGTGAATTTCATATAAACAACAGTATTTTCTATTAAGAGTATGTCCCAAATATTGCATGGCACATGTTTATATCCAAAATTATGTGTTATTTATCTGAAATTCAAATTTAACTGAGTGCCCCATAGTTTAATTTCTTTAATCTGGCAACCCCATTAATGAACAGAAAACTGTTCATTAATTCTTTTGAATTCACAGAGTTCTGATGTGCATTAAATGTCATTTTCTGAACTGGATATGGTCAAGGGGTCAGGAATTGCTGGGATGAGTTCCCTGTTTTTATACCTTTGTCCAACTTATTTTATCAAATTTATTTTAAAGAATGAAACGATTTCTCTGTTGTCAATTCAATTTTTTCCTTTACAGTTTCTTCTATTGCTTTTAAATTGAAAATCAAATACACATTTGGCTAGATGATGATACAGTCTTTCGATAATTTCATTCCTTACATTTATTTTCTTAATCTATCTGGAATTTATTTGGGGTATAATATAAAATGAGGTTCAAACTCAAATCTTCTACCAAATAGTCAGTTGTAGACTATTTACTAAATAATCTTACAATTCCCTATAAGTGATTTGAGGACACCTAAAGGTGTAAACATTTACTGAACACGACCCATAAGGGTTGGAGTCTACGTGAAATGTTCTTTCCATCAATCAATAATTCTTGAGTTAATGCTATACTTCTTTTGTTACCGTAACTTCCAACATTAGAGCAATATTCTTATTCAAATAAGCCAAGCTTTCCCATCATGGCTCTAATTGTTTAAAATTTCTTTAATTATCTCATCTCAATATTCAGCACTTTTCGAAGTATATATAATGCTAACTATAATGTGTAATTTCAAATTTTCTGGTAGCTGCTTTAAAAGGTAAAAGGAAACAGGTGAAAATAATTCCAATGATATATGTGGTTTAATCCAATATATACAAAACGTGATTTCAACATATAATCAGTATTCCGAAATTATGAAAGATTTCACATTCGTTTTGCTGTACTATGTCACCAAAACCCAGCGCTTATTTCACATTTACAGAGCGTCTCATTTCAGACCGGCCACACACTCTCAGGTGCTCAGTAGCATTATGTGTGGCTCAGTGGCTATCACATTGGACAATGCAGTTCTAAGTAAACCACAGGATCATTTCAGCAAGTTGCTTCTCCCACAAAATATAACAATAACAATTTTGAACCATAAAGAAATATTTTCATCTTAAAATCTCAACAACAACAAAAAAGTTCCTATTTTCCAAAGCACTTGTCTAAAATGTTTAGAAAATAGGGAAACAGGAGACAAGTCTACAGGGTCAATATAATCTCAAAGCTATTCAATCCTAAGTAATCAAATGCTATGAAATGCAATACCCTAGAACAGTTCTCCCTGCAGCTTTGTTCCTACTCTGGCAATTACAGCAGGAATGGATGCTGAAATGAGAAAATCACAAATATATGCTAGAGATCGTTTGCATTTTATTTTACCTTGATGCTTTCCTCCCAGCTGGATATCCACCACTAAAGCTGGAGATGGAACTGATACCACAGAGAAAAATCAGCTCAGCATTCTATGTTAGGAGGCACTCGGTGTATTTTATTTGATGGTAAATTATTCCACTTCACAAATATTCTCCTTACTTCTTTGAAATTACTTTTCTCCTAGTTGGTGTAATAATTTAAGGGGCTGGGGCAACAGAAACTTAATAGAGCATTTTGTGAGAAATTACTGAAAACCACAAATTATTTCTGCTCTGGAACAGCTACCCAGCATGAGGTCTAAACCCAATCTGCAACACTCAGATATGTTAACACAGAGCCTGGGCATGGCACTGGGGACTTCAGGATGGACTACCCACCCAACCACCCACTAGCTGTGTAACCAGGGGCAACCTCCTCCCTTGCCTGGATCTCAGCTACATCAGCTACAAAGCAAGAGGTTGGGTCTGATTGGAATTTTCCAGACTTCAGCCACTGATGTGCCAAGGTCATGGTATCTGCTCTGTCCACATACCTCCGATTCCACAGGTAAACCTTTTCCTATAAAGGGCCAGATATTAAATAGTTTCCACTTTGTAGGCCAATCTCCATCCCACTGCTCAACTCTGCCAGGATAGCACAAAAGCAGTCATACCTAGCTCACACACAAATGAGAGGCTGTGTTCCAATAAAACTTTATTTACTAAAACAGAGGCAGTGGGCTGGATTTGACCCTGAGATCACAGTTTTCTGACCCCTGCAAATATTGTATTTATCAAATATTTTTATTTTAAAATTGACTCCCTTTCTTTACCTAGTGTTAATATCATACATGGAATACCAACATAATTTGCCATAAAATCTAGTGTATTCAGGGAAACAAACACAAAATACTATTTTTAACAATTGCATGCTATCACCTCATGTGCTGCACTTGGATAAATGTTCTTTCAATGACCATTAAGGGCCTCTGAAGAGCAAAGGCTCTAGGATGTTCTCCCTTAAGATTCTCTCATCTAAAAAAGAAGAAAATAGGAGTTCTAGGACAGCCTGGGGAACATGGCAAAACCCTGTCTCTACAAAAAAAAATAAAAAAATTAGTGGCGGGAGGCGGAGGGGACGGGTAGCACGTGCCTGTGGTCTCGGCTACTCAGGAGGCTGGGGATCGCTTGAGCCTGGCACGTAGGGGTTGCAGTGATCCAAGACCACACCACTGCACTCCAGCCTGGGTGATGGTAAGACCCTGTCTCAAAAATAAATAAATAAAATTTTTAAAAAGAGAAAGCAAGAAAGAGTCCTCTTTTAGAGAGGTAGACCGAAATATTGAGAGGTAAGATGACAAGATGACTTAGAACTGCTTCAAAACTACACAGGGACAGGGTAGGAGGGCAGTGGGGATACAGAGGAAACCAGATTTGCCAAAGAGTTAGTAACTACTGAATTTGGGTGTTTTATTAGTCTATATTTTGTATATGTTTAAAGATGTAATAAAATAAAAATTGTTGAAAGAAAATTATACTGAAATAGGGCATACAATCATTAGCCTTAGGAGGAGAGTCAAGGAGAAGGTGAAGAAGGAAAACAAGAAGTGAAGGCCAGAAATAAGGGGTTTATAAGAAAGAAATGATGAGAAAAGAAAAGGGATAGGGACAGGAAGAAAAGAAATGGAATAAATGTCCTCAGGCCAGCAGCCTTCTTTTCCACAACAAACGTTAAGGAGCAAGACATCTAGGAGCTCCCGGCCACGGCCATCACTCAGCACAGAAAAATCCGTGGAAGAACAAAGGCTTTTGAGAATGGCCTGTGCCGACCAGACCTGTGCACTCAGCGTCTAGCTGCAGGGAGGTCTGGCTAAAGCCTGGGGCTGCAAGGACGCCACCAGGCAAACCCAGAGAGGCAGTAACCCCCCGGGGCCTGAGGGACAGTGGCATGGCCTAGAATCCACAGATATGAAACCTTGAATCCCACAGTGCTCCCAAGCTGAGTGTCTTCCTTTTAAACAATTCCACACGAGGCTCAGTGCCAAAGCAGGAGAACAAAGCCATTTGATGTGCTAAAAATTGACCAATTTAATTTCATTGTCCAAACATACTGGAACTGAAGCATAAAAAGTGGGCAAATGGTACAAATGAACAGAGCCCCACAGAGCGGCTGGCCCATCAATACTCTATTGAGGTAGCCTGGCCAAGAGACCCCAGCTGGTATACGGAAATATTCGGGGCCACGGGAAGCCAGAGGCTCTGGCCTCACATCAGGCTGTTGTCCCTAGGTAGCTCCTAGAAGAAGGTTCAAGATACATGAAACTGCCCTTAGAAAGCCCAAGTTGGCACACAGGAGTCAGGCCTTGCAGGCAATGGCGGGTTCACTGTGTCAGGCCTCTTGTCCTCAGATAGGCAGAGCCACAAGGAGCCTATTAGAGGATGGGGGCTCTTTTAGGTATTACAAAGACAAGACACACAAAGACAGTGGTTTGCTCCCGTCCTTGTTATGCACAAGTAAAGAACAGAACCAGCCTTTTAGATCTTTTAAGGTGAAAAAAAGAAAAGTCTGATAAGAACAAGGCAGCAGTCTGGCCTCTGACTCTCACTTTCCTTGGAACTTCACGCATGCTATTTTTACTTTCATCACGTCCAAAGACACATACAACATCACCTTCCTAATCAAAGCCCCAGCAGAGATGCTTCACCTCACAGAGAAAGCAGCTCCCAAGTGGTCTCTAACACCCCAAAGCTAGAAACTTTTAACTTCAGGTTGGAGATAGGAAATGGGGAAGGAGGAATTTCAGACGTAGCCTTCAAAGAACGTGCAGAAAACCAAAAAATGGAGAGAAGAATATGGAAAGGATAGGCGACTGTTCCACTCAGTTCCCCTCACAGACTGTAACAGCTCACAAGACAGCAGCTCCCAGCCGCCTGCAGATCAAAGGCCCTCATACACAAGAGCAGTTCCCAAAAGGTGCCAAGTTCCTAAACAAGTGTGAGATATTATGATGACTGGCTGTGAGAAACCAACACACACGGCTCAGGGAAGGAATTTTACCTGCAAGTCATCCTCCCGGCTTCCCTCAAGAGATCAGTACCAAACCAGAGAAAGAAGATGGTACCAAAAATAAAAATTAAAACTCACTTCGAATAAGTTCTGCTACTATAAAGATGCCAGAGGTGGACCCACACTGAAGTCAGGCAGTACACAGTTTCCTGAAAACTGAAAGGAGAGGAGGACTTGAAGTAGGCTGTCAGCATGTTCCTACAGATGCTTAAATATTATGGCAGCAGACTTGAGGTCACGAGGAAGACATTTCCTGCCATCCCCCAAGCCTCGACTTCTCCAAGGCCCTTCTCAGGCCCACCCAATACATGTCCCATGACATTTTCCATAGTTCTGCTTTTCTGCTTGAAGAGCTGATGGAAGGAGACAGCGACAACTG
The DNA here is from genome assembly GCF_000001405.40 of Homo sapiens. NCBI lineage: Eukaryota > Metazoa > Chordata > Mammalia > Primates > Hominidae > Homo > Homo sapiens. Next base: position 54,197,206 of record NC_000003.12, on the reverse strand, counting down.
AGACTAGAACAGCTTTTTAAAACTTGGCCCTTTCCTGCTCAGGAGGATGAGGCAGGAGCATTGCATTACTTGGGCTCAGGAGCTCAAAACCAACCTGGACAACAAACAGAGATGCAATCTCTTTAAAAAATTTAAATCTTGAAGATAAAATTTAAGAAAAACTTTGTCCCTTTGTGTAATAAATTTTAAAATTGTTTACTAAAAGTCCTATTATAGCTTTTATATAAACATTAGTGGGGGAAAGTAAAACACGTTTTACATTGGATCTCATAAATAATGCAAAAGGTCTAATTTACCATAATCATGTCTGGCATTTATCTTCCGTCGATAATGTATCGGACGCATGCATTATCTTACATAGAAGCAACTGCAGGGCAGCAGAACTGCATCTGCATTTGGAATTCAGTAAATTCCAATGCCCCTTGAGCCCATGTGCAAAAATTGCCATCTCCAAAGACATTCACCTAGGCAAAGCCTGGAAATGTCATTATTTTCTATGTGAAATTAAGTGGGAAATTACAGAAAACGCAATTTAAATGAGGACTCTTTTCTGAAACATAAATATTCATAACTTGCAAACTGACAAAGCCCTGCATATACCATAGGAACCACTTTATAAGAAGAGCTGATTCTTCCAGATTCCGTTTGTCAGTGACAAGATAATTTTCATAGCAACAAATTAACATCTCAAAGAGAACTGGGAGGGCTGTGACGTGGGCAGGAGGCAAGCTGGGGTCTAGCAAAGGCTTTCCAGACTCAAGTTTTAACTTAACGGCTTCCCTGTGAAGATCCATCCATCAGGTGTCTTTCCCAGAACTCACTGCCCTCCTGCCCCTTAAGAGGCCTTATTTTGTACAGAGTGGTTCTTCATCTGATGAAGACTGCCTTTTTAACCAATCACTTTGTGACATCTTCTTTACTATCCTGAAATAAAAGTTAGATAATATCAACATATAATATTTTTTAAAATCAATAGTATGTCCAACCTATAATATAAAAGAGAATCAAAGGCAAATGGTTTAGAATAAAGTAATACGTATTTCAGTAGACAAATGCTTAGGCATAATGATACTGAAAGGCATGGCAAAACAGTCAGATGCTTCCACCTCTACAGAGCATCAGGAAAATTCAACAGCTACAAATGCCAACCACACAAGCATATCTTGATGGCCACCAACATTGTCCTCGGTGATGTGACTCCTCCAACACACTAACTCAATGATCAATGGCAGTCGTGCTCCTGGAAAATTCAGTGTTTATTAAAAGTATGAAATTGTAAAATGTGTGTTTAGATTAGGTTCTAGCTTCAAATAATTATGAACAGGGTTTTCACTTGCATAAATGTCCAGCAGGATCTCTGCTGCTCATGAGGGGTGTGGGACAATTCCCCACAAGCAGGGCTGCTGTACACACTGAAGGATGCTTGACATCCCTCAGCCTGGACATTAAACACCAACGGTGTCCACCAAACCTGTGAAAACCCAACGCTGCACCACAAAAGTCCAAAGAAATGTTGCCACCATCACCATCCCCACGTCTCCCTAGACCTGGACTACCTGAGCAGCTTCTTCAGCTCACTAGCCCCACAGGACCTTGGGCACCTTACTCAACCTCCTTGTACCCCACTTTCCACATTTACAAAAGTGGGGACTATAACTGCATCAACTTCACATGGCTATGAGAAGGTAATGCCTTAATACTGTAAAAGTTTTGACCACCACACCTACACCTTCAATAAATATTACATAACATGATGCTTGTGTCTATCATTGCATCTCTGTGTCAGACTCTCTTTGAGCTAAAGCTTAATGCAGAGTAGCCAGGTGTAAAGGAAAGCAGAGATGGGTGGGAGTGAGCTTTGGACAGAGCTGATGGTCAGTGGTCTAGCAAAGGCACAGACGCAGAAATAAGCCAGGGTGGGGAGGCATGTTAAGGAACTTGGACTTGATTCTTAGGAGTCAGAGTTTTCCTCCAGATCACATGCATCAGAATGCCCTGGGACAACGGCCAGACGGCTGATTCCTGGGCCTAACCCAGACCAAATGATTTGGACCTCTGGGAGGCGGGACTCTGGAATGTGCATATTAGGAAACCTCCCTCAAATAATTTGGATGCCCTCCGAGGTTCAAGGGCTGGCTGTAATTGACAGGTTATCATGTAAGACTTAGCATGGGAGTGACCACGTTGGATGGGTGGCCATGTGAGAAAGATCAGAGTAGGTACAACCGGCGAGAGAAAAGCCAGGCAGGAGGCCCTTTCACAGAAGACCTAAGTGTTGAGGGCCCTACTATGGTCTAAATGTGTCCCCCCAAATCCATGTATTGGAATGTAATGGCCATTGTGATAGTATTAAGAGGTGGGTACTTTAGGAGGTGATTAAATCATGAGGGCTTTGCCCTCAGGATGGGATGAGAGCCCTTATAAAAGGGCTTGAGGGAGTGGGTTCACTCTCTTCCACATTTCCACCATGTGAGGACACCTAGTCAGTGCCATCTATGAGGAACGCATCTTCACGTGAAACCAAACCTGCCAGTGCCTTAATCTTGGACTTCCCAGCCTCTAGAACTATGAGAAAATAAATTCATGTTCTTCATAAATTACCCAGTCTCGGGTATTTTGTTATAGCAGCAGAGCCAGACTAAGACAGGCCCCATCCACATGGTAATCAAGACAAGAGGAAGGAACAGCCAGGAGGAAGATTCCAGAGAGAATTTTGGAAAGACAAGGAGGTGGGAGACAGGAAAGAGGGAGAACTGGGGCTGGTTTCTGACTTTGGCCATTATGAAATGGTCCCATCATCATGTCCCTGCTTCTCAATTATGACTTTTTTTAACTACTTTTAATCGACACGTCATATTTACACATTTTATGGGATAAAGGTAACATTTTGTTCCATGCATAGAATGTGTAAGGATCAAGTCAGGCTATCAGGGGTATCCATCTTCTTGCATATTTATTATTTCTATGTGTTGGGAACATTTCAAGCCCTATCTTCTAGCTATTCTGAAATATACAACACATTGTTGCTAACTATAGTCACCCTACTCTCCTAACATTAGAACATATTCCTTTTAATTGTATGTTTGTACCCATTAACCAACCTCTCTTTATCCCCCACCACCACTCACACACCCTTCCCGCCCCCTCGTATCTACCATTCTACTCTCTATCTCCACGAGGTCAATTTGTTTTTAGCTTCCACATATGACTGAGAACATGCAACATTTGTTTTTCTGACAGCTTCCATGTTTGAGAACCAACTATGGGCCAGACCCTGAGCTCTCAACATCCCAGTGAGGCAGATAGTGTTCTTCCCATTTTGCAGGTGAGAAAATTGAGGCACAGAGAAGCAATGACTTGCCCACTGCCACATGGTCCATAAGTGAAGGAAATGAATTAGAACCTAGGTCTCTCAGGCCATGGAGCTGACACTCTCAACAACAACACATTGTAATTCAGCCTCGAAGGAGAATATTCTTCCTGCAACAAACTCATCCAGGCTGGGGGTCCCTCCTGAGACTGGCACAGCCTAGTGGTCCTCAGTGAGAGCTCTAGGGATAGGCTGCCCAGGTTAGATAGCCACCCACTGGTCCCAAGACCTCAGGAAAGTGACTCCTTTTTTCCTCATCTAGAAACTAGAAATAATCATAGTGCCTGCTTAATGGGGCAGTTATGAAGATTAAATGAGATAATGTTTGAAAATATTTTAGCAAGCACCTGGTAATTAGAATTCAAATGTTTACTATTATGATAGTATCCAATGCCACTGTCAGAGACAGAGGAGAAGCTCTAGCTAATTCCAAAAAGACTGAACCCTGGAAAAAGAACTGGCTACAACATGCAATTTGCAAGAAAATGAGCAAAAAGCCCTCTGCCTGCTTTTGTTTACTGAGTAATTGGTCACAGCATGACTCTGCTGCTGGGTCACCTGGAGCAGCCTCAATCATCCCACAGCCATAGCCATGGACTCTAAGGAATAGGGACATAAAGTCCCACCACCTGGGCTGAAACCAGGTTCCAACTCACCACATAACTGGGAAGTATCACTTCACCATGAGAGCTTCATGCCTTCACCTGTAAAAGGGGTTCGATAACAAAAGTTCCCTTCTCCAAGGGTTCTTGTGAGGATTAAATGTGAATCATTTAGCAGAGCGCCTGGCCAAGGTTACATGCTGAAAAACTATAATCATGAATAGCCTCCTCATCCCAGGTATGGGGGAAAAGACATTTGAAGGATAGCCTGTGCTGGGCTGCGGTTAACATTATTTCACTGCTGTCGTAATTCTTAAATTCTTCCTCCCCGTCATGGGTCTCCTACATGATCTGATTCTCCCTGAGGAATGAGCAGCTCTGCTAGCTCCATAATACCTGCTCCATTTGAAGTCACTTTCCCTTGCACCAGCTGCAGTGCCATTAGTAACCCCTGGTTCATTTGCTGGGCTGAGATACCTGGAGGGCAGCACTGATTGTCCCCAGAGAATAATCTACAGCAGCATGGCGTGAATACACAAACACACACACACACACACACACACCTCACATATGGGAAAAGCATGTAGGGAGCTGAGACCACTTCATGGCTCTCGTGCTCATTCCCTGCTTTACAGGAGAAAAAAACAGACTCAGAGAAGAGTCATCTGCCCAAGACCCTGAAGCTCCAATGCTCTACAGCATGTACTCTCTGTGGACAACTATCTTCCCCCTTAGGTGTCTGGGTTTTCAATAACCCAAGGGTCTGTTTGGCTACTGCTATGGTTTTCACATTTACACCAAAGAATACTGTGCATGTCACACCACTCCTGTCTCAATTATGTGTTGTCACCTGCATGTTGCATGGTGAAACTCAATATCAATGCCCTGTTTGCAGAAGGAAAGGCAAGCTCCGTTTGTAACTGCAAGCACTTCCCCTTTAGCATAAACTCTCCACAGTGATATATTCTTGTCAAAACACATCACTTGTGTTAAAAATAAAAGTCTTCTCCTCCACCCCCAAGCAGTCATTAAAAGAACTTTCTGGAAGTGGGAGGATGAAGGACCACCCACTCTTGATTCACTTGGCACTGCTGACTGACAGGGAATTAAAAAGAAAAAAAAAAAAAAAGCACTGCATCCCAGGTTTCCTCATTATTGATGGCACAAGACATTCTAAAGAAAACTTGCAGGGAGACCATGAATGTGCTAGAAGGCAGCTGGCAGGTCCCAAATAAACCCAAACCTCCTCCAAACAAACCGCCTCAATGCCAATGCATCCTCAGAATCCCCCCACTTCCCGGTTCAGGGGAGACACAGTGGATTTGGTGTTGTTATGCAATATAATCAACAACAGCAACAGCTAACGCTTTTGGGGCCCTTCATTGACTACCGGATCTGGGCTCTGTGTACATTCTCTCTTCACGGCAGCCCTGCGCAGGTAGGGCTCCTTATCTATCATTATTCCCAAACATCAGAAAAGAGAGGCCAGAAGAAGTTACAGAACTTGCCCCAATTGCATGGCCCTGACACCCAAACCCAGCCCTGCCTAACACCAAGCTCAGCTCTTCAAAGCCAACCTGTCCATGAGGGAGGCTGAATTTGCCACTCCCAGCACCAGGCACAAGCATGAGAAGAGACTGTATCACCGATTTCCTTGTACTCGGTCGGTTCAACTTGAAAACACAGACAAAAAACAGCCCATGGCATTCCAAGGCACTCCCTGGGTACTAGATTACAAATCCATTTAAGGGTTTGGACTGCTCAGCATGCGTATGAAACTGAAAACACTAAATTAGATATGATGATGATGATGATGATGATGATGATGATGATGATGTTGATGTTTTAAAAGAAAAGGCATTAGAACATTAAATATGGCCAGAAGGCAGAAAAATACTCATTTTAAAATCATTAATCTGATGTGATCTGCCATCACAAAAAACCACTGAAGATTACATGTTTGTCCCAGAACACTGTCCCTGCTTGTTGAGACCACTCCACTTCTGCTTCTCTTTTAGTGAATAGAAAAGGCTGCTGCATCTAAGCTTCAGGGTTAACCTCCATTTCCCCGGAGCAGGAATGTGTTTTGGCCTCATACGAGTTCTTCAAAACTTTCTTTGAGTGGGTTTATCGTGACTGATTAAAACAAATCCAACTCAAGAAAGGCACTTTTTTTTTTTTTTTTTTGCTTCCACCTACATTGATCAAGTAGCAATTCAACACCATATATGATGGCAGGTTCTGGTATTATCCCACTTCATCTTTATGACAGTTCTGGGGCGGGGGTCCTTTTTTTGTTTCCAGACAGATAGCCCCATTTTACAGATGAGAAAACAGAGGCCCAACGAGGTTAAGTCTTTTATCCAAGATCACATGGCCACTAGGGAGCAGAGTCAGAATTAGAATTCAGCTCTACAGACCCCAACACCCTGTGTTCTGTCTAGTGGATCTCGACACTTCTGCAGTTGCAACTAATGTTTGTAAAATGTATCTGGAGTATTTTACTTATAATCTTATAAGGAGAGATTGAAAAAAAGAGATTTACTTTCTCTGGAAGCAAAATGGCTCACTGCCAATGGCATCAAAGTGAAAGAGATGGGAAGGCACAACAGCAGGAGTATTTAAGATTCATGTCCAAAGGTCTCTATAGACAGAAACTCTGATAGTGACATGCTTAGAGATTTCAGCTGGGGCTAAAAATCAAACGTACAATGATGTAAGGTTTTAAAACTCTCAATTTGGGGAAGGTGGAAAGTGGTGTGTGTGCTGGTGGCAGGGTGAGACACCACTCACCTAGAGCACAACCTTTTAGCCACCATCAGTAGGTCCTAAACTTGTGTTCTTCCATTCTCTCTCCCTTCTACAGAGGAAAGCAGATTTAAGAAACATTCACCCTTTCTGGGTACCTCACCTCACCTGCCATTGACACTTTCTAATAACCCTGCTTCCAGTAAGGAATACTGTAGCATGGCCTAAATGTGTGTGTGCCCCCGAAATTCATGTCAAATTCCTTACTCCCAAAGTGATGGTATTAGGAAGCAGGGCCTTTGGAGGATGATTAGATCATGAGGGCTCCACCCATAGGAATAAAATCAGTGCCCTTATAAAAGAGGCCCTGAAGAGCTAGCTCATTCCTTCCACAGTGAGGACACAACTAGAAAGCTCCATCAATGAACTAGGAAACAGGCCCTCCCTTGATCTCGGACTTTCAGAACTGGGACAAATAAATTTCTGTTGTTTATAAGCTACTCAGTCTGTGGCATTTTGTTACAGCAGCCCAAATAGACTAAGACAACTGGGCAAACAGCATTTATGAGAATGGGTGGTGATGCTTAAAGTTTAAAAAGTAGAAAATTATGTGTACTCATTAACTTTAATGACATAAGAAAACAACTCCTTTTGTAAACAATCTAAGGTGAAGGCACAACACGTTTGAATTGTAGCTGATGGGGAAGATAGGCCTGTGTGTGGGATCTGACTGCTGAGATCAGGCCTCTGGTGAATGGTGCCCAATCCAGTGGGAAGGAACTCCCAGCAGACCTCTCCAAACTGTCAGAACTCCAGACAACTTCCTCCTGAAGCTAGGCAAGAAGCACCCCTCATCCCAGCAATTTGCCAATCCTACGTCCCGAGAAGCCCAGCTTGCCAGTCTGTTCCACCTCACACAGCATATTCAACTAGCACCACATGGTGATGACCCTGCCGTCCTACCTCCTGGGCTCTAGATCTCAAAGGACATGGAAGGATGGGATAGCAAGGAATAAACTTGTCTGGAGAGCCACAGGACCACTTTCTGCCTTTGTGCTCGACTTTGGCCCTGTCCCTAAATGGTCTTAAGGTAAGACTATCTACCATGGAGGAGAGTTATGCACCTTAATTAATGGATGGAACACCCAAGCCCTTTCACAGTCAGAGATGCCACACACAGTATCAGTGAGCTGGTCTCATGGGAAGCCTCTTCTTAATCCTTTCAGCTATGACTATCCAAGCAAATATGACTCCCCACACTGGGTCCCGCTAGGAACTAAGTTCTTACATAAAAGCTTGCTGGTCAATACCCTGGCCAAGTAGAAATGAAAAGATTGGGATTTATAACCACGAAGTCCAAGAATTGCTTCAATAAATTTCAGCCCTCATTTCCCTCAAGCAGGGGTTACTTTAGCTCATGCTTGTAATAAAATATGCAGAGTTGTGCCTGAGGCTTAGATGCCATGGCTTCACTTTTGACTCAGGCTGGATGTATTGCAGGAGTGAGGTGGGGAAAATTCCATCAACTTGTCAAAGTCAGTCAAAGGCCAAATCCATTATCCTGAGTTGCTGGGGACAAACACCACAAATGGTATCAGAGGGGTCTGCCAAGTACTAAATGAGTGACGCTCTATATTCCACAGAATTTGGCAGCTAATATCACCACTAATGCCATTCTAATGATAAGCAAAATAAATATATATCCATTTTGGAAGTTTGGGGTTTGTGGATCTATTAGAGAAGGGGCCCTGTGTTCATTATCTTTGACCTGAAAAACTCATGAAAATCTCTTCTATATGAAGGAGCCGACAGTAAACTACAGCCGTGAAGCAATTCTCTGGCAGGAAACCCAGCAAACATGGCCTCCCATTTGCTCCAACAGCAGGAGCAACCCTATGGTTGGATTCCAACTCCAAGTGGTCTATCACAGGAATACATGGACTCTGAGGCACCTGGCCACCAGTCAAGAGGTGTCGTAGCCTAGGCTGGTCAAGCATGGCATGGGTGCAGTCCTGAGGACATCATGAACACAGACTCTGCCGAGAACGCTATTCTTACAACATTCAGCACCCATGAACCACCAAGGAAGGATTTACAGGTCCTGAAGCTGGACAGGTTGCATGTCGCTGTCCTTGGTGCTGAATCATTACAGCTCTCCTCAGCTGTGCTATCCCTACAGGGTAATTCCTGCACAGCCTCTCCTGCTACTGGTTTTTTTGTTTGTTTGTTTGTTTGTTTGTTTGTTTGTTTGTTTGTTTTTAAGTTCTCCCTTTCTAAATTGATAACAGTGAGTTGCAATAGAAAAGATGGAAAAAGCACAACCATGACCTACGCTTAACAGTCTATACAATGAGTTCTGTGTACATATGTTCCACAGCTAGATTAGAGTGTTCTGAGCAGCTGGTTGGGGGAGCACATACCCATGTTGATCCCCTGATGCTCTGTCTGTGGACCTGACAGTTATTTTGGAGTTCGACTCTCTTTGATAAGAGTGCCTGGCACCCTCCCTCCCTGTATGATAAACATCAGGTCATCCTTAAACACCCAACCCCCGGACCACGGACCACGGTACTGGTCTGTGGCCTGTTAGGAACCCGGCCACAGAGCAGGGGCAAGTGAGCATTACCACCTGAGCTCCACCTCTGTCAGATCAGTGGCAGCGGTGGCATTAGATTCTCATAGCAGCATGAGCCCTATTGTGAACTGTGCATGCGAGGGATTCAGGTTGCACGCTCCTTATGAGAATCTAACTAATGCCTGATGATCTGAGACGGAACAGTTTCATCCTGAAACCATCCCTGTACCCCTTCTATCCATGGAAAATTTGTCTTCCACAACACTGGTCCCTGGTGCCATAAAGGTTGGGGACTGCTGCCCTAGTCAATCATGAGCTCACCCGGGAAGCCCTTCCTGACTGCCAGTCCCCATTCCAGACAGACAACTAGCGATGCCTTCCTCCACACCCCACAGTGCTTCATAGATCCCATTACCCTCCAGCCCTGCAGTTCTGGGTTTGTGTGTCTACTTCCTTTATTCAGATGTGCTCTCCTTGAAGAAAGGGCCTGTATTTTAACAAAATTAAGAACACAAGTGCGGTGTTCAATTATTTCAATTGTCAAGCCTTTAAAATCTCTGTAGTTTCTGTCTACCCAGTTGCTATGAGATCAAAGCAAGAGACAGACTTGGTGGTATTCAACCGAGTATATTAAGTTTTATTTGCTAACATCTAAGACAGCCCAGGAGGCCTATCAATCCCTCCAGACACAGATACAGTCATCTGGAGGCTGAAGGCCAAGATGTCAAGTGACTCTTCCAAGGTCACCCCGTTCATCAGCAATGGCATCAACACAGGACCTGCTCTCCCTGCAAGACTCTGAAAGTCACCGCGTCCTACAGCACTCCCAGGGACAGCAGCAGCAGGAGCCCAAAATGCCGAGAGATTATCTGATTCCCAGCAGCAGACTCAGAAAAAGTGGTCACAGTGTCTCTTGTAGATGAATGGCATTCAGACCTCTGGGAACATCAGGCCAGCCTTTCCTTTCCCTCCTCACTAGGCCAACTCAGGGTCATGGCCACACCTGGAGCTTGGCAGGGCTTCCCATTATGGAGGAAGGCAGGAGCAACGCTGTCCTGGCTTCAGAGATGGAGAGGCCTGCCGTTGGTGAGCATTTTGGGTTGGATCTCAGATTTTAAGGTCTCATTCCCATTTAATTCACCCACTTTATTTTAATATTAACTCAGTTAATTTTTTTTTTCAGAAGACATAAGGAAGGAGAGATATCATAAATCCAGACACAGCAGAGAGCACATTAAAAAATGCAGTTCTATTATCTTAAAACTAGAGATGTAATTAGAGCAGTCATGTAGTATGAAGAGAAATTACCAGAAAAAATATTGTAAAGGCCTGGGTGAAAAGAGAAAAAGGTCTATATCACTTAATCTCTAAAAAGTAAAGAAAGAAGGAGAAAAATACACCTTCAGATCTTTCAAATACTTCCCCAATGCCCCCTAAATTATCATTTTCACCCAGCTTTTCTGTTTTACATGCATAATTTACCACAGTGCACACTAGCCTCATTTCTTTCTTTCTTCACCCAAGATGCATATATCTTGGGAGGATGTGGAATTCACCCCTAGATTCACCCAACCGATCTGTGTCTTTGGGGATACTTAAAATTACTATTTGAAAAGAACACTTCCTCCTGCTATACTTACTATTAACTCTAAAATTTCATCCAAGCAAAACACAACACAACACTGTATCAAGTTATTGCAACATCATATTCATTCACCAAGCTCACAGTGAGTGTCTGCAACTTGCTGGGTACACCATCCTCACCCTCATTCCCATCCTCAGGGCTGGAGATACAGACTAGTAATAAGGTCTCTGCCCTCCAAGAGCTCAAAGTTGGTGCCAGGACTGGTAAAGAAAGGAGTGATGGCAGCACAGTTGCTTAGGGCTGGAACAGAGGATACAATAGAGATCTGGGGGAGGATGGGAGAGCAAACCACATGCTGTCCTGGAATGCAAGAAAACCTCTGAGGGAGAGATGCTTAAGGCAAGTTAGGGAGGCTGAGTAGGGGTTATTGAATCAAAGGAGGAGGTATGCATTACCTCCAGAGGAACAGCAGGGAATGTGCAGCAGTGTGATCAGCAGACCAGGTCATCAGATCTAACACAGGATTGGCAAACTATGACCTGCAAGCCTAATCCAACTGCTGCTTGTTTTTGTAAATAAAGTTTTATTAGAACACAGTCATGTCCATCATTTAATATTGTCTATGGCTGCTTTCACACAACAACAGCAGAGTCGAGTATTTGTAACAGAGACCTAGAGAGCCCAAAATATTTACTACCTGGCCCTTTAAAGAAAAAATGTGTTGATCCTTTGGTCTACAGGATTTAGTGTTGAATCTATAGAATAATATGTTCGTGAATAAACATAATTTAACCTTTAGATGTCATGTTACTGACCTCTAAAAATCTAAAGCCCCATTCTAGAAGTGTGCTGCAGACAAATTAAAATTTTGGATCTTAAATAAGTTTGAGAGATGCCAGGGTAAAATTAAGCAGGCTTCTTTTTAAGGACTTCTAAGAGCCCTTAATGTGCAAATACTTGGGAAAAAATTAAAGTAGAATTTCTCAAAATTCTTTGCTCCAAAATCTTTTTGTGTTCCAAAAGCTCCTCTTCTGCCAGAAAAAAAAAGTTCAATTCTGATGTAAGTATTTCTTTTTGTACCCTAAAGAGCTTATGTGTCAGGGCAAAGCAGAGCTTGGAAACTTCTATAAGCCATTTAGAAGAACTGCAATCTGAAAAGTACAACAATCACAACTTATGGTATTGAAACAGGTTTTTCCATTACTTCAACCTTCTAACCAATGGGTTCATTACTATCCTGTCAACAGAAGAATTTCAGCATTTATGAACAGAACTTACAGGAAACATACACAAACCCCTCCCACTTCTAAGGCACAGGACCTTTGGCTCAGACCTTTGGGGTAGTCACACAACGCCAAATGAATCCTCCCGTAAGGGCTTCCCTACCTAGCCTACGTCCCTGGTCACTAAGAAGTCATTACCCTCGCTAATACTAGAAATGGTTGGGGCTCTCACCTCAGAATGTTGCTGACAGAGATAAACATTGCAACATTCCATTGTTTGCTCCAGAAAACTCCAGAATTTCAGTTCCAGAGGCAACCTCCCTCCATTTCACCCACATTAACTACTCTGAATCAAAGAAAAAACAAAGAAATGCAAACCAAGAAGAGATAAGAACTGAAGAACCTCATGTCCCCAAATGGATTCAATGCCATCGAGTATGATAATAACCCACATAAACCATAAAGTACTTCCCCATGGGATGGCCCATTTCACATGTCAGCCAGCCATGAAGGCAAGGGAAAGATGAGGTAGGGGCTGCACTAAGGCCTATGTATGCTCTGGGGATTGGGGAGACAAATGTCCTTTTCTCCTATAGCCAATGCTAAGCACAGCCTGGGTTCAAACCCAGACCTCAGGACTCTAAGCTCATGATCTTGGGCAAATGACCCAGACTCTCTAATACTTCATTTCTATGCCTCTAAAATTGGTGATGGGAGGATGGGGGAGGGCTTAAGGCCTTAGCACAGAGTAAGTGAACACACATAGGAAGTGGCTACTATTCACTCAATTATATAAACATTGCCTACCTGTAGTCTGGGGCTGCAGCAATGACCAGAGGCAGCGCACAGCCTGAAGGGTTTGTCAAGTGTGCGCCAAATGTTCCGACAGAACCTCTAGGGCTCCAGCTTTCCCCAATCAGCCTGAATCTCTGATCACTCTGTTTTCCCAACTCTGTAAGAGTACTTATTTCCTGCACTCAAAGAGATAGAAAACAACATGTGCTTGTGCTCATGACAATTACCCTGCCTTCAAGCTTGACCTGGGACAGCTGTGTCTCATTGAAAAAGACCATCACAAATGCACCGGAATGCATGCCATGGAAAAAGCAGATGATTCCTGCTTTTTGATTCCACAGTCAAGGTAATTCCACTTTGCTTCAAATGAAAGGAAGTAAGGCTCTTCTTTTTTTTTTTTTTTTTTTTTTTTTTTTCTTTTTTGAGACGGAGTTTCGCTTTTGTTGCTGAGGCTCGAGTGCAGTGGCGCAATCTCAGCTCACTGCAAACTCTGCCTCCCAGGTTCAAGTGATTCTCCTGCCTCAGCCTCCCGAGTAGCTGGGATTACAGTCATGCGCCACCATGTCCGGCTAATTTTTGTATTTTTAGTAGAGACGGGGTTTCACCATGTTGGCCAGACTGGTCTGGAACTACTGACCTCAGGTGATCCACCCGCCTCAGCCTCCCAAAGTGCTGGGATTACAAGCGTGAGCTACCGTACCCAGCCAGGCTCTTATTAAACTCAGGCAAATGTGAACCTAGAAATTGAGAGAACACAATACACAGATTTTTTTTTTAATCTATGGGCTTCCTGAAAGTAAAAGTTTTAGAAAGGAAAAAGGCGCGTTGGCAAAAAGCACCCAAGTATATGGGCCAGGATGCAGATCTAACCCTGCCACCAATCAGCTATGTGACACTAAACAGGTCACCTCTTCTTCACAGGCCCCAGTTCCCTCTCAGCCTGCAAGAGGGCAGGCCACCACAAACCCCACAGCTGCTTACCACTCCAAACACTAAAACCCTATCAACCAGAATTAGGTGCAAACTACTATGGAATTTTGAAGTCTCTCTGCATTTCTTTCAATATATTTTCTGAATAGAAAAAAAAAAAAAAAAAATTTTCTTTATGCCTCAATTCTCCCAAACTCAATTCCACTTTCTTAACCACCGGTAATTGTGATGGTTTTTATTCCAATTTTGTTGGGGTCAAGCAAATTACATTTCACAACATGAAAAATATTTTGGGGGGGGAATGAGGTCAACTTCAGAAACGACAAATACAGTAAAGCTTTGTCTCTGATTATTTCCCACAGGAATATGTAGATTATATCTTTTACATGGGGACAAGTTGTGATTTAAAGAAATGTCATAATGTGCTGTGAAATAAACTCAGAAATAGGCTTTCCACCCAATGTCTGATAGATTAGTTCCTCTGCTTGTTAACTGAATTTGTGCATCGGCTTCTATTCATGACTCTGATTGTTATTTTCAAATTGTCTCTTGAGCTATATGGTGCTTCCAGGATTTATTTTCCAGCCTGTGGCATGATAAGCAGTTTCTGCCATCCCAGTGGAAACCCACAGAGAGGAAGTGATCGCCCAGGGCCCACTTTCCCAACCACCAACCACAGCAAGTGCAGAGCACTCAGCCACAGCAAAGTAAAACCCAACCAAATTAACTGGTAGAGTTATCTAACATAGTCACTCTAAATCAAATAACGTAGTAACATTTGTTTCAGACTACAGAAGAAACATTAGATGTGAAAATAAAGCCATTCGTTGGATTTTTCAAAGGAATGGGAATCAAAGTTTTACCAACTCAGAATCAACATCCTGTTCCCATCTGCCCAATAGGAAGGAATGCATTTATTTATGCCAGTGACGAGCGGACTCCTGGCATCTGATTTTATTTATTACAGTATCACATTACAGAAAGCCATTTGTTACCTCTTCTTTATGCTTACAATAAAGGGTGACAATATTTATCAAAAAACTCATTATCAAGTGAGACAAAAAGCTAAAATTGGATTTCCAAAATAAAAATACCAATCAAGCAAAATCTCATTTAAAGCAAAAAGATTTTTCCATTCTGACAGGATTACTGAATGCTGATGAGTTCTCAGGGAGTGTTGGACAAGGCTGTACTGCTAAGTGGCTTACCCAAAACACTGTCATTTTTCATAAGTCCTAGCATAGAAAACACAAGTATTTGCATTAAAATTATTTTATAACTTCAGCTCTGGGGCAATCTAAAACCTAACTTTGATAAATATTGTTGCCTGTAAATACATTTACAGAAGGGTGTATTTATCGACATTTCAAGCCCACTAGATTATTAAAAGTATCAAAACCAGCTTCCAAATTGAGGTATTTGCTTCAAACCATTATAAATATAATTTTAAAAACAGCTCATGTGTTCTGACAGCTTATTATGTGTCAGGCTCTCCCAGGACACCCACGGTTTCATTTCTCTCTTATAATCATGCCATGAGGGGGTCCTATCACAAGAAAACTGGGCCAAAACAGGGAATCAACTCCAAAGCCTATGTCAACCAGTGACCCATTACTTCTTCAATAAGAAGCATGTGCAACCTGGCCAGCTCGCAAGAATTGTTTAAAAAGTAAATGAAATAATTTACGTGAAAGCACCTCAAAAAATTTTTTAAGTATAGATGATGGGTTCAAATCCTGACTCTGCCCCTGTCAGCTGTGAAAATGAAGCAAGTCACATTAACTCTGACCTCTTAAAAAAAATCTTTAAATTTTCTAATGGAGGTCTATGTTAGGGCAGATTTTAACAGGCACATACATTTTAAACCCAAGAATATATTTGGAATTACTTAAAAATAATTCGTAATGTCTCCTTATGTTATGCCTACCCATACCTATTGTCTGAATGCAGGGTTATTACTAACTTTTCTACAAGTCTAATTTGTAAGTAGCCAATGTTCATAATGAGAGGTTAATCACTGAATGGTACAATTCATCCTTAGGGAAGTTTATTTACTTTTACAACCCCTCATGGTTGTTGTTACTGCTAAATATGAGTATCTTGATTAATAGCAGCAACATAATTGGTGTCCAATATCTATTCATCACCATAGCTCAATTTATTTATAAAGTGCCTCCTTATATAATAAATAAGACCTTCATGTTCTACCTGACAGCTTGATTAATGACCCTGCAACCAAACCCTTTTTCACAGTAAGTGAAGGGTGAATACTCTCAGTGTCAGCTGTTTCCACTCAGGCTAGAACCATCCACCAGTCACAGAGAAGAGGGAAGCCTCCTGTTATATATGGTGGGGGGCAGGAACCCTAAGAAGCCTTTGTTATTCATCATGACAAGGGCAACCAGATGGTCTACCAGCTCAGAGATATCTACTGAAGGTTAACATCTATCAGGTAGCCTCCTTTTGCAAATGTTTACTGAGCCCCTACTGGATATAGAGAGCAAGACACAGCCCTTACCCTCAAAAGCTGCCCAGGGTGGAAGGTTGAGCAGACAAGTACAGGCTTAGTGCATGCAATATGCCCAACTCTAGGGTCACTGACCAAGTACATCCCAGGATATCAGCAGGGCAACAGCCAGGTCTGTTAGGGCAAGAGACAGGTATGGTGCTTAGAAGACTCAGAAGAAGCAGCAATATATGACTTGAGCCTCAAAGGAAGACAAGACAGAAACTACATATATAGCTACCAACAATGATTGGGGCTGGGGGCAGTGGCTGGCAGCTGGGAGAACTGACTAATCCCAGCTCTGTGCTCTGGGCCTCCTTGGACTAAGGGAAGTCCAAGTGGGACTTTAGCTTCAGTAGTAGGTTGATGTATCTCAGTGACATTGGCTATGGGAGCTGGGCTGACATCAGTCATGAGCCTCAGATTCCTATCTTTGAAATGCAGATGGTAGCACTCATTCACTCGGTCGACAGATCTTTGTTGTGTGCCCACTCTACGTCTGACTTCTCGGGCTGTTGTGAGGACAAAGCAAGGTCATGCACTTGGTGTCACACATGTCACAAAGCAAGTGCACAGCAGATGGGCCTGAGCATGGTTCCCACCTGGCCAACTGAAAGCCTCACGTACCCCAGTCACCTCCTGCCACTGTTGGGCAAGGGTTTCAGAAATGTAGAGCCACTACATCAAGCTAAGGTCATTCATCATGTTACACTCACATTTCTGGAAGATTTTCCTTTTCTTCCCAAATAAGGTTTAACAAAAAAAAAAAAAAGGCAAAAGACAAAAGAAAACCAAAAAAAAAGAACATCAGCTAAGACATAAAATGCAAAAATAAAAAAAAAAGGAAGAAAAAATGAAACCTTCTCAGAAATTAAGGCTAAGAAATTCCAAGGCATACTGATAGCCCCGGCCACAACCCACAGACCCTGCTGAAGAATTTTGGAAGATGTCTTAGTTTCTGCTGCCATAACAAAATACCATAGATTAGGTGGCTTAAAAACAGACATACACGTCTCAGTTCTGGAGGCTCAAAGCCCAAGATCAAGTCGCTGGCCAATTCTGTTCCTGGTGAGGGCTCGCTTCCGGGTTTGTAGATAGCCACCTTCTCATTGTGTCCTCACAGATCTCTCTTCTTATAAGGGCACTAATCCTACCATGAAGGCTCCACCTTTCTGACCTAATTAGCTCCCAAAGGCCTCATCTCCAACTACCACCACATTGAGGATTAGGCTTCAACATATGAATACAAATTCGGTTTTAACATATAAATATGAATTAAGCTTCAACATATGAATTTTGAGGGAACATAAGCATTCAGTCCATCGCAGGGAATCCCAGCAAAATTCCCCCAATTACGCGTTTCCTCCACCACTGGGCAGGAGGCATGAGGGCGTAGACAGCTGCCTTAGAACATAACATCTCAGCCAATCACCGACAGACCCAAGAATCTAGCTGGATCATGGGAGAAAGGTTCCCCAAGAGTAGCAACAGAATTCCTGCAGAAGGAGCTTCTTCTGGGAGAGCCAGAAGAGAGCAAGACTGCCCAAAGGCCCAGCCTTCCAGATCCTTCTGCATGTCAGTAATCCACAGGCAACTTCTGAGGTACTGACAGACGATGCAAGCGGTCACATTCCTACTTTGAGTCAAACAGTTTAATCTTCAGCAAAGAAGATTCTTTCATGGCTATTTCTCTTTCCCTTTTTCCTCTTTCAAAATCAAAAAGGTGCTGGGCCTCTGATGAGGGTCACAGGACCTTCTCAGGATGAGCTATGTACAGCCTCTCAAGGTAGGGCTTCAAGCCACTACTAACCCCTCTCCTCCCAAAAAGGTTGACGGTGTGGGCAGAGGCAGTGCTGGGTACTGTCAGCCACCAACTCACATCAATATAGATGCTAAATTTAAAAAAAAAAGTTTGCTATGCAAATGAAGCTTCAAGGCTGTCACCTATAGTGCCTTCCAAACAGAGGCTTTTCACAGATCTGGAAACCAACTCCTCACTAGGCAGCCTCATCTGTTTGTGTCCCAGACTCTGCCCCTCTGTAGCCCAGAACCAAAAGCCCTGGATCCAAAGGAGGAAAATCCCATTCATCCATCCCATTTCATCCTTATTTATTTTAAAACTGCTTTCTTCAAAGGACATCAGTTTTTATTTTGACAGATTATTTCTGTTGATGGTATCAATTAGTCGGCATCTGACCAACTGTTCTGTTAAAGATGCAGACTGGTTGGATTTAAGTAAAAGCATAAAGCCAATTTCATAATTTCCAGGCAAACAACCAAGACAGCCCTCAGAAACAGCAAAGCACAGCTCAGTTGGTGACGATGCCACTCAACTTCGCCTTTTTCTTCGTGTGTCTGCTTACTAAAGCACACAGAAAATCCAAAGGCATCTGCCAGTGTGGAGACTCAGGAGGCTGACTCTCTGGGTAGGCAAATGCTGGCTTCTCTCTTCCTGTCCACCTTGGGAGACCAGAGTTACCAAAATCGCTAGGCAATCAATACCTGATTATCTCAACTGCCTTGGAGACAACTCCAGAAAGGAGGCCAAGGTAGGTACCCCAGAGGGCTGAAGCCGTATCTAAAGCCAACTCTAAAAGACAAAAATAAGGGTTGAGAACAGCAGAGCTTCTCATCTTAGGGCAAAGGCTATTTTCTGAGTACTAACCCTGAGTCTTAGCATCACTGAGGGTTCATGACCAAACTGACCACATAGTAACCTCCAGAGAAGGGTCTGGACAGCTCCTCTCTGCAAGGAAGCTCTCCAGCTTACTACTTTACAGACTCCTTTTTACCTTGTCTTCTGCTAGTTTTGCTTCCATCTCTATGGAAACTGGAGTGAGGATCAGGAGCCAGCCTTGAAAATGATCGTCAGAAACCATCTCCTAATTCTATTTCCATGGAAACAGATGACAGATCCGTGGAAATAAGGTAATATTTTTGAATAAGGTAATCCTTCTTAAAAAATTATCCTTACCTCATTTTCTACCGATTTCACAGAGCTGGAATTCAAGAGTATACATTGCTCATGAACTACAAAGGCAGCAACATTCACTTGAGGTTAAAGATAAATATAGGGGACAAAGAAGCAGGAATCCAACCACACAGAAACCAGTGAAATTAAGAAAACGTTGCCTCAGCAGCAATCAGAAGAGCGTGAAGTAGAGCACTCCGCACCCATCACACAGCATTTGTCTCAGGCCCTTGATCAACTTTTGAAATAGCATCATCACCATATATGATGGTTTTCACTAAAGAAGTAAAGACGTTTCCTAAAAATGAAACTCGTAAGGAAGCTTTGTAACTGCAGGATGCAAGTGTGGGGGCAGGATAATTCACCAAAGCCAATAGTCTTCCAAAGTGAACTACTCCATTAAAAAAGCCCGAGGAGTTAGCTTTTTCAGAGATTGATAAAACCGCTCCTGGATGGGCAGCAACCTAGTCCTGAAATGTGACTGTTCTACCTACCATTTCTGTTACTAGGAGTGAAACTGAGGAAACTGAAGACGTCCTGCCAAATTCTTCTTGTAAAATAATGTTGGTCCAAGACCCAAAATAACAAGCCACAGATAAAAAACCCGGAATTTAAAGGCTGAAATTGTAACAAGGCACAGCACTTTAGGTCAAAAATAGCCTGGGCTCATGAGAACTGGCATAGTTAGATAGATGGTATTTATGCTTAAGGAACTGGGAGAAGTGGAATTTGTAGGAAGGGACTCATGCTGTGGAGCAGATACAATGGATTTACCAACCTTTTCCTTGGCATCATGTTAACAGCTACCATTTATGGGGGACTCACTCTTTGGAAGGCATAAGCTCAACATTTCACACACATTTGATACAGCTGCCTCCCAGTAACCTACTATCATCCCCAAGTTGCAAAGAAGGAGCCTCAGGCCCTGGGTCACCCAGCCAGGATGGGGCTATACTGGAAACCAAGGCCCTTCTAACTTTTGACTCCAGCTCCCTAATGCCACACTGGGCTGCCTGAAATAATCACCACCAACACCTCCAGAGCACTCCCCCAACCCCAACCAAAGGAGAAAGCAACACTTCCTGGGGGCAGGTTAGGCAAAGTCCATGGACTGCTAAAAGCCAAGGTTAACAAAAAAAAAATCAACAAAGGAAGGCTTTAAATCACCTGGTAATGAATAAGTATAGGGTAGTTTTGAAACTGGATATAAATATGTCAAAAGAAAATGTTTTTGTATTGCTATGAGTGAGATGACAATGACAACAAAAAGCTACACAAGCTAATGACACCACAATATACAGACTCACGTGGGAAACAGATTTTAAGGCTGAATCAGAACAACTCAGGTGTGCATACCACTTGTTTCCAGTATCAGCTTTAGTAGGAGCACACGTGAATTAAAACATTATAAAATGCACAAATTGGCCACCATCATTATCCCTTCAAAAGAAATCAGAAAATAAGATAACAGCAAGGAATTGCTGCCACACAAAAAGAAAAGCTTCAAGGACGTGAAAAGAAATACATCGAAGGCAGAATGAGTCAAGGCATTCATGGCTGTGGTCCAGGAGAACTGTTTCTTCCTTAAACACATAAAAGGGAAATTTGAAACTAAGCAAACCATTTGGAAAAACAGAATCCTGGAGCGAGGAAAGAAGAAAAGCCAATAATCTGGTTGGATGTATGCACATAGGACAAATCAACTCCACAGCCAGTGTAACACAATAAAATGTGAAAAAGTGTGTTGGGGCTCAGAAACTGACACCCCAAAATACAGTGCTTTGTGCATGTTGAACTGAAAAGGACCCTCAAAGCTAGGCAATGCACAGTATTCTCTGAAGTTCCTTATCAGCCTAAAGTCTGGATATACCAAAGAAGAAAACAGTTCCCTCCAGTCCCTTCCCTGAGTTTTCATTAACTGAACCCATATCTCAGGAAGGAAGACTAAAGTCTGCCAACACACCTGGACAGACTTTTATATCAAACAATGAATGGTCCACTCTTTGGGCCCAAAAGACATTGTCCCAGACATTGTATGCTCTTCAAGCCCACTGACTTCTCCCTGTAATCATTTACTGCACCACAACAAAATTCCTCTTCTTCCCCTCCAATGACCTGTTTTGCCAAGCCCCTATTCTTTCTGTAACCTCAAGATGGTATATCAGCTTCTGCACCCCACTGGGGGCTGGGTCTTCATTCCGAGGGCGCCTGTATAACATAAAACAATGATTAAATAAATGTATATGCACTTTCTCCAATTAATCTGCTTTTTTTTTTTTTTTTTTTTTGAGACAGAGTCTCGCTTTGTCACCCCAGGCTGGAGTGCAGTGTCGCAACCTCAGCTCACTGCAAGTTCTGCCTCCCGGGTTCACACCATTCTCCTGCCTCAGCCTTCCGAGTAGCTGGGACTACAGGCGCCCGCCACCATGCCCAGCTAATTTTTTTTTTTAGTAGAGACGGGGTTTCACCATGCTAGCCAGGATGGTCTCCATCTCCTGATCTCATGACCCGCCCGCCTCGGTCTCCCAAAGCGCGGGGATTACAGGCGTAAACCACCGCGCCCGGCCTTAATCTGCCTCTTGAGAGTTAATTTCTCAGCAAATCTTGAGAGGGCCAGAGGAAACATCCCCCATGGCCCCTACAAGTCCATTTGCTAATGCTAACTATGAACACTTACACAATGGGGCCCCCTTTCACTTCAAAAGCATTTTAAAAGCAATGAAAAACCAGCTACAATGTGTGTGACACAGTCTGTGCTATGGTGGCACTTGAAATGGCAAGAAAAACTTAAGTCACTGAATTGTCTGAACTCTCAAAGAAGAGTTTCAATGTCTTGGGAAGTCAGGGGATAGGTACAAATCCAACTGTGCAGATGGAGCTGGCCGTGCCTCACTTCAAAACCCCCTGCCCCAGACACAGCTGAAGCTCAACCAAAAGGCCTATAGCAGCAAATGAGGCAGAAACCAAGGGTAACAATACCTCAAAAATCGATGCCTCCACCAACACTGCCACTACCAAATGTCCATCTCCTCCTTCCAGAAAAACCTGACATTTTTCTTCAAAATAGTCCAACTTCAGGCCAGGCACAGTGGCTCACGCCTGTAATCCCAGCACTTTGGGAGGCCAAGGCGGGTGGATCACAAGGTCAGGAGATCGAAACCATCCTGGCTAACACGGTGAAACCCCATCTCTACCAAAAAATACTAAAAATTAGCCAGGCGTGGTGGCGGGCGCCTGTAGTCCCAGCTACTCAGGAGACGGAGGCAGGAGAATGGCGCGAACCCGGGAGGCGGAGCTTTCAGTGAGCTGAGATCGCGCCACTGCACTCCAGCCTGGGCGACAGAGCGAGATTCTGTCTCAAAAAAAAAATAGTTCAAGCTCATCATTCTACTTTTGTAATAACCCCCAAACCAGGAAATCACCTCATCCACAATTAAGAAAGGTGGCAAGAAGATCCCAACCCACTTAAAAACCATCTCAGCAACTGTGGTTATCAGAATGGTTTGCCATCAAATCGTTCAAAACCGTCTCCCCTCACCTAGCAAAGGCATCTTCTTTTTGCCTGTCTGTGGGTAGGACTGAAGGGGGAGTCTGTATGGATGGCTGGCTTTTAACACAAATACTTTTGAAAATGGAAGTCCCAACAATTGGGCAGCACTTAGCACATCCTACAGCAGGGATCAGCAAACTATGGCCAAATTCCTCCATGGGGCCATAGTTTCCTACAATTGCCTGTTTTTGTACATGAAATTGTACTGGAATACAGGCATGTCCCTGCCTTTATGTACTGTCTCTGGCTGCTGTCGTGCTACAAATATATAGAGTTGCAAAGCCTAAACTATTTATTATCCATCTCTTTACAGAAAATGTTTACCGATACCTAACCTAGAGCAAGGACCAGCTCCAATTAGCTAGCATCAAACACATCTGGACAGTTTGTTAAGCAATCAAATTCCAAAACCATCCCCCAGTGGGTCCAGAGGCCCAGGAATCTGCATTTTAACAAGCTCACAGGGATTTACAAACCACGCTGACACTCTATAAGCTTAGGAGAGATCTTTAAAATTTTAAATTAGCCAATTACTATTATATTAAAGGATGACTTTCTTTTGTAAAGTCAGTAAAGACTCAAAGCCTGAGCTTCCTCAGCTCTTTCTAAATTAAAATTTTCTGGGGCTGGAAAGTGCAAAGGCCAAACAACACCTGTTCAATCTTTTAGACGTACCTGTGCTTTGCAAAGATTAATCATTTCCACTAAAGTTTGCTCAGCCATGTTCTCTAATTATTAGCAAGGTGCTGTTCTCAGATGGGGAGACTGTTTCCGTTTCCATAACAACTTGCTTCTGCCTTTGGTGCAAAAAATTCACTTGCAGAAAGAGTGAGCAAGCAGCCTGGTTCTGTGTGTGTCGGCCAGAAAAAAAGCAGCCTTGTGGTAACTCATAACCCATCACAGCACATTAGCAACCTTCTGAAAAACCTTTTAAAATTGCATTATTATTAAATTTTCTTGTGATGGGCTATTTTAATACTAATTGTTGCCCAAATCATGGAGAAGGCTAATAATACAAGGTAATAATGTGCACTTTAGGATAGAGAATGATATAATTTTTCCCCAAGGGACAAAGAGGGGAGGACCCAAAGATGTTTGCAGAATGTTAAGCACAAAAAGGGTTCCAAGATCAAATAAGTCAGAGAAATTCTGGTTAAACAAATTAAACAGTTTTCTCCACTCTGAGACTTCATGGAGCTTTCATATTGCTGATGTACTCCTTGCCTCTCCCAAGGTGGAGGAATGGGCTTCATTTCAGGTCACAGAGCTGTTATTTTTGCAAAGAGCCATAAATGCCCCCATCCCTTAGTATGAACTGGTCCCAGTTCCTTTAGTGCCCAGGACTTTCAGTGCTAAAACTGGGACAGTTCTGGGCAAACCAGGATAGCTGGTCACCCCATCCTGCCCTCAGCTCTCTCAGAGAGGCCCTTCTTGAAGCACCTGACATGTTTTGGATTTGGTTAAGTGTTGGTCTTCCTGGCTAGAGGGAAGGAAAGAAACTTGATTTCTCTTTGTAATCCCAATACCTACTAAAATGTTCAGCATAGAAAATATGATCAATAGATGTACCTTGAAGAAATGAATCAATGAAATAGAAAGCAAAGAGTTATTGTAAACAATGTCCACCCTGCCTTCTAGTCATTCAATACTAGTAGGTTGAATCATATGAAATGGGCAGTTTTGTTAAGTCAAAAATGATGAAATATCAACAGTTTCATGTTTCAATCTAATTCACATACTTTTATTCTAGAACTAAGGTTTACTCTGCAAAATATGTTATATAGAATTAGTAGTCACCTTCTCCATGTACTTAGCATTGGGTTCTAGGCCCGCACTTGCCCAGCTGGGTTTACGTCATCCCCACCTATATGTAGTGGGCCATTCAGGAAGCGAGACCACATTTTAAAATGTACAACAAAGGGAGAGGGAGTCTTTAGATTTAGGGAGAGTTTACATTTCCAGAGAGGGGGGAAACCCACAATACTGTCACATCCAAGCAGCTTGCAGCAGTGCTGTGTGTAGCAACCAGGGCTTGCCAAAGACTACATGTCAAAGGCTCGACCGAAAACAAGTGCACAGGCCTAATATGAATAACACGTTTTCTGCCAAATCAAATGAACACCTTTCAATGTGGATTTACACTGGCAGCCCACGGAGAGTAAACAGCATTGTTGGGTGTGGAAGGGGAGAGTGGAGTGGTGAATGCCTGAAGGAGGCACTGGCAGGGCAGACCTGCAGGGCAAACACCGCAAAGGACCGCTCTTCTGTGCAAAGGAGTGCTCGCAAGGAAAATGCTCGACAGATCCATGGTCAGGCCATCCGTGGAAATAAGAGAGAGCTTTCTCTTTGGCCATTTAGAGGAGATGGCCAGAGTCGGGAGAAAAGGAAGGAGACAGTGAGATCTTTGTAGGCTCCAGTTGAGGAAAGAAGGACATCCAGAGACAGGCATGAATGTTGGAGATGCAGACAGACAGGAAGGACAGAAGATAGAGGAAAATGGTCAGCAGGAGCAGGCAGACAGACATGGGAAGAGACAGGGACCAAGAAGTTCAGCCTCGAATAATCCAAAGTTCAGTGGGAAGATATCCCATGGAAGTGGCATGCCATTAGAGCCACAGACCATGGTCCTGGAGAAGCAGACCTTGGGCTAGCAAAACATTCCAAACTGAAGAGTCAGAACTCTGCTCCTCACCCTCTGGCTGGTAGCTTGAACAGTTTAAACCTTTAAGCTTTTTGTGAGTCCCACCTTACCTAATCATCTGTGCTTCTCAGTGTCAAGAGACATCTGAGTTGTTTTAATTAATAATCATTTTAGATTATAATTTTTTCCAATAGAGTTGGAGATAAAATATTTCATATCTGGAATCTGGGTGTTTATAAACAACATGCCCTTCCTCAGTGACAGTGATTTACTTAGGGCAGCATGATCTCCAATGGCTCTGAATGCATTCCAGAGTGAATCGTGCCACTGCCAGGGGTCAGCCCTGCCACCCAAGAAAACTACAACCACGAAGACTGCAGGGCCTGTCAGAATGTACCCGATAGCACTCGAGAATTTGGTTTAAGAATCATCAAAGCTCTTCCTTGGGCTCCTCTCACAGTAACCCATCAAGATCACTTTGGCACAGCAAAGTAACTGATGCCTCATGACAAAGCCTCAGTAAGCAACTTCCCGGATCATCTAGCTATTCCTAAAAAAAAAAAAAAAAAAAAAAGTCATCATCTTTAAAATGTAAACAGAAGGCTCATGAAACTTCCATCAAAGTACCTAAAATAGGGAATCCTCAAAGTTCCAGATGTGTAAGGTCCTTCAGGAACATTTGGTCCACACGCTTTCTCCTCCCTGAGTCGGACGGTCAGGCCCCCTGTCTAGGCTCTCTCTATCAATACATAAGGTCTCTGATAATTCAGCATAAGGTTCATAAAAATTACTCCACCTGTCATTTTTTTTTTAGTTTAAAACATCTGACAAAGCCTAGAGAATGACTGGAATCTATTGGCATGGCAAAATAATAAAATCTACTCATCTTTCCAGCTGAGTTCAAGTTTGATGAAAATTTGGTTTCTTAAACAGAATAGAAGCTTTAAAATGTACACTTGCCAGACTTTATATAAAAAGCTTCTACTGAGCTAAATTGATTCCAACAGAAGAAGGGTTTACTCACTGATCTGCCCTTGGCTGATATTGCTGAACTGAAAGGAGGAAGGAAGGAAGAAAGGAGGGAGGGAGGGAGGTAGTCAGGGAGGAAGGGAGATTTCTTGGCCCTCCTAGGACAAAATGATCAACACAGAGGAGGTGCACAGCAGCAATATTTTGGCATTCCAAAACAGCAGCAATATTTTGGCATTCCAAACTGTGCTTCCGAGTGGCCCTAAATCTGGCCATTAAGACTTAATCTGAATCAAGAATATGTTTATCATATACACTAACTGTTAATTATATTTTGACGTTTACTCAGTAATTTATTTTGTACTGGGAATCAACAAACTTCTGCTCCTATTGGGTCTGATGTGGAAGCCTCTCTCTGAAGGTCAACAGAGCCCAGGGGCAAATTATCCTGGTCTTCTCTGGGTCTCTTGGCAGAACCGCCTGGGTACCTGTTGCTGGAATGGCCTACTCCCAGGCCATCCTTACCCCCTCACTTTTTTTTTTTTTTTTTTTGAGATGGAGGCTCACTCTATCACCCAGGCTGGAGTGCAATAGCGCAATCTCGGCTCACTGCAACCTCCGTGCCTTCCAGGTCCAAGTGATTGTCCTGCCTCAGCCTCCCAAGTAGCTGGGATTACAGATGCCCACCACCACGCCTGGCTAATTTTTGTATTTTTAGTAGTGACGGAGTTTCACCATGTTGGCCAGGCTGGTCTCCAACTCTTGACATCAGGTGATCAGCCCACCTCAGCCACCCATACTGCGGGGATTACAGGCATGAGCCACCACGCTCGGCCATTTCTCCCTCACTCTTGACCTGGAAAAATCATTATCATTCAGATCTTGGCTGAAATGTGTCCTCTTCAGAGAGAGGCCTTTCTTCTCCACCTTATATAGGAAATGTTTCCCTGATCCATCATCACCACCTCCACACACACACACAAACACACACACATGCACACTCGCACACACGCACACTTGCACACATGCACACTTGCACACACACATGCACACACATACACACACATACAAGCACGCACGCACACACATGCACGTTTGCATACATGCACACTACTATCACTGTTCTCTGTTGTCTTTATTGCATGAGTCACCATTTAATTTTTATTTATTTATTTATTTATTTTCTGTTTTTCCTACTAAACCATGAGCTTCATGAGGGCAAGTATCTGTGTATAGCCGAAGTGCAGTAATAAACTGTGAAATAAATGCATGAAACAGAATCAAAATGAGAGGCCATGGTCCACTGAGCAAAATGTAACTTGGTTCCCAATCCCTTTCCATGGACCATGAAGCTTTATTTTCAATCTCCGGAGCCCAGAAGAAAAGGACTATATCCAAAAAAATCCCTTTACATGAGCTGAGTGGGTCTGTGGGCACAGGCCACAGCCCTGTGGTAGGCATGGACCCTAATCACACAGGCCGTTACTTTTTTTGCAGGTTCAAGACCAGACACTGATCTATTTCAGCCTTGATACTTTCGAAGAAATCTGAAAAGCTGCTTGTTTGTTTTGTTCTGTAGTTTTTCAGTTTTGTGCTTTTAAAACCAATGACCCTTGGGGTCTCTCGTGTCACAACTAACTCACAGCTCACAAGCAGACTCAGGATAAGCAACATTTCCCTGCCAGTTGTGATGGCATGTTTCATATTCTCAGTGTCCTCAAACATCTATTTCAATCTCACCGTTTTGAGCACCATACAATACATACTAAAACCAAGAAAGATAAAATGGCGCAGCAAGGGAATTTCAGGCCAGTGCACAGAAGATCTTCCACGCAGGACAGTGAGAGTTCAGAACAGAACCCCTGGGATGCGGCACCTACAGGTCAGCTTTCCTGGCACTAAATATTGAAATAGATGAGACCCTGCAAATTGGCTTGGCTGAGCTTTTGGACTCTGTGGAATGCTGGCCTGGACCACCTAAAGGGGCCTTCCATCTCTCCCATTTGCATCAGTTGTTAATTCATTTGCATAAACAAACTTCAGAGAGTCAACAAGCCTGCCCTAAAGGAGTGGCCTGGTCCCATGCTCCTAGGCCAACCACAGTAACAGTGGCAGGAATGCTGAGAAGTCGGCTGACCTCAGCAAACACTCTGGGAATCTCATTTGGACTATAAACAGAATTAATCCAGGCCTCCTAAGGTGGCTCCTCAGTACCCACAGCATCATGGGAGGTGAATTCCAAATCTGGGCTCTCCATTTAAAACTGCAAACAACTCCCACCCTAAAATCACCCTAACTTATTCAACATCACTGCGCGGCTGTTCACTTATCTTCACATTTTAAAAGATAAGCACTCCAAGCAGGTAGAAAATTCCAATGATATTTTTGCAGGAATTACCAAACACAACCTACTCACCCTTATGCAAATGTGAAATCATGTTAGCCCAAGCGAATGGAAGTTACAAACTCATTCATTCCATAAGCATTTCTGGAGAACCTAGTGTCCCAGATTCTGTACAGAGGCTCCCACTGACCTCATTTCCACCAGCCACTTAACTGTTCTCTTCTCAAGATCTCTTCTTTCAGTCACAAGGAATCAAATAGAACAGCCCTGAGCTGGCTCTACTGAAGGGCTCACTAACAAGTCAAATATAGGAAAGGAAAGAAAGAAAGAAAAATGTAGACAAAAATAGAGCAGAAAGGAGTGAAGGAAAGTGCTTAGGGCAAAAATGAGAAGACAGTGGACTGAAGAAGAGGAAGCTATGGAAAAAAAATGACAAGGAAGGGACTGTCATTCATGGAGAAGAAAAGCAAAAGCAAAGAAGAATCTGTAAATACTGCGCTCACCCTTGAATTAGACAAGATAAGAATCTACAGGGAGCCCTTTAAGGTCTTCTGTTCTAATGCTCCCTTAAGTCTGCCTTGTCCCAAGACTTAAAGCCTCCTACAACAGTCACAACCAAATGGACTTCCATTCCACTTCCGCCAGAGCCTCTCCAGTGACAAGGACCTCACTATTCCACCAAGCAGCTCTGTCCACCTTAACTACGTTGGGTATCCATTCCTCTGCACCCCAAGTAATGAAGGTGGTAAACAAGATGACCTCTAGACCCCAACCCCTCCTCCCACACTCTCTGATTCTAAAAGTTGGCTTTGCACTACATCAAAGACCCAAAAATCCAAATGTGGTTCTCCTTGACCTCACCAAGACTCCACGGGAGCTGGTCAAGTTGGACACATTATCTCCCAAACCTGAGCTTAGTCATTACAAATCCCCAGGCTCTGCGGTGTATGGCAATGACAAATGGCAGATGGGTATAAGGAACCCGCTGGAAGATGCTATGTCTTGGTGAGAGAAAAGCAGAAGGCTGGGGAGGCATTAATCAGAGTTGGAGGGTATCAGGTCCAATCAGTGCCTTTGCAGAGCTAGCAAAATCATACATATTTCCATTGAACATGGCTTGACTGAGAACAATTTACTGTGGATCAACTATATACCTGGTTTGGGAATATCTAAACACCCCAGGTGAGCTTATGACCTAGTGGGGAACACAGCTGTCTCAATAACTCAACAGAATAACTCAATAACTCAATAAGAATGCAAGGTGGAGGGAATTAAGTGCAAGCAGAGGAAACAGCAGGACACTCTGTACATAGAAATTCTTGTTCCGCAAAGGGAGTAAGATGCTTCCCCCAAGACCTGAAGACAAGTGGAATCCTTTTCCCTAAAACAATCTCACAAGACGTTTTTACGTAATTCAAGAAAACTGTAATCCAGGTAATATTATAACTCATAAAATCTTCCCGCAAAATATTAACTTTCATCAGGATATCTTTGATAGGAAAAATGACCTGAAATCTATCATCAGTCCAATGTAAATAAAAATACATCATAATTTTTCAGACCATGAAGTCTGCAATCTTCCTCTCTCCACATCAAAGAGATACACAGAATATTGTCATGGAAGTCTCATAAAAACTCATTTAAAATGTTCCAAAAGGTTCATAAAGTTATCTGATAAGTGCAACAAACTTTTCAAAATTCATCTCCTATAAATGAAGCACCACACAGGCAATAGCATCACTAACACCTTTTTAACTAAGATGATTGTGATTAAAGGTACTGGGGAAGAAAATAAAATCTTCCCCCATATTATCTTCCCCACATTACCAAATTTAAATAATTTAATTAAATGAACATCCAAGGGTAAAATAAAAACAAAAAGGGGGCAACAAACTCCTGTATCTTGAAATTAATGACACTCTCTGTATTCTTCTACCACATATTCAATTAACAAGGGGCTCTGGACAGAAGGGTAATTTTCTTCTTTATTCATAGGATTTCAAGGTGAGCAGCTAATAACTTGCAGTAAGTTGCTTGCTTAAGATTAATGGTATTCAGCAAGGAGCATTATAATTTAGAGCTGTCAGCCTCGGGAGAATAAATGGGAATGGGACATGATGGACTTTGGTTGCCAGTGGTCCTCAGGACCACAGAGTATCTGCTGGAAAAGAAAAGTCCCCAGCAGTTACATCTCCAACCTTGGATTTCCTCTTTGAAATGTTGAGACAGTGTGAAAGGAAACACAGCCAGCTTGACATGGATAGTCACGGTGAAGCCCAACCATCTCAACAAAGCCTCCACCCACCTCGTGGGTTCCTGGCACACAGGGCAACAAGTATTTCAGGCACACAGCTGTACTCTTCCCATGTCTGGGCTCCTCTCTTATTGGCATGCCTAAACCTCCCTTTGTGACTCCTTTCTCTGGATGGCACACTTCAGTTTACACCACTGGAGATCAAATGCATATTTCTGGTGACCACATGGTTGCCTCTATACCATCCCATGGTATCATATATTAATGATAAGATGTGACTAGGGGACAAAGAGGGATCCAGAGCACAGAATCAGCTTTGTTTCTTCATTTGTTGTTGTTGTTTTTAGAGACAGGGTCTCATTCTGTCACCCAAGCTGGAGTGCAGTAGCATGCGCATGGCTCACTGCAGCCTCAAACACCTGGGCTCGAGCAATCCTCCCACCTCGGCTCAAGCAATCCTCCCACCTCAGCCTCCGGAGTAGCTGGGACTACAGGTGTGCACCACCACACCTGGCTAATTTTTCTTTTTTTTTTTTTTTTTTTAGAGATGGAACTGGGCTTCCCAAAGGGGAATTACAGGCATGAGCCACTGTGCCCAGCCTGTTTCTTCATTTGTTAGAAACCCCTTCCTTCCTCAATATATGGAGGTCAAGAAGCTTCTAATTCAGAGGAAGTGAAGCTGTCCCAATATCAAAGGAGCAGAGGGCCCTGTTGAACTGATCTTTGTCTACCTGCTCCACTGGGTCCTCACTTTTCCACCCACACAGGACACCAGAGCAGGAGTGAAGTTTAGGGTAAGCTAGTTCAGTGGTCCTCAGTCAGGGACAGTTCCACCACCAACCCATAGGGACATGGAGAAATACTTGGTGGGGGGTGACATTTGGGTTGTAACAATGGGTGGGGATAACTGGCATTTAGTGTGGACCGTCCCACACAAAGAACTGTCCCCCCACACACCATTCAAGTCCCCATCAAAAAAGACCGATCTTGTTCATTCATCTTGTTTGACAAAAAAAAAAAAAAAAAAAATGAGATTCAGAGAAGTCAAGCATTCTGCCCACATTTACTTAGCTAGTTAAGAGGCAGAGCTGGGGCTAAAACCCAGCTTTTCTGGCTGCTTCTCTTTTCCACAAGGAAAGGTGAAAGCGGCAGTAACAGAGGTGGCAGAAACTGCTTACTGATCCCCCTAGCATGGCCCAGGCCCTGGGTTAAGAGCTTCGCAGACTTTCTTATGTTGAGTTTGCACAAGCAGCCTGAGAGGAATCTGAATCACGAAAGGGAAACTAACTTGATCAAGGCCACACAGCCTGGAAGTGTCGGGCCTGGGGCTCTCACTGGGGAATGTCCTGCTCAGGGGTGCAGTACTGTATATGCCACACAGAGGAAGGGCAGGCAGAAGTGGGCAGAGGGTAGTGGGTGAGGACAGACACACCAAGCCATCCTTCCCCCATCCCCACTGGTCACAAAGTGCCCCCTCCGAAGGTCTCTAAGGGATGCAGCAAGGCCTGGAAAGACAGTGACTCTACCCTCCCACCCTGAACTTGATAATGGCCTAAAAAGGGATCAGAGGAAAAGGTTCCTCCCAAGGCTTAAGAGCTGTCTGGACAAAAAGACCAGAGATAAGTAAGATATCAGAGGAAACACAGGGGTTGAGAAAGTAAAATGACAAAGGTAATTCCAGGGGAGTCCCCCGAGGAGGAGAATGTGGAGCTCAGGGCAGCTGTGACTGCTCGCTCAGTGTGTGAACAGCTCCCTTGCCACTGCAGGGAACTGTTGGTCCCATCCTGCGGCAGCAGAGGGAGGATTCTCGAGGTGAGATTCACAGATTTCATGCCAGTGGAATCAAGATCCAGGTAGAGACTCAGAACTCCTGGAGGGTTTGGGGAGAGGGGGTACGTGCAGTCAGGCCCCACAGGAAAGGCAGGGGACAGCCGGGCCTACCCTCTGATTTCCCTCACACACAGAAACAGTGACAGAAAGCCGTCCTCCTCCCCTGAGAGTCTTTGCAGGTACAGGTCCCTCAGCCAGGAGTGGCCTCTCCCTGTCTCCCCAGCATCTCCTCTTCACCTGGCTAACTGCTACATGATGTTCAAACTCCACCGCGTGGCTGGCCATCTCCTTCCCTGACCTTCCTGGTTGCATTAGGTACCTGCAGTGGGCTGCTTAGCCCGTGGGCTATTCCCTCTCCCTCTCCAGGAACCAACCACACTGTACCAAAATGAGCTGTTCCCTAGGTCTTGTCCCCAGCAAGACCATGTGGTCTGTGTAGCAAAGGGCCAGGTACCTCCTGCTGCACCTGACATCATGCCTGGTGTGCTGGAGGTAGATGCATTGACGCCTCCGCATGCCGTCACTCTGGGGACCAAGGCACCATGGCCATCTCCCTCCTCACTGTCCTTGCAGCTGCAGTGTGACATTTGTTTCTGCATGGGATCTTCCGCAAATGCAAACTAGATTATGTCATTACCCACTCAAAAGCCTCCAATGGCTCGCAGTTAGAGGGTGTTGCTTGCACCTAACTGATTTCTACCCCTCCCTGTGAGAGAATTAATCACCCCCACTCCGCTGCTATCAGGCTTGGCCATGTGACTTATTTTCACTAATGAAACGCGAGCAGGAAGTGAAACATGCACTTCAAAACAGCAGCTTTAGAAGCCATTATGGATTCCACCATCGCCCTTTCCTTCTGCTACAAGGATAGCAGTCTCCCAGAGAATGGCAGGTCCTTCAGCCGGAGTCCTGGGATGAAAGGAACGTGGAAAAGAGCCATGGCCAACTCATGAAGGTCATGCAACCGTGTGGGTCTCAGTTAAAAGGTGGACTGTAGGTAGCCATTCCTTAAGGTTTCCCTTGAGATTTTCCTTCACAGTACTTACCACAATTAGCTGTTGTAGGACACTGAGATTTGGTTGTTACTGCAGTATAACTCAGCAAAAGTTGGCTCTTATAAGCACTTAGTGTCAAATCCAAAGTCATCACCACAACCTGCATAGCCCTACATCATCTGACCCCTTGATGCTTCTCCAACCTCATTTGCAACCACTCCTCCTCACTGGCTGTGTTCCAGCCACACTGGTCTTCTGACCATTTCTCAAATATGTCAAGAGTATTTCTGTTTCTGGACCTTGCACTTGTTTTTCCCTTTGCCTAGAATGTAACCAATCAGTGAGGCTTCTCTAACTGCCCTATCTGAGGCAGCACCTCCCACTATTCTCTATCCCCTTACCCTATTTATTGTTCTTCATACCACTTACTACCTGAAATTACATTATATATTAATTTCATTGTTCCTCATCCATTTCTGCACCAGCAGGCAGGGATTCCATCTGTCTTACGTATCTCTGAATCCTTAGGACAGAATCTGGCACATTACAGGTGCTCAATAGATACCTGTTGAGTGATCTGGGGCAGCACTGTCTTCCCTACTAGGTTATTAGTTCCATAAGGGCAGAATATGGGTGCTTTGAGATTCCATTTTTCCTAAATGGGCACAATATTTCCCATTCTACATGTTAGTTTTAAACTCATACCACTTCCCTACCTTGAAGTTGGGTGGAATTTTACAGACTCAACCAGGATGGCATAAGTGATGCCAAAGGATTTTTGAAGCGAGCTCTTCTTCCTTGTTCTCTAGGGATGCTTGCTCTTGGATCCCACCTGTCACATTATGAGGAAGCCCAAACCATCCTAGACAGAGACTATATGGAGAGGCCCCACATAGGGTTCCAGCCGACAGCCCAGCTGAGGTTCCAGTACATGCATGTGAGCAAAGCTGTCTCTAGATGATTCCAATCCCCAGCCATCAAGTCATCCTCAGTCTTCGTCATCCCAGATGAGGTCCCAGCAGACACAGGCCACCCCTCCCGTGTCCAAATTCCTGACCCCAGAATCCATGAGCACACCAAAATGGTTATTTTTCGCAATGAAGTTTTGCGGTGTGTCGTTACTCAGCAAGAGTAGCTGAAACATCTCTATCCCCAGCACACAACCCAAACCTGGGACAAAGCAGGCACTCAATAAATATCCTTGAGTGAAAGACAGCCTCTGGCCCAGTGTCCTCGCCTTCAGACCGAGGCTAAATTCCATCTCTTGCCTTGTCTCAAACAAGTTCTGGGGAAGAGCACTGCCCATGACCCGAGCCCCTCCAGGATTCACCAGGCTCCATACATCTCAGAAATGGCAAAGACCAGGAATGTGAAACCAGATTATGAGCTGCTAAACCTTGGCACCTACAGCTGGGAAGGTGTAAATGCACACAGTGGTGACTCCCCAAGGAGCAATCATCGCTGTTTTGTGTCAGAAAATGAGGAGACTCAGAACCCCTAACTAGGCTGGCTTCTGTTCAGCTTCTGCTGTATTTCCTAAAGGACTCTCTTGTCAAGGTACACAATGGAAAGAGGATGGCAACCTAAGAATGATGCTTTTCATATCATGATATTGAACAGGTTTGTGAAGCTGCTACCTAAAAAAGCAACAGTCATTTCAAATACAATGAACATGCTGGGAAGGGCACACAAGTTTGCACTGCTTTTTAAGGTCCTTGGCTTAGAACTTTGTCATCAACAACTCTTCTGTTGCCACTTAAGCCTGAGCTTTGTCAGCATATATGCCATTCAGTTACTAATTCATATGCAGAAGCAAAGGTGGGCTAACTGTGACGCTAAAGACACTCACAATTCAGGGATCCTCCCTGGTAGGTGCCCCTCCAAGGGGAACTAACATGTGTTCACAGGCCTATGTTTTTGAAAATTAACAAAAGTAGGATATTTTAATCTCAATTGGCTAAGACTGCTGTCTCCTTTACCCCAACTTGCCCGTCATGCTTCTCTTCTGAGCAGGTGGCAATGGTATGGCCACGGCAGTGTAAGGATCTGGTGAAGGGGGAGTTCAGTGGAGATGGGTTGGGTTTGGGTGCAGAGGGCTATCTGTATGTTTTATTTCCCTGTATGGTCATTGCTGGTTAGTAATATTGGCAGAGCTGGGATTCACACCGCTTTTACGTGTGTGAAGGGAATAATTTCAACATGGCATGACACTGTCTTTCATGAACATATTGCTCCCTTACTAAACAACTGCCAGCACACAGCCCTTTCCCACCTGCACACAGGCTCCCCTTTCAATGGCATCCACACAGCTGCAAACCTGGCACCTGGCTGCCTCCCCACACTGGACTCGCCTGCTGGACTTCGCCTTTGCTCATGTTTTTCTTTCGGCAAAATGGTCTCATCCAATCCCATTTCTTCAGGCAATTTAATTTCTTACTCCTTTGACATAAAAATACTGATCTCAATGAAAAATAACATAAAACTCATAAAATACACAGAAAATGAGGACACATTACAAATTGGTTAATGAGTGTCTTCCATTCAAAGAACATTTAAGATCAGTTACCGCACAGAAAACTTGAAACAACGTGAAGTCTCACAGCTTACTTCTGAAAGAAATTGGAGAGAGGTCTTCCCAGATTTGACAACAAGCCTAAAAACATATATGACAATGCCAGTAACAAGCAGTGAAGCTAAAGGAAACTTTTCTAAATGATCAATAGTAAAAATCAAACTTCCATCACCCATTCTAGAGCTGGGGCTCTGACTGATGCCAGGGTCTCAGCAATTCCTTTATTTTATTTTATTTTATTTTTTTTGAGACAGAGTCACCCTCTGTTGCCCAGGCTGGAGTACAGTGGCGCAATCTTGGCTCACTGCAACCTCTGCCTCCCAGGTTCAAGCAGTTCTCCTGCCTCAGCATCCTGAGTAGCTGGAATTACAGGCGCCCGCCACCACACCCAGCTAAATTTTTGTATTTTTAGTAGAGATAGGGTTTTGCCATGTTGGCCAGGCTGGTCTCGAACTCCTGCCCTCAGGTGATCCACCCACCTTGGCCTCCCAAAGTGCCGGGATTACAGGCATGAGCCACTGCACCCGGCCCCAGCAATACTGATTTAATGGACCTAGGGAGCATCTGAACATTAGGATTCTTAAAAGTTCCCAAAATATTCTCCTGTGCAGACCATGTGGAAAACCACTGCCAGAAGAGAATGAATCATCTTCCTATTCTCTCCATAGAAAACAATATTACAAAATCATCATCATATGAAGAGTAGATCAACAAGCACTCAGCCAAAAACTAGAAGAAAGAAACAAGATTACAGAGCTTGCCAGGCAGTTAATTAAAACAATTTATAAAATAATAATAATTGTATGTTATCTTCTGGATGTTTGTAGTATGTTTGCTATATAAACGATACTTTTATCTTTCAGATTAAATAATGTGTTGTGATTTCTTTCCTATTCATGATTTTGTCTCTTTTTTTTATAAAGTCTATCTCCCCCAAATTGCAAAAGCTTGAATCCTCTCCAGGGAAAAGAGCAATATTTTGTGTATTATTTTTCAAAAGAGGGAAATTCTATTGGTCAAATTAGATTTTTAAAAAATTTTGTGGGTAACAAATCCAACCTAGTCCCAAGAGGATTAGACATAGAATCAACATTTACCAGTGTTAAGCCCATGGGAACTTGATGATTCTGTCATAATTGCTTCCATATCTTGCACCCAACACAAGCCTGGCACACGGGAGGCACCGGAGAAAGGTTCATTGAATTTGTTTTTCTTGATTTACCCCCTCTTCTACCACAGGATATACTTCAGCTATGCAGAATATAATTTCTTATGATATTAAAATTTAGAATTTTTTTCCTTAAACTGCATCACTTATTATACAGTTATTAAAAAGGACTCTTATGATGTGTAATAATACCATGTAAAACATAATGTTCATGACAAAGCACCTAAAATTGTACATACCAAATGATCACAACCAAATTAAAGCACAATGCACTGAGCAAGGAAAAGTCAAGAAGGAAAAAAAAAATGACCACGTTAATATCAGGGATGTTTGGGTATAAAACTATGGATTTTTTTTCTTAAACTTATTTCTACATCCCCACTTTCTAAATCATCTTGAATGATCATGTTCTGTTTTTATGATGACTGAATCAATCAAAATCCCAACAGAAAATAAATGATCCAGGCAAACAAGAATAATTTAAAGAGGGTTTGATTCAAAAGGATGATTTAAACTGGAGGGGAGGCAAAGCTTCTGGCATTGGAAACAATACAATTGCTGGGCAGTGTGAACAGACACGTGACTCTTAGAGGCTTCTTCCAGGAGATAAAACAGATCACCCCCACTCATAATCCACTGGCCAAAGTAAGTCATACGACAATACTTAATTTCAGCAGGGCAGGGAGTTCGATTTCATGTGCACAGAGGTAGGACAAATGAAATATTTGTAAACTAATGACCATCACAGAAGAAGGACCCAGAGAGCCTACTTCTTTTGCATGTATGCAGATGGGCAGGTCTGACATGAAGCTTCAAGCAAAACAGGATCAAAAGTGCTTGCTAAGTGAGCAAATGAAAATCATTTCCCCAAGAGGAAGTGCTCTCTCTCCACTACCTCAAACAACACAGAAAAACAAGCACTGTGGGCGAAGTCCATGTGGGAACTTGATCATGGAAAAAAAACAATTATTAGCCCTGAAAAACTAAGGGTGTCCATCTAGTCCCGAGAAGCCAGTTCAGTATCTACAGTACTCTTTGTTATTCAAGAGATTCGATTTTATGTAAAATGGAAAAGTCGGTTTATCCTGGAGAGAAGACACATGGCATAATTCTCACTGGGGTGGGCTGGACACAGGAAGCCCACCTCATACTGTTCTTAAAGCTCAAGATGAGCTCCTTTTTTCCCCACAAGTGGCAAACCCTGGTTATACTGTTCAAAGAGAGAATCGATGCTGAAAACACTTTCAAGTCAGTCTGGAACAAAATTTCCACAGAAGGCATCCGAAATAAAATAGCTCACAAAAGGAGCTAAATTAGCAGGTATGGGGATCTGGCTGCACCCAGGGTGACCTCACAGCTGCTGCTCGAAAATACACCCCCTAGAGAGGCCAAATAAAATGCCACAGAAATACAGGGCCAGGGGCTCCTAATACCTCCCAGCCCCTGCTAAAGAATCACAAAGCTCTAAGTAGCCAGACTGAAGGAACCAAGGCCAGAGATTACAGGCAACACAGGAGACAGGGCAATCTTCAGTGCTTCCAGCACCAGGAAGCTGCAATGCCTCCCACCTTAGGTGGCAATTTCCTTCTGAAATAGTGCAGCTCCTTTTAAAATTATATCTTGCTTCTTTCTTCTCCTACCTCCCCCAAAGAACTTCTGCATGTAATCGTTACAAGGAAGCTGCTCACTAAGAATCTTTGCACAGATAATTTATCCCCATTTCTTTTTTTTTTTTTTTTTTTTGTTTGGTTGGGTTTTTTTGCTTTTTTTGCTTTTTTGTTTTTTTTAGACGGAGTTTTCACTCTTGTTGCCCAGGCTGGAGTGCAATGGCGCCATCTCGGCTCGCTGCAACCCCCGCCTCCCGGGTTCAAGCGATCCTCCTGCCTCAGCCTCCCAAGTAACGAGGATTACAGGCATGCACCACCATGCTCGGCTAATTTTGTATTTTTTTAGTAGAGACAGGGATTCTCCATGTTGGTCAGGCTGGTCTCGAACTCCCGACCTCAGGGATCTGCCCACCTAGGCCTCCCAAAGTGCTGCGATTACAGGCGTGAGCCACCGTGCCTGGCCCCCGTTTCTTCTTTATGTTCCCACCAAAGTCACATCGTTGTTTGACTTGTTATCCCTCACTTAAAGAGGAAGTCATCCAAGCACAGGGGCTGGAGACCTCTGCTGACTTCCAAAACATGCAAGACTTTGGTGAGTGTTATGGGATATATTGTGTCCCCCTACACACACTCCAAAATTCATACGCTGAAGCCCTAACCCCCATTGGTAATGGAG
This sequence comes from Homo sapiens, assembly GCF_000001405.40. Taxonomy (NCBI): domain Eukaryota; kingdom Metazoa; phylum Chordata; class Mammalia; order Primates; family Hominidae; genus Homo; species Homo sapiens. Next base: position 54,157,295 of record NC_000003.12, on the reverse strand, counting down.
GTGGAGCCTTTGAGAAGGTTATTAAGTTTAAAAAGAGTCATGAAGTTGGGGCCTTAAGCTATCTGCTGGTACTGGTGTCTTTATAAGAACAGGAAGAGACACCAGAGAGCTCTTTCTACATGCACACAGGGGAAAGACCATGTGAGGACACAAAAAGGTGGCTGTCTGCAGGCCAGAAAGAAAGCCCTCACCAGAAACCAATCCTGAGGACACCTTGACCTTGGACTTCCAGCCTCCAGAACTGTGAGAGAATACATTTCTAGTTGCTTAAGCCACCCAGTCTATGGCATTTTGTTATAGCAGTTCTAGCAGACTAATACAGTTAATGTACTATCTATTACTGTATAGCAAGTCACTTCAAAAACTAATAGCTTAAAAAAATAATGATCATTTCTCATCTCACATGGTTTCTGTGGGTCAGGAATTGGGGAAGGGCTCAGCTGAGCAGTTCTCATGGTGGGTATCTCATGTGGTTGCCTCAGCTAGGAGCACCATCACCTAAAGGCTAAATGACGTTGGAGGATCCACTTCCAAAGTGGCTCCCTCACGTGGCTAGCAGTTAGTGCTAACGGTTGTCCAGCGCTTCAGCTTCTACCCACATGAGCCTCTCATGACATGGTGGCTGGCTCCACCAAGGCAAAGACAAAGACTGAGAAGTCACACATCATCACTTCTGCCAGGAAGGGCCAGCCCTGCTTCAGAGTGGCAGAGAACAATATAAGAACATGAAGACCGGGAGGGAATGGGGGCCATCGTGGAGTCTGGCTCCCAGGGACTCAAAAAGACTGACCAATAGGCACTACGGGTGTAGCAGATGCAATTGGTGCTCCACTTCACATCCGCTCACCTTCCAGCTGGGCAGGAAGTTCTGAGGAACATACTCCCAGGAGCAGCTCTCATCCAGTGACTGACGGCATTAGTGTATGAAGGCCCAGCTCCCTCCTCCGTGGGTGGGATAATTTTGTGGTGTATATGCTCCAGTGGCTCCCAGAATTCCCTAGAAAATGACATTCCAGTTGTCCACAACAATAACTGGCTTGATAGCACACCCTTTATGGATGTCCTTCTTGTCCCTGTCTCATTTCCCCGCTCCCCTGCTGGTGATTCGCAGGTTTGCCTTGTAAATAAGCTATTTGCACCCAGATCACCAATTCAGGATCTACTGCTGGTGACTGAACACCTGGGCAATTTGAAGACTGAAGGGTTTCCTATACTCATGAAGCTGTCTTCTAGCTGGGGAGATCTAACATTTGCACATAAACCAGGCTAAAGCCTCAAAAAAACAAAATTAGCCTGTTCCTAAAGAGAATAACGTGTTTGGTAAAACCTCAGTTGAAAAGGCCAAGATCACATGAAAACAATAAAAGTGACATTCTATGCATCTTTAAACTATGGTAAATCAAAGTTCTGGGAGGTATCCCTTTCCGAAACAAACAAAATTTGTTCATGTTGAAGTTTTGTTCTGGGAAGTTGCCCTGCTCCTGAATGACCTTCCTCAATGGCCCCACGGTCACAGGTTTGGTGCTGGGACCTGCTAAAGCATGGATTCCTGCAGACTGAACATGAGAGCTGATGGCAAAGAGTTCTCAGGCCCAACGTTAGATAACATACATCCACACCATGAGGGAGTTTTCCTCTTTATAACTTGTTTTCAATGTTTCTGCTTGTGTTAAGAGAAAAACGCAAACAAAACCAATCAAAATAAAACAAAATCTCGATGTTGTATTTAAGGTTACCTTTAACAAAATACTCACTTGTTCTTCTTTATTTCCCAGTGTTGTCCCTTCCCGTGAGACCTAGGCCATATAACTGGCTCTGACCGATAGATGTGAGCAGAAGTTATGTGGTCCCTTCTGAGCCAAGGCAGGTAAAGATGGTGCATCCTCACCCTCTCCTCCCTTTCTGCAGCCACCAGACAAGCTGTATGATGTGGTGATGGAGCCAGAATGAATACAGTCTGCAGCCTTGAGTGGAGATTCAGGATGGACACGACCCTGGGGAGTACTCTGAGCCCAGCAGGCTTTGTGTGACCCATAGGTAAAGCTTTGTTGGGGTAAGTCACAAGATTTCAATGTTGTACTTACTACCACAGCATAGCCTAGCATGCTGACCACTAAACCATAGACCACTAAACCCTGACCACTATAACCACTTTTCCAATGTTCCATTTTACAGAGAGAGGACAGGCCTCGAGCTAATGGCCATCAGCAGGCAAACATAACCAGCTAGGATTTAATGCTCTTGTTTTGTTTTCATAGCAGTTATTTCTACCATGGAAGGTGATAATGGTTTGTTATTTATTTATAGTACTGATTCAAGGTTTTCATTTAAATAATTTTATTGAAATTTTTTTAAGTAAGTCAATTTATAGAAAAACAATAAGTATCAGGTAAAACCATGAAGGTAAAACCAAATGACTGAAACGTAGGAAACATGACATTGGCTTCACAGAAGGAGAAAGAGGCAATCGCAGCTGGCAGGTTTTTTTTTGTTTGACGGAACAGAATCGTACATCTGCAACAAGATCGTGGATTTTTTAAATGTGGCTGTACACCACCACACCATGTTATCTCACAATCTGGTTGGACAAAACCTCACTTGGCCAGACTCTACAAAGGCAGACTGGGTAAATCCACCCAGAGGATGGATCAAAGCAGAGGTGCTGAGACACTGATGCCTGTCCTTGGGACAAGCTACCTGCAAAAGAAGGACTTAAACTGGCATATTATGGCTATAATTGGGGAAACAATAATCATTCGGGGGGGAAAAAGAGTAAGGGGCGTTTGCGGCATGGAAAAGACTGTTTTAACATATGTGCTAGTAAAGCCCACAATTTTAAAAACACAGGTTCCTAAGCCCGAGACCTCTGGATTCAAATGTAACTCCATCACTTGACCTTGGGCCCATTAATTAACCTCCATGAACCTTGGTTCTCATTTGTAAAATGGAAATAATAAGACAACCTCCCTAATCAGGTTATTGTATTTAATGAGTTATTACATGTAAGTGCTGAGATTAGTACCTTGAACATAACAAATACTAGACAAGTATTGGCTATGTTTTTTCTCTTTTTTAAAAAAACTTGATACATAGTAAAACCTTAGTAAAAGGTGTTTGAGTTTGAATGAAAGAAAATAAGTATCTGGATGTAAAAGAGCGTTAAAATTAGCTAAAGAGAGTCATTTTGTCCACTTATTATCGGGAGTTAAAAATATGCATATAAATCCTAGCAATCATGCCAACACAAATGCCCATATTTTGCAGCTAAAAAGCTAGGACTAGGTCTAGAATTCAATTATTGATTATAGTCTACCATCTTATTTAGACTCTAATTCTTCAGGGAGTGAATGCTACCCAAAATGGACGCTCTGAAGGGCTTTATATTGCATTTCACTTTATCAAAAGTGCACCAAAGGAACTGCAGCAGAAAAGGTTAAGAATTGTTCTTCAGAAGTTTTTAGAATGCAAGTGGCAACCCAATAATAGGCAATATAATTAATTTAGTGGGTTGGAACTTCCATTTAAAAAATAATAAAATAAAAATACCAGTGCAATGCCCATATAAGGAAAAACCATTGCTACACATACATACACACACACCAGTCTTCTATGCAAATATACTTCTTGTGAGTCATGTTTAAAAGTTCATGAGATGGGCCATAGCTCCTTTAAGGTTTCTCTTCATCAGCCATACATTTGTTTTATTATTTCTTTAGCATCTATCCATCCAGTTCTCCTCCCAAACTCAATTCCCTGAGGCCACATTTGTCTTTTTCAACCTTCATAAACAATAACATGAGCACGGTGCCTAACACATGGCAGATACTCAACAAATGTTGACTGAATAAATAAGGTTTGAGTTATTCCACAAGCCCACAAGTCCAGGGGCCACCCATTTCTCACTTAGATATTTATTTTTGCTGCAAAATAAATATGAGTGCATTTCTCCTTTCCTAACTGTCTGCTTTCACTGTCTTCAAGTAAAGGATTCAGGCAGGCTGCTGACATTGACTTTTTCCTCTATCAACTGCTGTGGTCAGAGCTTTCACATATGATCTTACCTTTCCCCAGGAGAGCACTGTCATTTTTTTTGCAGACGTGGACACTCAGGCCCAGAACAGCAACTTATACCCGCCCAAGGTCACAGAGCTACCAACTTCTCTATGACCTGATACCCTGTGCCCTGCACATTCTGCACCATGGGTCCTCAATATAGAAGAATCTGTTTGCATTCTTCTCCAAAAAGAGACTGGGGTCTCAGTGGGCCTGTGGCTCATTTACACAATACAATGAGGAAGCAAGTGTGATAAAGCTCTCCCAAGCCCTGGATTCCTGCCCACATCATGAGTGTCACCTGTATGCATCCAACTTAGAGAAAGCTCCTTCCCAGGGGACCTCTCTTGCTTTCCAGAAGTTCAAGAAGCAAGAGGGGCTCCCCTGGCAATCTTCTCATGAAAAATAAGCCCTGAGTCACACAGCCACAGAGTTTTTTTCTCACACTTAAATACAAATTCTTCTGGTATTAAAAAGATCAATCATAAGTTATACTTTAAAATATCTATAAATGTCTCTTAAATATTTCTCCATGTGTCACTGTCCCATAAACACTATTAAACATTAAGAAGGGAAGACAGGACAATTGCATTCTGTGGTTTCATTTTGCCTTTGCCTCTCCCTCTCTGGGCCCTTGATTGATTCACTTACCACTCAGTGCGTCCATCGCCCAGGCCACTGCTCCCTGGGCCACGAGGTGGACAAATGAACAGCTTCTGAGAAAAATCCACTTATTCCTTTAGAAATATTTGAGGCACCTACTATTTGCTAGACTGTTCAAGATGGGCTCATATGCATTGAATCAAAGATTTTGAAGAGAAGACAAAGTCGCTCATGGATTTTTTTTTAAGTGAGCATCATTTTAAAGTCCTATCAAATCAGAAGATCTGCCAATAGGAATGCAGCTTTTAAAGAAACAGGCACACACCCAATGATCGAAATCCACAGGTGTGGCGTGTAGCGCACTCAACCACAGCACAATGCCCCCGCTTCTGAGATGAGAATGATCTGGGATATTAACCACTACATGTTGGTGCCAGGCTACGTGGGAGACAGAGCTGAAGCAGACAGTCTCTGCCCTCTAGGAAGGAGCTCAGTGTCCCAAGAGAGACCCAAGGGCACAGATAACCAAACACAAGTCAATCTTGGATCAGCATTCTGGAGAGCCTGTGGGAATGGTGTAGACCGGGATCATAGTAGCATAAACATGTTTCTAATCAGAACCCCTTTAAGGAGCTTAGCAAAGGCTTCATAGAAGAGGTGGCATTTGAGCAGGACCTGCAAAGGTGCTTGAAATAGTAACAGCTCTACGAGGATTTAGCAGGGAACAGTATGGGCAACAATGAGGAGGCAGGAAAGAGGATGGCTGAGAAAACAGGGTTTCTCCCTGGGGGCAGGGGGAGATAAAGGCAGAGGAATGGAGACGGAGTCCAGAAAAGGCGGCTGAAGGTAGCTTTGTGTATGACACCTGACTACACAGGAAGGGCTTAAGGAGCAGGCAGCATAGCACAGATCACAGAAGAATAAGTATGCCAACTGCTGGGGCAAGTATGTCCCTGGTCCATGGACACATCATTCTCTCAGCATTGTTGCAACAAAACATCCCTCTTAATGGGGGTCACACTGCCCCCATGCATCCTGGTGACCTTGCTCACTGCCCCAGCACTGGTAAAGCAAGTAGATATATGGACTTAGGTGAGGAGATAGAACAACTGCCCAGGAGAATGGCCAATAATTCCAAGGCCCCTGAGAGCAGAAAAACACAGTTATTTGAAGTATCTCCACTCAGAAATTCATTCACCCATCCCTTCCTTCCTCCCTCCCCCAACTATCCATCCCTCTACCTATTCATCCATCTACTCATCCACCTGTCCACTCCATTCATTCACCCAACTATCTATCCACTCATCTCTCCATCCATCCATTCACCCATCCATCCATTATCCGTCCCTACATCCATTCATTCATCTATTCACCCACCGGTCCATTCACCTATCCATCCATTAATCCATCTCTACATCCATTAATTAATCTACTTATCCACCAACCCATCCATTCACCCATCCACCCATTAACCCATCCCTACATCTATTCATTCATCTATCTGTCCATCCACTCATCCATCCATTCACCCATCCACCCATTAATGCATCCCTGCATCCATTCATTCATCTATCCACCCACACATCCATCCATTCACCCATCCATCTATCCTCTATCCCTACATCCATTCATTCATCTATCCACCCACTCATCCATCCATTTACCCATCCATCCATTATCCAACCCTACATCCATTCATTCGTCTATCCACCCACCCACCCATCCATTCACCCATCCATCCAATCCATTCACTCACCTCTCTGTCCCTTTCTCCATACACCCACTCATCCATCCATCCATCCATCCATCCATCCATCATGTATTAAGCACCAATTCCACAGCTACACCAAGAGTTATCTCCTCTTAGAATACATCCTAATCCTCCTGGCTCAATTATAATTATCATTTTGTTTATTCCTCTCTAGTATTTTTGTTTTCATGTATGACTTACGCCTCTTCCAGGGTAATTTGACCATGGCTCTACCATTTAAAGGAATTAAATTGTAGTAATTATAATAAGAGAAATAATAATGACATTACCATTTATTGAGGATTTACCATGTCCCAAGTTATTTGGTGAGCCCTCATAATGGCTCCCAGAGATACCAGTATGTTCCCAAACTTAGACTACATAGTCACACTGCTGAAGAAGCAAGACAGGAATGAGGTGTCCAGGCCTGTGGAGTCCCTGCCCTTCTCCAGAGAGGGAAGGGGGCTGAGGAGAGCCACTTGGGTTTCACTCATTTCCATACTCTTGCCCCTGGAATGAAAAGATTCCATTGTGCCTTTCATTTTCATTATATTTTTCCTTCAAAATCCCCTAAGTATTTCCCAAAGTTTAGACCTTTAACATTTAAAGTAGAAACTGAAAAGGAAAAACTAGAAAATGACAAATTCAGTTCCCAGCAGGTAAACTGCATCCTAAAACTGGAGTTCTAGGGGTTTTTCATCTTTTTTATTTTGTTTTGTCTCCCTAGAGACCACCAGAAGTTTTGGGGGTTTTTCTTCTATGGAGGGAAGCAAATCCCCAAAACTGAACTTCCCCAGAGAAGGTCAAATCTGTTACTAGTCCTTGTGTGTGCTTGTATGTGTTTCCATATGAGACAGAAAGAGAGACAGAGACAGAGAGATAAAGAGAGAAACAGAGGGGGAGGGGAGGGAAGAAGGAAGGGGGGAGGAAGAGGGAGGGAGGGAGGGAGGGAGGGAGGGAGAGAGAGAGAGAGAGAGAGAGAGAGAGAGAGAGAGAGAGAGAGAGACAGATACTTCAGGACAGCCCTCTCTGTTACTAAAATAGTACACAGTGAAGCACTCATTCAAGAGCCAGACACTGTCCGTCTTCCCCCTAACCAAACTTCTTTAAATCTCAGAGAACCTGGAGGTACACTGCTGTGGGTACCCAAAACACATCACACTGGGGACCGAGCTTGCTGTCCTCACCCTACAAGCTGCTCCTCGTCATGTGTTCCTTGTTTGGCTGATGAGACCACCCAGCCACTGAAGGCCCTGCCCTGGGCTCCAGGCATCAGAGGGTCCCCTGTCTCCTTCCTACAGCCACATCCTCTCAAAGAGAGGAGGAGTCTGTGGGCCAAGGGGACATGCCAACCCGGAACCCACACCCTTCCTCATCTACGCCTCACTCCGAATACTTTCAGGGATCCTGAAAGTCCCCAACCAAATGTTTGCCTTGAGCTTGCTTCTTGGACTTGTGTGGGCCCCTTTCCCAGGTGGTCCTCCTGAGGGCAGACAACACTGCCTATGTGTGCAACCCTAGGCCCAAGGCAGCCAAGAGGTGGCTGGTGGAGGTAGCATAGATTTATGCAAGCTGAGGGCTCCACACATATGTGTGTGTGTGTGTGTGTGTGTGTGTGTGTGCACATGGGACCCCTTGCTGTAGTGATTAGGGCCAGGAGGATGGCCAAGAAAGGGGTCGGGCCACAGGTTGAGGACATTGCGATTTTGCTCCTTCCCTGAGTCCACAAATGTCAGGGACAAGTATGGATTCTACCTCCAGAACATCTCCCCAGTGCACATTCTGCAGTTCTCACTGTCGTGGCATAAAACCTTCACCACTGGACTGTCTCGCTCCCCTCAGGATCCCTCACTTCTCCCTGTGATCTGTATTGGTTGGTGCTTGAGTTGTCTATTTTTTTTTTTTTTTTTTTTTTGATGGAGTTTTGCTCTGTCACCCAGGGTGGAGCACAATGGCACGATCTTAGCTCACTGCAACCTCTGTCTCCCGGGTTCAAGTGATCTTCCTGCCTCAGCCTCCTGAGTAGCTGGGATTACAGATGCCCACCACCACACCCGGCTAATTTTTGTATTTTTAGTAGAGATGGGGTTTCACCATGTTGGTCAGGCTGGTCTCAAACTCCTGACCTCAAGTGATCTGCCTGCCTCAGCCTCCCAGAATGCTGGGAATACAGGCGTGAGCCACCGCACCCGGCCCGAGCTGTCTTCTTAAGGCATAAAACTGGTCAGATCCTCCACCCAGTCCACGGTGAAAGCTTCTTATCTGACATGAAAACACAGCCACCTGTGGTCCACTGGTTCCTGACCTGCTGGCCAACTCCACCTCCTTTTTCGCTTCACCTATATGAGGGCTCAGGCCACACTGACTCTGACCCTGCAAACCCCAACCCCCTGCCACATGCTAGTGTCCAAGCTGCCTTCCAGTGGGGAACACGTTCTTCACTTGGCAAGCCCATTCCAGCGCCTAGTTCTGATTCCACAGTCACCTTTTTGAGGTCTCCTGCACCCCAATGCCTCCCAAAATTTAACCAAGTGGCTCCTCTCCCTGGGTCTGCAGCCTGTACTGGAAGGCATTTCTGACCATTCTGAAGTCTGATTCTGTGTCTACCTGTCCCTCCACATTGTGAGCCCTTCAAGGGAGGGACCTCAGCTTGGTCTCTGCATCCCAGCACTGTATGTAGTATATGGAAGGGTAGCAAGAATGAAGGAGACATCTGGAGCTAAGAGCCCGTGGGCATGTCAAGGAGCATGTTTGGGCCATCGCGGAAGCCAGTGGCATAAAAACCTTCCCATCAGCTGGGCGCAGTGGCTCACGCCTGTAATCCCAGCACTTTGGGACGCCAAGGCGGACGGATCACAAGGTCAAAACCAGCCTGGCCAGCATGGTGAAACCCTGTCTCTACTAAAAATATAAAAATTAGCTGGGCATGGTGGCACACGCCTATAGTCCCAACTCCTCGGGGGGCTGAGGCAGGAGAATTGCTTGAACCCAGGAGGCGGAGGTTGTGGTGAGCCGAGATGGTGCCAGTGCACTCCAGCTGGGCGACAGAGCAAGAGTCCGTCTCAAAAACAAACAAACAAACAGAAAAATCTTCCCATCATAACTACCTCTGAAGCCTTTGGAAAAGCCCACCTTGGCTCTCAGAGTCAAGCAGGACAATAAAAGCAAACAGTAATACAGGGCTTACCATGTTCCAGGCTTTATCTACACTAACACTGTAATCCTCACCAAAATCTCACAAGCATCCCCATTGTACAGGGGAGGAAACAGAGGCACAGAAAGGTTACATAACTTGCCCAAGGTCACACAGAGTATGGAAGAGTCAGGCTCTGGCCCAGGCCATTTGGAGCCAAAGTCTGTCATTGTTTCTACCATGGGATACCACTGACAATAGCAAAGAAGGAATGAAGGAAGGAAAGGAGGGAGGGAGAAGAAAGGAGTCTGTTTTGGTCCCTCCTTTACCAGAGATTAGTGGGAAATTCTCCAAGCAAGGGCTCCTCTGATTCCTTTCGTCTGCTAATTCCATATATGCCAAATACTGGTTTTTAGAGTCAGAAGAGCCAACGCTTCCTCTGTGCCAAGCTGACGGCCTTAGACACTCAAGGTCCTTACTTCACACGTCAGCCTCACTACTCAGATGTGACTGGTCTCCTCATTTTACAGATGGGGACACTAAGGCCCAGAAGAGCAAAGCCACACACCCAAGTGACAGCCAGCAGGCAGTGCAGGGGGAATTCCCAGCTGTCCCCTCACCCCCAGCTCTCACTCTGACATTTATTTTTCATCTTTTTTGGTAGGCGTGCACTGTTCCTCTGAAAAAGGTATGGGTTCTGATGCAGAAAAGGCAAATTGGAAATCTAGGGATATTATCAGCCTCATTCACTGAAAGGGGAAATTTTCCCTCTTTGCTGAAACTTTCATGCAGGTAAGAGAAGGCCTTCAGCCGCAGCCTTGGCCCGGACATCTGTCCAAAGCTCCAGGAGGGGCAGGCGTGCAGCCTGGCAGTGTCCACAACTGTGACAGAGCCCTGCGCAGCCTCCACGTCTGCCTCTTGCTGCCACCCTGTGACAAAGTGTGGCAATCGCAGGCGGGAAACAGGGCCCAGGAGCCAACGGGGATGGAGGGGCCCTAACGGTGACACCCCGCAGACTCCCTCAGGGCCTCCCCCTAAGACGTTCTGTGCACATGCGGCTCAGAAAGACCACACTCCCTTGTAGCTTCCATGGGCCCTGCTGGATGTGTGGAGAACTCTGTGGAGCTCACTCATCAAAGAGACACACTAGGCCACGCCCCCCTTCCCCACATTCCTGTGTCAGCCCATGGAATGGTAACATGCACCAAACCCTACAGAGGAAGAGTGAGAGACTGGACACAAACATTGCTCCCCTGCCAGTGAACTTGTGTGGGCAGAGCTGGGCAGACCTAGCTTATCAGCTGCAGCTAAGCCTCCTGCTCTCCCGGCAGTGGGAAAGAGAGCAGCATTGTTCCCAAAAGGCCTGCCTTTGTCCCCACTATCCGTGGATGTACCAAGCCACTCTCAGCATCAGTCCCTGTGCTCGGGAACTAGAGGCCAAGGTCACCTCGAGTGTAGTGGAGGTCACAGACTGGAAGGAAGTTAGCCAACAAATTCATAACAGTTACACCCAGGGACCAGCGCCTTCAAGAAAGTCCCAGGAGTAGCAGTACTGCATACAGGGCTTAGGGCTAGGGTTTAACACCAGGTCAAGGGCAGAAGTCAAGGCTGCAGGAATGAGGATAGCAGGGAAGAGGGCTGCCCCATCCCGAACAGAGAACCAGGAAAAAAGACCTATTTAAATAACAACAACAATAACAACCATAATAGAAATTCTAGAAGTGAAAAATATAATACAGGTTTTAAAAAATATATAAGCAAGTAAAAACAGTGAGATTAGGCCCACCTGAAGAGAAAGTAGGTGAAAAAAAGACAAACTGATGAAACCCCTCAAAATGCAGTGCAGAAAGATAAAGAGAAAATATGAAAGCGATATTAAGAGACGTGAAGGCTAAAATGAAAAGCTCCAACAGCCATCCCGGAGAGAAGAGAGGCAATGACGAAGCAATACTGAAAAAGATAAAAGTGGACACTCTTCCATAATTGAAAGCAGACAGGGGTCTCCCTATTGAAAAGTTGCCTGTTGGTCTATCTCACTTGTCGACTTCATGCAGTCTCTGGATGCTGCGCCCTGCACTGGGTGCTGAGGATGACCAGTGCTAAAGACAGGCACAGGGCAGACCCTACCCAGAGAAACGTAGATCGCAGAGCCCCCAGGATGTGGGGATATGCCATGCAGGGCTAGGCTCTGCTGCATATAACAAGCCTGTCATTCAGAAACCACCTGGAATCCTTCTTCTTTCTTAGACATCTTAGTGATATTAAATGGCTGAGAGGGACACTTCCCTAAAAGAAAAAAACTGCAATTCTTTACAGTGTCTAGAGCTCCCCATTTTTCAAGCTAGCAGTAAAGAGCTTGCAGTTTGGCAACCAGGCTCCAGAATTCCACACACACACATCCAGGGTACTTTCATTATCAAAACACCCTGGTCCCCTACCACCGTGCACAGCGCAACTTCGCATCTGCAAATATCTCCATTTACTCCGGGGTTTAGACCCCATTACATAATTGGCAACTTACCGCATTTTAATTAGCCATTGTTAATTCCTATTATTACTGTTACCCTTAATTTATTAGACTGCTAAAACAACTGCATTTGGGAGCTTAAACAGACAGTTTGCTCTGTCCCAGCCAACACTTAGATCTTGGTCTATCTTTTTAATGCCAGTCTTCTAGGGTAGGAGCCAATCTAAAATCTCAAAGTCTTTGGGAGATCCTATAAAGAGATATTTAAAGTGAAGCTTGACACCCTGAGACCTCTCTCTAAACCACAGCGAGTAGTTAAAACAAACACACAACTAATCTCTGAATATCTTTAAATTCTGTTAAAAACAGCAGAAGTTTTTTAAATGAATCGAATTCCTATAGTCCTAAGCTTGAAGGTTGGAATAAACAGTAAAAATGATAAAAACACTTGGCATTACTGAGCCCTTACTGTGTGTTCAATTCTCTGCTAAACTCTTGACATGTATTATTTCACTTAATCCTCATAATAACTCCGTAAGTGCATATTATTTTTCCCTTAGCAAACTAAAACTCAAATAAGTTGAGTACTTTGCTCAAATCCACACAACTAGTAAGCAGCAAAGCCAGTATTTGAACCCAGGTATGCCTGGCCCCAGAGCCTGGCTTTGCATCTTATGTTGATTATCTTGCCTATATAAGGAAGAGTAAAGGCCATTTGGTCCAACCAAATCTGTCTGGTCTCCCAGGCAAGCCTGTGTCAGACACAGAGCTGGATACTACAAGAGAAACAAAGAGGAGAATTTCACATATGCACATGCAATGCACACACACAGGGCAGCGAGAATGGAGAGCGCTGATGAAGTTCACACCCTTGGCACAGTGAATCCCCTTATGAGGATGCTCTGAGGGGCATAATCAGTAATCAAATTCACAGAGACAGAAAAGATGTTCATCAGAGCACTGTTTACACTGGGGGAAACCTGGGCAACAACCTTCATGCTCCACACTGGGGAAAAGGGGACACAGCCACACAACATCCCCAGGGGGAAATGTTTTGTAGCCAGAACACAAATCATTTCGGAAAATGATGAGTAATAGGGGATATGCTCATAAGATACAGTTGGGAGAAAATGCAAAATAACTTTATGTTGACAATCTGATTTCAGTTTTCAGCAGCCTGAAAGAAATGCTGCAAAATTTTAATGTGAATATTCTTGCATCATAAGATTCAGAAATTTCTTTCTTTTTGTATCATCTGGTACATTCCAATTTTTCAAAGAAGAGGATAAATTTTATCTATCATATGAAAAAGCAGCATTTTTTGTGGTCCCTACAGTACTGCCTGAATCTGCTTTAAAATATCTTCCCATTATAACATAGCTGATACAATATGATCTCATTTATGTAAAGTACATATACATATACACAAATATACATACATGTAAGCAAAAGAAAAAAGACTCAAAGAAATACATCAAAATATTAACAATCGGCCAGGCACGGTGGCTCATGCCTGTAATTCCAGCACTTTGGGAGGCCGAGGCAGGTGGATCACAAGATCAGAACATCGAGACCATCCTGTCTAACACAGTGAAACCCCGTCTCTACTAAAAATACAAAAAATTAGCCAGGCATGCTGGCGGGCGCCTGTAGTCCCAGCTACTTGGGAGGCTGAGGCAGGAGAATGGTGTGAACCCGGGAGTCAGAGCTTGCAGTGAGCTGAGATTACGCCACTGCACTCCAGCCTGGGCGACAGAGCAAGCCTCCATCTCAAAAATATAAAAATAAAAATAAAAAAATTAACAATGACAAGGCCAGAATAATGGGATAGCAGTTTGTTGTTACTTGCTTTTTGATTTATCCATTATTTCCAAAATTTTCCATAGTGAACAGGCAATGTTTTATAATTTTAAAAGCTCCAAGTTGATCATAGTTATTATTTCTTCCCAGCAGTCATCCAGCATTTATACATGAACACAAGGAAATTCTTGTCTCTAGCACTTCTGAAGCCCGTGCCATCATACAAAACATCCACACCTGCAATAATGAACTCAGCATTTGTGTTGAGGGGAAGCCACTTACATGACAACTGCCCTGGGAGCTTCTTCAATCCTGGGAAGAAAAGCAACTAGGACAAAAGAATTTGGCCAGAACCAAGCAGTTGTTGCTGGTATAACCAGTGTGTGTCTTAGCCTTGCTACCTACTTCCTGTGATGGGAACAAATTCTGGAGCAAAGAAACCTAGTCACAGCCTGCTTTTCACTGTACTTGGAGAACCAGTGTTAGCTAGTTACTCCTTATCACTCAGGGTTGTTGTACTTGTACACACTCAGGGAGAGGGATGGCTTATACCTGTCCCTAACTAGCACAATCATTTTCACAGATACAACTCCACAAATGCAGGCCATGAGAGAAAGGAAGTATAGTATAGTGGTTACAGACATAGGCACTGGAGTCAAAATGCCCATTGTGGAATCCTGGCTCTACTGCCTCCTAGCCAAATAGCTTTGGGAAAGCCAATTAACATATTCCATGCCTCAGCTTCTTCATCAGTTAAATATGGATGGTAATAGAGTAGCTTGCTCACAGGGTTGTGAGGATTTAGTGAGGTAATATGTCTTAGGTATTCTGAATGCTGTCTGGGCTTACATTAAATGTTCAACAAGTAGTAGTGTATCATCATCATCATCATCATCACCATCATCAGGCTTTGCCCTAAGGAGCCAAGAGGAAAACAAAGATGAGAAAAGGGCCTCGAAACACTTGTGGAGCTGAGGAAAGGGCCCACGGATACTACAACAGTAATTAGAAATCAAGGTCAGCTATAATGAACAAAGTGAGGTACAAAGAGGAGGAGGTTGGAATAAGGCTTCCTGAAGGCAGTAGCAACTGAGAGCCCAGCACTGAGCCCCTGGCATAGCAGGAACTGAAAAGCTCTTTGCTGAACTAAAGAATCAGGCCAGGAAGACTGAGAATTTAACAAGCTGCTATAGTGGCAAGGGAGGGAGTTTGGGGCAGTAGAAACAAGAGAACGAAGGGCCAAGAAGAAAGTACAGGATAAGTCCCTGAACTCACACAAGGAGGAGCAGTGAGGGTGACGCTGGACCAGGACAGGAAAGGGTCACAGCAGCACAAAGGGTCCAGGGACCCCTCTTCCACCTTTCTGTCATAGTAATTCCTCATCCCTCTGGTCTCAGTAAAGAATCATGCCTTGGCAAGCCTCCTCCGAACCCAGACCAGAGCAGGTCTTCAGGTCATGAACTATCAGCATTCCTTCATGGAACTGCAAGGAGACTTGCATGCATTAGTCTAATTATTTGAGATATGCCTGATTCTCACATTAGATTGTAATCTCCACGAGGGTGCAATCTTATTTTGCTTGTTCTTCTAATCCAAGAGCCGGCATGATACCTGGACAGAGTAGCAAGATGCAAAAATGTTTGTTGAATAAACGAATGAATAAATGAATGGATAAAATTATCAAATTCAGGTTGTTTTCTTGTGCTTCTGCTGGGGACCAAGGCAGTAACATTTTCTCTGGAGATGCTCTCCAGTTCCTCCCTACAAATGAAGTGGAGAAATGGAAAAAGAATGTGTTATTGATGTATTTTGACATCCTGGATTAAAAGCTGCTACACAAGAAGCATAGTATTAATAGCCATCATCTCTCAAATTTATACTGCACTATTCAAGGGCTGAGTTCGAGGACTTTTTAAAAAAGAATACAAAGTGCTCTTCTTCACACTTCAGCCCCTCTGCCTCTCCTTCTCTTCCTCTCTTAACCCAGCATTCTTGCCCACAAAACAGGACCTGAGAAAGCAGATGAGCAGTAAAGTTTCATAGACCATTGCCTCGGGAAAATGAAGGTTTTGGACAGGTTGGTTGGGAGGCTTAAGTCACTATTGCAATAAACAAGGCAAAGATGATACATACACAGGGAGCTCAATGGGAAACACTTTCCCTTACTAAGTCCCAGAAAAAGCACTTTGAATGGAGCCTTGGGTATGGGCTGTTTCGACTTCCTAGGGGGACTCTGTGGTTAATTCAGCACATAAGAGCTTTTAGGGAATTTTTTCCCCCAAATAGAGAAGGGTTACCAGTATGCCATTGCACCCAAGAATGAGAATTGATCATCTAAACAACCATGAGTCTACATCTAATATGACACATCTCAGGCATGCATGCACACACGCGCGCGCGCGCACACACACACACACACACACACACAGGTTTCACCTGCAGATCAGACAGTGTTTCTCTTGGAAATTTAGACAACACCACAGAGAGGTGCCAACGAGCCCCCACTAGCTTATAGTCATGGCTGAGGACCAGGCAGACCTCTGTTTTGTCTCTTTTGATCTCACTGACTTCTCCAAGCCCCAGTTTTCTCAGCTGGTAAAGTGTTCATTCATTCTCCACACTCACTCATTCATTTATTCCATAGATATTTTCTGACAGAGACTATTACAGGAGCCAAAAATCCGAAGGCAGTAGCAACTGAGAGCCCAGGACCAACCAAACAAAGGTCTTGCTCTAGGGAACCAACATTCTCTGGATGAGGCATTACCACTGACATCAGAGGGTGGGTGTGCAACCCAGAGAGGTGACGTGACTTGCCTAAGGCCACACAGCTAATAAGTGGTGGCACTGATCTGTGAACCCAGGGCTGTCTGAACACGAAGCCTGGACTCCCAACTGCATTTGCATTTGCCTCTTCCTCTGCTAGCAGTCACCTTAGTTGGTCCCAAGTGTTAGCACTGGGCTATGCAATGTCAAAGGCCCAGATAGAGGAAATTTGGGAGTGGCATGCCTGGCAGCAATGGAGAGGAAATGTGAGAGAAAGTGGGGCGAGTGGAAGAGGGCAGGGTGTGAAGCCCAGGGAGAGCAGTGGTCTTCAGAACGCCTGGTATTTTGCTGAGCACTGGAGAACCTACAGTGTTTTTGCATCTCTGTTATAGTGGCTGCCTCCTCCTTAGAGCACCCACTGCATCCAGTATTTGTTTTTGTGCCTGCTGGACAAATATTTGTTTTCACATCTCCTTCTCTGACCAGGGATCATCTTTTTGAGGCCAGGAATGACGGCATGCCAGGACCTGGCCCAAGGAGATGTCTCACCTTTGATGCCAAGAATTAAAATAATGGTTGCTGCCCATTCACTGAATTCCTATGACTGCCAGACACTGAGATAAAGTTTAAATTCCTGATCCAATTTAATCCTCATGACAGTCCAATGAAATAGGGATCATTTAAGGAAGAGGAAAATGGGAAGTAGAGAAGCTGAGAAACTGCTTTAAGCCACTGGTGGAGCCAGGATTCGAACCCACGGCCAGCTTCCGGTTTCAGGAACCTCACCCCTCAGCTCCATTGCTTATGTCTGGCCCAAGCAGCCAGTGTTCCTGAGATGTGCATTTCCCCTAAGCCTCTCAGGTTACATCTCAGCCTTCCATCCCCAGAGAGAACTCAGCTCTCCTCCCTGCCTCCAGCCTGGGCTGTGAACACACCACACTTGTTGAATGAATGCTGGCTTTTTTTTTATTTGGCAGTTTAAAGCAATTAACGTCATTTAGTCAGGCATGTTATTAAGTCAACATTCAAGGGAGGGTGGATCAGGGAAATGAATATACCAGGTTATATAAATACCAATTTACTCACTGTCTAAAATATCACAGAACTTCATCATATGTCAAATATTTTAGTCCCTTTTATTTTTGCCTTTTACATTCAAGGAAGACTCCATTCCCATACACAACTCTAAGAATGAGGCTGCGGTACAAGGGCTCCTGGGAGATAATGTCAGCAAAAATGCAGAGAAGAATTTGCCAAAATGCTATGTCATTTCTGCCTGCTCTGACATGAATGCGACTTTAGTCTTCTCTTGGCCATTCAGCTAAGTCTGCCTTGTCTGCAGAGCGTGGGCAGGCGTGAGTCTGCTGAGCCTGCTGGACAGCACCCCGAGGTGGGGACAGCAGCCCGTGCATGCCTCCCTCCACTCACAGAGACACCTGATGCAGACAGCTGCAGGGCAACAGGTATGGGTGGGATGGGGGCACACTGGGACAAAGTGAAAAGAAGAAAGCCCAGAACCAAGTGCCACCCATCTCATGGTGGAACGCACCAGGAAATGAGGTTGGATCTGCTGTCCTCTGGAACTGTGCTGTCCTCTGGAACTGTGCTGACCTTTGAGCTCTACTGCAGGCAAGCCCAGGGAGAAGCAGCGAGCTGCCCCAGATCCCCAAGCTCAGCAGTGTCAGGCCAGAACTAGAACCTGGACGTCCAGACCCCAGGCCAGACTCCTGCCCCCTCCAGCCCAGTGTCTCTCTGGTCCAACCACATCCTGCCCAAACAACAAAAAGAAAAGGGATCCAAATACAGAAAACCAGATCCAGATGGTAAGAGGAGAAATCCTAAGGAGGAGGTGGAACAAGACAAAATTAATCTTCAGAAAACAAAAAACAAACACATGCAAATATAATAGTCACCTTTTCATCTGGGATGGTGGTCCTTCACCTGGCTCTTCCATCACTAGCTTCGTGATCTTGGGCTCTACTTCCCCAAATGCAGAATGAGGATGGAATATGACTCATGGGCTAGTTATGAGGATTAACTTAAACGATATCCTCATACACTCAATCAGTCACCAAACCCTGGTGACATCTCCTTGGGCCAGGTCCTGGCATCCCAAGAAGTACAAGCCATCATTTCTGGCCTCAAAACAATGACCCCTGGTCAGAGAAGGAGATGTGAAAACAAGTATTTGTCCAGCAAGTACAATAACAAACACCGGATGCAGTGGGTGCTTTAAGGAGGAGGCAGGCACTATAACCAGAGATGCAAAAACACTGCAGGTTCTCTAGGTGCTAGGCAAAATACCAGATGCTCCGAGGACCACCGCTCACCCCAAGCTTCACAGACTGCCCTCTTCCAATCTCCCCGCTCTCTCTCACATGTCCTCCCCACTGCTCCCCAGCATGCCATCTCCAAATTTCCTCTCTCTGGCCTTCCACATTGCATAGCCCAGTGCTAACACTTGGAACCAACTAAAGTGGCTGCTGGCAAAGGAAGAGGCAAATGCAAATGCAGTTGAGAGTCCAGGCTTCATGTTCAGACAGCGCTGGATTCACAAATCGAGGCCACCACTTATTAGCTGTGTTGCCCTGGGCAAGTCACATCACCTCCATGAACTCATGTCTTCCTCTGGAAAATGATGCCATCAGAGCACCTGTCCCATGGGATCGTCGCAGTGGTGAAATGAAATTTATACAGACAGCACAGCACTGTGACTGGCTCATAAGCATTAGCTATCACCACTGATCGTTATTACTGGGGAAAACACAGCCTAGGTCTCAAAGATCAATGCTGCACCTCCCAGAATAAAACTGAACTAACTTATAATTTACCCCGGTAACATTTAGAGCACGGGTTTTTAAAACACATTTATTATATTGTGAAATCAATTTATAGGTCAGAGTCAGCCTTCTAAAATGAACAGAATAGAAAACAGAGTAGAGTAGAATAGTGTAGAATAGAGTACAACAGAGTCCCGTCTAG
Organism: Homo sapiens; assembly: GCF_000001405.40. Classification (NCBI taxonomy): domain Eukaryota; kingdom Metazoa; phylum Chordata; class Mammalia; order Primates; family Hominidae; genus Homo; species Homo sapiens. Next base: position 54,137,741 of record NC_000003.12, on the reverse strand, counting down.
TCAACTTGCGTTGAATAGACTATAATAGAATAAAGTACAAAATACCAGCCTGCACTGCAAAGAATAAGACTAAGTGATGTTTCATGAAACATGTTTCACATGTGAGGTTGTAACGGGTTGCAATGTAACATGTATTCTTTACTGTAAGCCACGGTTTAAGAAGTTTGAAAGGCACTGACTTAGAAAAAAAACACAGTTTTGTGCCCAAAAGGCCCCTGAGGGAGCAATTCTTGCACCAGGGAGATTAGGAGCAGGCTTTTATAGGAAGCAGATGGCGTCTTTCAAACTGATGTTCACTAAACAATTTTCTGTTAAAGGGCTAGTAACCACAGGTCCCGGTAACCTATTTGGTAAGAAGAAAAGCCATCGGTGACAGGTCAACAAATTTCCCTCCATCTCACAAATTGGAGAATGGCCACTCAACTGTGCTCAGTGATTTCTAAATAAACTGCTTCAACAAGCAGACGTGTATGTGGGTACCTTTGGACTTAAAAGATAAAATGTCTGACTTGCTCCAAAGCCCTCATTTCTATGGCAGGGAAAATCTCCATTCATGCCGCCCACATTGAGAAAGGCTATACCCTGTGCCAGCCCATGCTTCAGACCTGGCTCAGGGGAAGAGCAGCTCCAGCCTCTGGCCCAGGACAACACAGCCTCCACGCACACGGATTTGTAAAAAAATCACAGAGGGAAGATGTGCACAGGCCGGGAGAGAAGAGGTGCACAGGGCAGCAATCAAGATGTGCATAGGCCAGAATGGAAGGGAGGGAATGACTGAGTCTCTTTAGGGAAAGCCAGAAGCCTTCCCAGAGACAACATGTAAACAGTGTCTCTCAAAGCGTGGTCCACGGACCACCAAATGAGAGTCACCTGAGATGTCTGTTCACATGCAGATTCTGGGGCTCGGGGCCAAGCTTACTGGGCCAGGGTCTCTTGGAGTAGGCTCCTGAAATAATGCATCTTAACAAGCTCCCCAGGTAACATTTCTGCAGGCTAAAGCCTGACATCCTGTAGAATTGAGGCTCAGAAGCCAGACAAGGACAGCAGGGTCGGCAGTATAAACAGGGCAATGGCACGGGCATGGGCACAGAGGCGTGACACAGCCGGATGTGTGCAGGGAACTCAAGCAGTGTGCTGTCACTGAAGCACTCAGGGTGAGGATGGGAAAGGTGGATGCAGCAGCAAAGGGATTTGGGTGCCCAACATAGCTCTGCACACCTCATTGAGTATTCAATGGATGTTTGTTGAAGCAGGAAGAAGTGAGAGAAGGAAGAAAGAAAAGGATGTCCAACATTTAGACAAAGGCAAATGTATGCTTGGGAATCTGTTAAGATTGCTAAAGATTCCCCTAAACCATGATATTCTACCCAAAAGAAAGCATTTGATCATCTGAACCTCAACTGAGGAAAAGGAGAAGGTTGGAGGCTTCAGGTTTCCAGATAGTTTATTAGTGTTGAATAAACGATTGACTAATTGTTCTGTCTCCTATCAGCTTCACTTATACAGATAATGTTAATAAGGGGACTGTTCCCTGATGACACACTGGGACCAAATATTTTGGCTGTTAAAAATAGATGCACTGGAGGAACATTTTCTCTAGGTGAAATTCAGGCTCAAATGCAATTGAATCTGAGGAGAGTTCACAAACACACCCTTCCGCATAAACTAGAACAGATTTCCAGTGGAGATCAGCTGGGTAGCTTTGAAAGGCATGGGACAGGGAGCAGACAAGGCATGGGGCTCAGGGCTGCCTCCCCCTGTCGTCCAAGAAGCCCACGGTGGGACGTGGAACCCTTCTTCCATCTGTGGCCTCAATACACTGGCCCGGGCCCAAGCCTGGTAGTCAGGACTCCAGCATTCAGGACCTGGCCCATTTCTGATTCACTGTGAGACCTGCGGCAGGCCACTGAGCCCTCACACACACTCACAGGTGGAGGGACTGTTTCCCAAGACCTGCCCCCTCTCCAAAGTCCTCTCATCTCCTTCTAAATGAGTAGGTCAGGCTCAGGAGGAATGTGCAAGGTGGGCATCAGATCCTGCTCACTCAGGGCACACAGTGCTCTACGTAGCAGAAGTCATAGCTCCAAGGAGGAGTCACATCCCAGGGAGGCGCTGGAGGCAAGACTCCTCCAAAAGCCTCACAACACAATATTCAGTCCTGATATCTGAAGGAAGCAGAGGCTGGAGTGAAATGTCTTTTGGCAAAACTGCCCCCCATTAAATCCATATAACTCTCACTTCCCAGCAGCTATCTCCCCTCATGTCCGGGGGTGTGTTGGTGCAGGCTGCGCCTGGGGAAGAGAGCAGACCATTGTGCCTGCAGGATGCAAATGCAAATAAAAACAACCCAAACTCACTTGATGGCCACTCTTAAAGATTTCCTCCTGCATGAAGATGCCTGACAGGCCCCATGCAGGGTGCAGCAGTGAGATCACCCAAGGAACGTTCTGTGGATGCTGCAGGTATGTTGCAGAGGTAAGATGATGCAGCTCCCAGTAGCCTTCAAAGCACAGACTCAGAAATTCAGCCCCGGTGATATAAACAACAAATAAACAAACTAAAGAAGCAGCTCCCCGAGAAGGTGAGATCATAGCAAACACCACGCACACATCTTGATGCTGGCAGGGCCTCAACCCCATGTGAAGGCGAAGGGAACAGAAATTAAAATTCACATTTCTCCCTAATATCAGTGATAATGTGGCACTCAAGCGCTTTATGGAATTAGCTGCAGCAGCTTCCTAATTGCCTTTGCTGAGTTGCCTCCCCCAGGTTGATGGTGGCGGCTGCGAGGGCCCCATCAGTCTCGCTTGGTGCTCCTCGTGCACCCGCCCTGCACTGCGGTGCTCCCGCAGCAGCTGCTCAGCTTGGTACTGCAGAGGCGCCTGGACCCCTCAGCCCAACTGGATGCTTCTGGGGGAGACTCTAGCATGCCTCTAGCGTGCTGACCCAGATGGGCAGGGATGCTCCCAGAGGCAAGGAGGGGGAAGGCCAGCTAGGAGAACTGAGGACCGGCTTGTTCTGCTGTCTGGCAGTCCCTGCTGGCACTGCAAGGGTTGTGGGCAAGGGACCTGCCTGCAGGGCTTTGGGGCTGGACTGTTGTAGCTGGAAGGCAGCCCCCACTTTTTGCAGCATCCATGCCCAATGTTGGGATTCATAAAACCCTGGCGTTGGAGAGTAAATGGGGAAAGGGCTGTGAAGGACCTGGTGATCTGCCTGTGCTCTACGGTGCTCTTATTTCCATCACTAGCATGCAAGGACAGGGAAAAGGCTGGGCGGCTATTCCTCCCTTTGTTTATCTGTACCTTCGTGCTGGCCACATACAAACAACCCCTGAAGCCCACCCCATAGATCGCTCTGTGCTAAGTGCCACAGGGGGAGCCTCTCCAGGTCAGAAAGAGCAAGCACGCCCTGGGGAAATTTAAGGTCTAGCTTACCAGCCTTCTGCTCACCCCTCCCCGCTCACCACCAAAGGAGATAAGGGGTTCACAGGATTTCACACAACCCAGAACCCCAGACCTGCCGAAGGCACAGAAGGCCCTGCAACAAGACTCACTCCAAGCAAAATAAAATCGATCCTAGTGAGTCCAGGGCTGTGGCTTTCAAGCTAGCTGTCGATTGTACAGAAAAACAGAACTGTGGCTTTATCAAAAGGAAAAAAAATAAGCACCAATAAATATCTAGGAAAGACAGACAAAGAATAGGAATAACAAAAACAGAGAAGCTAAAATTTACTCGGCACTTCCTGGGTGTACAGTTCTGTGCTAAGACCGTCACATGCCTCCGTACTTAATCCTCCCTATCATGACCCCATTTTACAGGTAAGGAACTTGAGGCCCTGAACGCTAAGAATCCAGCCAGATCTCAAAGCCAGATCCATCTGGTCCCAGAGTTTAAGAGCCCACACTGGCTTTCCTACACCATCATCCATTACCTTAATGGGGAATACACAAAGGAAAACTTAGCCAAATTCAATTAGATTCTCAGAAACGCATCTTAGGAGTCAGACCACATGAGGGGAGGGCTGACCCTCAAGGGCAACTAAAAGATAAGCAGCATCAGTTTATTATGACAAAAAGGGAGAAGTATAGAAAGCTAGAGGGCTCACCAGCCCTCCTCTTATTCCAGCTCTTACCCCTTTATGTTCCGCATTATGAAAGCAAATGACAATGCCCAAGCAACAAGACTAAGAATTCCACCGGGGACAATTTTAAGGGTGTGGAGAAGTTTCCACCAAACGCTCTGATGAGCCAATACCACACTAACACCAATGCAAAGGATAAATGGTTGGTCCTAGAAATCCCCCAAATGCCTTTCCTCTGACCTGACAACAGCTCAAGCACCTGAACTGGGATTCACATGATGCGGACTCAGAGTCTGCCTTTGCCACGTGGAGCCATGTAGCCTGGGGCAAAGTTACATCCTCTGTCTCAGATGTTAAAGACGTTTCTGCATCTCTAAAACTGATGCAGATGATAATAGATCTGACCTCAGGGGTTGCTATGAGAAATTAAATGATATATCATAAATAAAGCACACATCATAAAATACAAAAAACGCCTGCATCATTATTATTATTACTGCCGAAAACCCCTTGTAGAGCTGAGTTGTAGGCAACTTTGATGGAGGTCTCAAAACAAGGCCTCCAGGTGGCTTGGCATTAACAACCCCTCAAGTGGACAAACTACTGTCTTTAGCAACCAACACTTGCTGGTATGTAGAAGCAACTCCTTGAGAATAATAATAACAATGACAACAGTCTACCTTTTCTATACACTTCCCATGAGTCACTTATTGCCAAGCATCCTGCATGCATCTTCTCATTTGGGCCTCTCAACTCACCCTAGAAGTTAGTACCATTGTGCCCATTTGAGAGGTGCGAACACTGAGGCTCAGCAACTGACTTGTCAGGGTCATATGACCAGTCAGCAGTAGCATCTCGATTCAAACCCAGATTGTCGTCACTCAGATTCAGACTCTCAACTCTACACAGTTCTGCCTTCCCAAGACCAGCCACCTCTCTTAAAAGTAGATTTTTAAAAGTCAATCCTCTGATTTCTTTCTAAGTATACATATTTTTTTCCTATCATTCATAAAGCATTTGTTTCAAGCAAAAAAACTGAAAACCTCGCTGTTCAAGTAGAAAATCCAGCTATGGCTCTATAATTCTGAAATTCCCGTTCCAGGAAATGTATACTGTTGACTTTTTCAAAAGATTAGTGAGCTGTGAGCCCTCTCCTGAGAGGATTACATCTTACTTCAGGGCGACCAGGTGGCTCCTGATGTTCTGAAATACTCGAACTTGGCCACACACTCTGGAATTTTAAATTAGTTACCAGTATTTACTAACAAAGGAAAACAACCCATGTATATAAAACACATACACCCGCACACAAACACCCTTTATTGGTTGCCAGATAATGATTTGTCTGAAGTGTGTTGTCTGAGTTGGTGTGCGAATTTCGTATTATAAAAGCAAATGACAATAGCATTCCAACAGGGACCTAGGCCAAAGTCAAGAGGAAAGAATATCCAAACGTAGCATTAGCATTCCAGAAGTCAAATGACTATTATTATGTCAGTGGGGCAAAAGCCTATGCCCATTGAGCTGTTTGTACATGACGCAGTCATATTGCACTAACAGACATTTCACTAATAATGAAAACCAGTAGGAGGCTGAGCGTAAAGCTGGATGTTATGACTCGCGACTGTAGATTACCTGAATCCAGTAAATTTACTGTCTCCCACATCTATTGTTCTTTTTACAATATTGTTCCACCTCTGCCTCAAACAATACAATGGAAAAGGCGTTATGGATGGCACATGTACAAAGAGTCAAACACCTGCCCTATATTTCCAACTTTCACCTTGCTTCGCAAATTATAGCACAATGTTACAGCAACAGCAAATTTTAGTCTTACAGCTGCCCACTTCTGCTGTGCAAAGGACAAGATTAGGAGGATTTTGGAAAGAAAGCAAAAAAAAAAATCCACCTCCCTAGGGACATAATAAATGCATTTGTCATTGTGCCCCTGCCACACTAAATGTGCATAACATACACTGCCTTAATTTTATGAACTAATTATGGGATCAAAGTGACAAAAATTCCAAGTCTCTCTTGTTCATGAATAATGAAGTGGGACAGTATAAGTGAGAGGATGGCCTGAGAACCAAGGCTTCCCAGGTGCCACATATCGTCCTAAACAACTGAAATGCTGCCCAAGGGGGCATCGGGATTAGAGGTTATCTGCAGCTGGCTTCTGAACAAGCTCCCACAGCAAGGGAAATGGCTGGGTATGCTGGGATCTCCTGTGGCATAAGGACCTCACTCTGGGCTGTGGGGCAGATGTGGCAACCCCAATTCCTTGGGTGATGGGCTTCTCTGGGCATCTCCCCCCATGCTCAGGGAGAAGGGAGCTGATCTCTAGGGGAAGGGTGCATATCTTGACAGAGGCCGCCGCCACTGCAGCCTTCCTCCTGCTCTGAAGTGCTCTCATCAGGGGTCAGCTGGGGATCATCTGCCTACATGCCAATGCCTGGCACTCACCCATTCATGCACTTGCTCATTCACCAAGTACACATGTATGTATGCAGCCAGGCCCCACAGAAGCTCAATGAAGATTACCTGAAGAGCTTGTATTTGTATATTGCAACTAGGAATGACAACAACAACTCACTGGCAGGAGCCAATGTGCCAGGCACAGTGCTAAGTGCTTTGCATATTTTATTTCATTTAACCTTCATCACAGCCTATAAGATAGAAGGTACTGGTCTCCTTTCTCATTTAAGGGTATAGGTTCAGAAATGTTAAACTACAAGGCAACGCTGAAGAGGAAATGTCAGATCTGGGACTCAAATCCAAGCCCATCTGACTCCAAGGCTATGCCCTCTCAGCTGTTAACCCAGGCTTTAATTGTTTCTGAATTAATATCCCAGATGTTTCTCATTTAATCCTCCCAAACACCTGTGAGATCGAAAATTCAGGTATTATGCACATTCTTTTCAAATAGGAACTAAGGTCAGAAAGGATCACGCAAAGACAAGAAAATATAGCACTGTGGCCAGATGTGTAGACCCTGCTCAGTCACCTTGGGGAGGCTGCTTCAGTTCTGCCAGCCTCAGCTTCGCAATCTGTAAAATGGGGTGAATGGTAGTCCCTACCTCATTAGGTTGCTGGGAGAATTTAATGGGATGTCATAAGTAAAGGGCTTATCACAGTACCTGGAATGCAGAAACTACAGCATTGAGCGTTACCTGTTTTTACTATTAGATTAAGCAATTTGCCCAGGGCCACGGTGGAAATGCACACAGAAAAGATAAAAAGAGAGATGCCACTGCTTAAGGCCAATGACCCTTCCTTTAACAACACAGCATCTCCAAAGATGTGAATCTTTGAAAATGCTCCAAGCTCTTGACCTGTTACTCATAAAATAAGAAAATGATTTCATTGGAGATGGAACAAAGGTGGGCAAAGGAAGCCTCCTAGACTGAATGGAGCTGAGAGGGTAAGCTATCCAGCAGGAAAGAGAGAAAGCCAAAACGAGGACAGCCTGTCCCACAGGAGGCTTAGCCAGGGCCCCGCAGTTGGTCTGAGGCTCTGCTGCCACATCCTGGAATTCTTAATAATTTTTTAACAAGGGATTCTGCATTTTGCACTGAGGACCACAAATTACATAGCCAGTTCTGATCTCAGCAAGTCCTCAGATTCAACTGCCTACAAAATTCCAGACGCTGAACAAATCCATGCCTGTTGGACTGGCGTGACTCAGTTCTGTCCTACTGCCCTGGTTCATTCTCTCAAGTCAGCCTCTCTAACATCCAAGAGGACAAGAACAGTCTTCCCCATCAGCAAGCATTATCTGGCACGTTCTGTGATGAGCAGCATCCATTTTTATTGGCACAGGCACGCACACATACACACACTTAATAAGTATTACGGTAATGGCATGTGCAGGCCCCAAATATCAACTGGCAGTTGTTTCACCTAAAATGGAAAACTCGAGGTCTGTTTTGTGAACCCACAGCATTTATAGCCTTACCCACCTTGCCTGTCCAGATCATTTACATGCATAACAGTCCTTTTAACCTTGGGAGGGTACTGTTTTCCATTAACAGGTGCCAAGATAAATACTCTGAAGTGCACAAAGTGAAGGAACAGCCATCCATTTCTTGTGAAAAGATAATGCTTTCCTTTCCAATATGGCCTTGAAATGTGCGCCAATAGTTTGGTTTCTGAGTTGTTTATTTTCATAATGTTGATTTGGGGTAACTGGGAAGCTATGCAACATATAAATTTAATACATGTTATAAATTTAGTGCCTTAAACAGCCTTGGAATGAGCACCCAATGAGTGTTGTTCAAAGCAAATGGAAGTTGAAATGTTTACCATTTATTAGAAATGAACTGGACTATTTTCAAGTATGTATTTGTAAAAAATAATTCCCTTCTGAAAAGTAGACGTGCTGGCTATGCACACAGAAATCCCCTAAAACACATCAGCTATACAAATACCTAATCTGCCAAGGGTGAGCTGTAAGTACAGGCCAAAGTACTGGGCTGTCGAAGGGGCTTAGAGTCTGGTTTTACATTATAGAACAACCACTTCAGACAGAGTCTGTTGGTCACTAAATATTTAGGAAAATCACAAAAAATCAAGCATCCTCCTCTTCCTCATATCATTTTCTTCCTGTAAAGGAGAAGCAAAATTTTGTTTAATGGACCAAAGAGGGCTGATAAGGATTCTGTCAGTTTTACCAGAAGCCTGACATTAGGAACTTTTCCTTTCACTGAATGATACACAAAAGCTTCACTGCAGTCACTCGAGATGAAACCTAGGCCGTTATGTCTCTTGTATAAAAATTACATTTAAAGGGGAAAAAAATCACATATGCTAATTCATAGGTTGGCATTTTATAACATCTGTTTTATTTTTTTCTCAGTTTTGGCCACAGCAAACCTCTAAGTCAAATCACAGTGTCCCAGGGAACACACAATCTGCTAACATTGCCTGTGTAGAAGATGCTGTGGTCTCAACCCAAAGACTGTGCCAACAAGCACTGTGACTACAAAAGATGGAGGGACCCCTGAAGTAGCTGCTGCTCATGTCTGACAGAGGAGATGTGCTGGGGTGAAGAAAAAGCCCGTTTGTTGGCATCATAGCATCTATGATGGTAAATCAGGATTTGTGACAGGCCTGAAATACAGGCTCCTTCGTGAAAATGTACACTTCTTTAGGTAGGCCCAACACACCAAACCATGGATTGATCAATGTAAGTGGGAACCCTAAACACCAAGTGGAGATAAATCCAAGGCTGATGAAGGCTAGAATCCCAAACCTGCACCTCCAAGAATATGTGCTTCAAACTTTAGGGAAATGAAACACCTGGGAGGGCCACAGGTGCCGGGTGTGATGGTTTCGCATTTCTTTTACTTTTGCTCATGCTGACATATGGCTATGTCTTCATCAAAAACTGGAAATAATAACTGTGTCAGCTCAGGCCCAATGGATTTCAGAATTATCAGGTGGTTTGGTATTCATGTGTTTGCCTAAAAATTGCAGTAGTGTTAGAATTAATTAATTAAAATCAGCATGCGATCACCATGCTAATCAATCAAAATTATAACCACATGGGAATTAAAAATTTGAAGTTTGCCTCCAACCAGAAAACCATGCCTATATTTTCATTTTCCCTTAATTTTGAGTAGCATCTGTTGGTCTCCTGAGCAACACAGGCCGCAGCAGTTCCTAATGGGAGAAAAGGCAAAGTAGAAATGTATCTGGCAGAAAAGAAATTTTAAGGAGAAAAAAAACAAGTTAAAGGAAAAGAAAAAAAAAATGAGCAAAAAAGGCTCAGACCGAAAGTTAGCAAGTGGTCATGAGTAACTCTACAAGTGCAATGAGCTATATGCATAAGAGGCACAAACTGAATGCTCATTGGTTTGCCCTGCTCTGCTACTGTCTGGGTGATTGTGTTAATGAGACCAATAAACTGCCCTGAATGATTAAAAACTGTCACTTCAGAGATTTCAAGCTTTTAAAAATAACCTGCTAAGGAAAAGTCCAGTATTTAAAGTAATGCTATGAATTAAAGCATCCGCAGCATAGGTTGAACGCATTTATCATTCAGGATGGCAAATAACTGTGTTTATTCAACACAAAATGTTAGCAAAACAGCGCCTCCCCCACAAGAGCAATCTGAAGAGTGCTGGGCTTCCCACGAGCAGCAAGGCACTGCTACCTAATTCCTGATAAGTGAATACACCTATTCAGTTATTTAAAAGTCCACCGATTTTCACATTGATGAAAAGTCATAATTATAAAAATGGCTTAAAGCACCAACCTTTTACTTTGCTGACTCTGTCCTGTGGAAAGAGATATCAACTTTATATATTAAGGCTGCCCTCTCAATAAATAGTTGATAATGTAAAAAACAGATTGTGCATTCCAAGATGTGCGTGTTTGGTAAGTGCTCCATGAGGCGTCCAAGGTAAATGTCAATTCTGTTCCAGCGTTACTGGCAGAGACACACATTACCTGTATTTCCGTTGTGTATTTATCATCATGATTCTGGAAAATGTAACTGGAACCCTTCATTCCCGTGAACATTGGTTCCCCGAATGCAGGTCTAAATAGAATGAAAAACCCAGCTCCTATCCAATTCTCCCTGAGGAGGATGAAATGAGAATCAGCCAGTTTAATGCCTTTGATTGTGATTGTTAGAGGTGTGGAGACTGAGTTTAACAGCCTAGGTTCCCGGACCTACTAGAATGCTTCTCACTGAATCCCAAAATACAGCGGTAATGAAACTATGCCTCCCCAAAAGAACCAAACAAAGTCCATTCTTCGGGGAAAATGAAGCAAGATAAAGGCAGCTGAATACTGACTGGCATGGATATATCAAATCAGAAACTTAATTAAAAGTTGAAGTGAACGGAAACCCCTGCAGTATCTGCCAGCTTAGCAAGGCAGCACACAGGCATACAGCGGCGCACCAGCACCATCCCTCCAGGGGCCTGCTATTCTCTCACAGCATCTAAAACCCCTCAAGATGAACTCCAGCGCCCACAGACAAGTCCCACAATCTTCCATTCTGTACTGAAAACAGACAAATTTCCTAAAAGATGGCTTACTGCGTTTTATAAAATCAAAACTATCCTATTTCTAAGGACCTAACAGGTTGCTATTCCTGTGCTCAGTAAAGACAGAAGAAAAAAATATAGGGGCTATCTGGCATTGAATACCTAATATATTATAATAGGCTAAAGCGGCAAAACCCATGGTATTAAACATAGAAACAACTGATAAAATACTCTTATTTCTGAAGCCATAACAAGGTACATTGCTAAATGTTTGTGTTTACATTGATGAAGTCAGTAACAATACTGCTACCTCAAATTATATCACCTAATAAAAACATGTTACCAAAATGGCAGTTTTCCCAGTCACTAAACACCTTAAAATAGATGCATGGCCAATTATTATTTAACTTATATTCATAATAACTACTTTGTAAAGTGTATGTTTTAGTGCAAAAATGACTAAACTTCCATTCTAAAAATGAACACACTATATTGATTCACAACATGAAGTGTCAATTAGTGAAACTACATAAAATACATAAAATTATATGGTGGTATACAGCACACCTTACTTAACTGAAAATCAAGTTTAAAAATCCATGCCTTAAAAAGAGCAATTACACTCTATTATACAACATAGTATTGTCATCTTTGAGTCCCCTTAATACAGTGTTAATGCATTTTCCAGCCAAATTTTCTAACTCATTTTGAAAGCATCTTAATTGTTAAGGACACAGTGATATGATGGCAGGGTGCACAGAGCTCTGACTTAGAGGAGTAATTCCTCATGCAAATGGACAGAAACTTGAAAATTAGCAAAAGAGAAGCAATTATCCACTTGTTTTTCCAAATGATGTTATGTCTCCTACACTCTGAGCACTCAGATCTACTCCCATTCATACTCTGAACTCTCTAAACCAATGTTCTTTGCTAATTTTAAAAATACAAAAGCATTTGCGGGGATAGTGGACCAAAACAGCCAAAACATAGCTGAAAAATGCTCCCCAAGTTGTCTAACATGCTCCCCCACCACTTATGAAAGTCTCTGCCAAGTAACCCAAAGCCGTGAGTATTTCAGGACCCCCAGAGCAGACGATTCCAAACCAAGGACTAGGGTGGACACCCACCCTGGAACGCAATGCCAAGCAACACCTCACCTTTCCCTCGCATCAGATTACAAAATGCCAGGCAGCAGCAAGAAATGATAACAAAGCCATAAACAGCTGGAAATAATTACACAATTGTCAAGCTGCAAACATGACAAAAGCAAAGCAAAGCTAGTGAATTCAATATCAGAAAGGATGCTGATGAGAAGGTAAGAGAAGCATTTCAGCCTTTTCCAATTTGCTGTTATAGAGTAGCAAATAATAAGGTTGACGGAGTTTTGTGCAGTGTGTGTGTGTGTGTGTGTGTGTGTGTGTGTAACTTCAAAGAGAAAGAAAAAAACATATTTAATGTGTTCCTAGAAAATGTGGGATAAAAGATATGAAAGCACAACCAAAAAATATTAACAGGCTCTGAAGGGATTCTTTTAGAGTTGCTACAACTACAACGTGCAGATGAGAAATACTTCTTTAAAGTTATACAAAATGTTATCTTCTTTAAAAGCATAAGAAAAATATAAAGGCAATGCTACAGTCCAGAATTCATCACATCAAACATCTGACAAGTGGGCAAAATGCCAAAGCAGGAGACAGATTGGTCCAGATTAAAAGAATACTAGGGAAAGAGGCAATTCCTATGCAATTCCTTTAAGTGCCGAGGTGGGCCACAGGTATGTAAATTCTCATCTTCCACGAGGGCATTTCGTAGCCTCAACTGTTTACCAACTGCCTATAATTCAAGAACACCTTCCCAAACAACAGAGTTGAGCAAGCAATCTTTCAATGAATAAGGTTTCAATGAATAAGGCTATTGGCGATTTTTAAACCATAATAACTTTTGTCATTCCATGGTGGGCCAACGCTTTATTACGATATTTGGATTTCATGTGGCAAACTGTTTCATATACTGTCCCCAAAAATGCTACTCTCTGAAGGGGAATGCCATAAATAAAATACGTACTTGGTTACCAGGCAGCATGCATAACACATATGGTACATTGGCCCAAAAATCATATTTTAAAATGTTTAAAAGTTAACTTAACAATTTAAGCTGTTTGTACCCATTTTCAGAGAATTATTCCCTAAAGGCCAATTTTATTTTCTATCATCAAGAGAATACTTTGATTAATCCTGTTGATCTGCTAACTTGAAATTCTTTGAACCCCTCTAATCTCTCCTCCCAGACCCATTTTTTTTTCTTTATTTCCTGAAGGGGAGAACGAAGGACCATTTATCTCACAATGTAATTTTAAGCTTATGCTTAAAATGCTGCCTATTTGAATTAAAATTGATGCAGCTTGTGATAAGAACCTAATAATCAATTCTCCATTCTCATTACTCTCCAGAATTACATGGATGCAGACCCATTTCTTAAGTTTGTGGACTACTCTCATAGGTTATTACCCGGCAGTGCAGCTGAGTGGAAAGATAACCACATTCATTCTCCTTATCTGCAATGATGTAATGCATCCTAGCCCTGGGTCTAGATGATTGGGGAATAATGGGATTGTACAACTGCAGGGATGACAAACAATAGTGCAGCGTCTTTCTCTGATACACTGAACCCCACGCCTCCAACGCAAGGTGAAAGGCATCACAAAATAGGCACTGAGTCTGCCCCTTGGATGAAGTTAGCATTTTTTGGCCCGAGGAGCATCTGCTCTGGCACTGAAACAGCAATACCGACACGGAGACGAGAGCCATGCAAAAACACTCAGTTTCCGAGCCCCAGCCAGGACAGTGCGAGTGAGTATCCTGCTTTTCTTTGTGGTTAGAATCAAGTGTCATCTAAAAATAACCGGTTGGTAGGAAGAAGTCACTGCATAGTACAATGCCAAGAAACCCGGGGATCAGAGAGTCCTCCGATAACTGATGCTGCTCGGGGCTCACGTTTGTTTGGAAAACTAAATCTGCCTCCATTTTCTGTGCCGGAAAAATCATCGCTTCCTGCCACCACAGAAACCTTACCTTTTGCAGAAGCTGGGAACCGGAGTACTTAGCAGCAATGGATTTTATCTCCCCACCAAAAGCCGAGGCCCAGAGCTTCACCCTACAGGGAGAAGGGGCACAGGAAGATATGTAACACCCGTGTCACAGTCAACACGCACGCACACGCACACGCACACATGGGACTATGGCTGAAGGAGCAGTGCGATGTAACATGTTTTAAAAGAAGAAAAGATAGAAAAAGCGGCTTGGTAGAAACTGCCAGCACCAAAACTGCAAAGCGCAGCGCGGGAGGGGGCCCGAGGGGGGTCGCGGAGTTAAGAATGCGCAAAGTCTCCCAGGCTCTCTAAAAAGACCACTGAGTTTCATTCGAACCACTGCCCGAGGACTCGACCCCCCAAACTGGGCATCACCTGGCAAATAGCAGTCAGAAGAAATCCACCCATCCCCCCCCCAAAAAAAGAAGTGGGGCGGCAGTAGAGCAAAGAGGGGGGAAATTCAGCGGCCCATGGAAGTTGGATTCGGTAACCAGGCTCCAAAGTTGGTGCCGTCACTTGAGGTGAGCCTCTCCAGATCTCACTCGGCAACCTGCGGGCAGGGGCCAGAGCATCCCACCCCGGCCTCGCCGCCCGACGCGGGTCCCGAAAGGCAGGTGCGAGCGGCGAGGCCGACGCCCGCGGCGGGTCCTGCCCAGCCGCACCTGCAGGCGCCCAAACTTGGGCACAGTGGGTCGCAGGCGGCAAGGTCCCCTCCCCGGGCGGCGCAGGAGCCGGCACTTACACGGAGAGCGGTATCTGCTGCTCCGAGCGCACCACGTCCCCCAGCGCGGCGTAGAGAAGCGCGGCAGCGAGAAGCGCCGAGGCCCCCCGGGACGCGCGGCGCGGCGAGCCCGGCCCGGCCATGCTGGGCTCCCTCCGACGCGCCCGCTGCGGCGGCGACGAGAGCGGCCGCGGGGAGCTGCGCGGAGCGGGCGGTGGGCGAGCGCGCGGGGCTGCCTGCTCCGCTCCGCGCCGCCCCGCCTGCCTCTCGCGCGCCCGGCTCACTTGGGGAGCAGAAAAAGGAGCGGGTGGGGGGGGCGGGGAGGGCGGAGAGGAGAGGGAGGGAGGAGAGGTGGGGAGGGAGGGAGGAGAGGTGGGGAGGGAGGCGGGCGGGGGAGGAGGCAGCGAGACGCGCCTCTAGCAGCAGCAGCCGCCCGGCCCCGCCTCGGCGGCCCCGGGGAGTCCGGCGGGCCGCGGCGGGAGGGCGGCGGGGCAGGAGGCGCCGCGCGGGCGGGGACTCGGAAACTCCAGTGTCCTTGGCCGCGGCGGAGCGCGCCCTGCCCCACCCGGGCTACTGCGGCCGCTGAGTTCTTTACAACTCCGCAGTCCGCCACCGCGGGCGCGACTCTGGGGCTGGCCCCGGGCCGGGCGACCCTAGCCAGGGTGGGGGTTGGGGGCGCGGGAGGGAAGCCGAGGGCAGGGCGCGGCGCTCCGCACTTTGCGGGCGGCTGCTAGGAGAGGGCGTAGCATGCCCGCTCCGCCCCTGGGCCGGGCGGGGTCGGGGGCCGCGGAACCTAAAGGGGGCGCGCCCTCCGCCCCCGCCGCGCGATTCTCCTGCGGGGAGGGAGCTGGGGAAGAAGCAGAAATCTCAGAAAGGAGCACAGGCTCGCGGCGGCAGGCGGGATCGCACGCGGGGCGGATCGGGCTGGGGATGGGACTGGGTGGGAGCTCGGGGCTCTGGCTAGGGCAGCGCTGCGTGACCGCCCGCAGCTGCTCCTCCGGCCGCGGCGCCCGACAGGGGAAAGCACGGAGGGCGGTGCTGCCACCACGGCTTGGGCGCACCAGCGCGGGGCTCCCGGCATCCGGCCGCAGCGCAGCGGCCCCCTGCGCGCCCGACCCAGGCCCCGGGGCTCCCCAGCGGCCGCTGCCTTCGGAGTCCGCCCGGCTGCGGTGACTGGTGGGGACCGGGATGTCAGGGTTGAGCGAGGAAGCCAACGCGGCGCCGAGTCGATCCTGACCGGGGGACACCCTGGATTTCGGGATAAAAGATTTCTCCGAGCCTGGGGGATTGCCTGCTCCCCACTCCGGCGCCCACCGCACTGGGCAGGAGGCAGTGAGCGCCGGAGGAGGCGCCTTCTCGCCGCCCTCAGGGGCGAGGAGAAAGGAAGCCGGAGAAGCCCCTGCGCGTTCTGGGAACCAGGCTTCTCCCCGCCTCTCTCGCCGCTGCCCCCACCCCGGGACCCAGCTTGCAGAACCCCTCTCCCCCGTGCGAGGTATGGGGTGTGATTGGGAACTTTGTGGAGCCCTCGCGCAGGCTGGCGGTAAAGACCGACCGGAGTGAGGCTGAGTCATCCTTGCCCGGCCAAGCGCAACTCCGGTGACCCCAGCAAGGAGTGCGCTCCTAACGTCGCCGGGGCTCCCGGCGCACCAGACACCTGGGTTCATATTTGCATGCCTTTCTGCAACCAGGGCTTTGCTTTCTGCCCCGTCACCCGCCCTTGGCCTCAGCATCCTCAGGTTGCAGGGAAGTAAGGGCGGGCTCCAGCTTCCGCCAGGTGGTGTCCGGCTAGGAGCCAGGCCGGCTCTCCTTTCCAGTAGTCCCTGGAAAAAGTTACCCCTGCAGATGTTGGGCTTGATCTCAGAGTTGGCAGCGAGGGAGAAGGACTGCTACCGAGAGGCTCTTAGTGCTTTTCCCGAGTGCGGGCAGACCCGAGCTCCCCTGGGCTCTGGCAGGTCGCGCTCCCACCTTGGGGGGCAACGCAAGGAACAGGCCCCTCTCCAGGAGCGCCAGGTGCGCCCCGCCCGCGGGCAGTGTCTACAGCCTCTACGGATGACTAACCGGTTATAATGAATTCTCCGCTTCTGTGCATACCCTCCGCCTGAGGAAGCGTGCCAGCCCTTTCCAAACCGAGCCAAGCGCGGCCTGACCCCCGAGGCAAGGGGTCCCAGGAGTTGACCCTCAAATTGGGGGTTAGAAGAAAATGTGTTTTCCTATCAGAACGCGGGATCGTTCTTCCTAAATGAAAGCATAGTGAATGAACCAGTGAGTGAGTGCATGCTAGCTCTTAGTAAGACCATCCGTTTCCCACATGGTATCTATATGATGACGCCCTTCATGCCTTCACTCATTCATGTAGTCAATAACTGTCAATCAGCCTCTATTGATAGGTACAGTAGGACATGCTGGGAAGCCAGTAGTGAACAAAGCAGGCTCTCTGCCCTCACCGAGTTTATACACTACGAAGAGGACAGGCTTTACTGCAAAAACCATAATGGTAAATGCACAATTATACACTTTGACAAGGGAAAAACAATACTGTGTATGAAGAAAAAGTACCTGTGACACCCATACTATTGTTGTGCCTATTAACTGATGAGAACATCGAGGCACGGCAAAGTCATACAGCTTAAGTCATATTTAAGCAACTGCTTGACTGCTGGACTATACTGAAGACCACCTGGGCACCAAGGTCATGAAGACATTTCGTAATAAAGTCACTATGCGTTGCCAGCCTGACACAGGTGAATTTCGCAGTTGTCTCGGGCAACTAGAGAGTAGCGATGAGAGGCCAGGCACAGGAAGTCACAGTCCCAGGAGGAGAGTGTTTTGAGCATTTGTAACGCAGGCCATCTTAGGCAGAACATTATGCACGTTACATTTAAGATGGATCCCGCTAACCATATCCTAGTATCTCAAAAATAAAAAATATTTAAACTAATACTAATAAACTCAGAACTCAAAGTGTCCAAAGATTTGGGGTCTTACCACTTACACACTGTAATATTCTTTCCAGAATCACAAAAATCAGTGCTGAAAGGGATCTGTAAGCAATCTAGTCTTGCAGTCTTATTTTAACAGAGAGGAAACTTGAGGCCCAGAAGGATTTAGCCACTTGTCCAAAGGCACACACCCCTTAAAGAGAATCTCCTCACTTTGAACCAGGGAGTTCCTGCAGCTACATGAGAATAAGGGACCAGGAGCACCTTCCAGTAAGCCAAATGCAGTACCAG
The DNA here is from genome assembly GCF_000001405.40 of Homo sapiens. Lineage (NCBI taxonomy): Eukaryota > Metazoa > Chordata > Mammalia > Primates > Hominidae > Homo > Homo sapiens. The sequence goes on along the minus strand of NC_000003.12, from coordinate 54,119,626 downwards.
GGCATTGGGCACTACTTGCCATTTTCACCCAAAAGCTTATATTTCAACACCCAACTCTCAGTTGAAGCATGGAATCCAGAGAAATAAAACTTTCATTGGTAGACCTATGCACTCCATCCCACCTAGCTGAGGATGTCGCACTTTGTCCTGCAACAGTGAGGAGCTGCTGGAGGTGTTTGAACAGAAGTGAAAGATGATGACACAGAAGTGAATGTTTTAGGAGCATTCACCTGATCCAGCATATGGAAGGGATTCTGGAGGAGCCCCTAGAGCAGTGGTTCTCAGTGCGCAAGAGGGCATTGCCCTTGGGGGCATTTTGAACAGCTGGGACTTTTTTTTTTTTTTTTGAGACGGAGTCTTGCTTTGTTGCCCAGGCTGAAGTGCAGTGGCACAATCTCGGCTCACTGCAACCTCCACCTCCCAGGTTCAAGTGACTCTCATGCCTCAGCCTCCCAGGTAGCTGGGATTACAGGGGCCTGCCACCATGCCTGGCTAATTTTTCTATTTTTAGTAGAGACAGGGTTTCACCATGTTGGCCAGGCTGGTCTTGAACTCCTGATCTCAAGTGATGTGCCTGCCTCAGCCTCCCAAAGTGCTGGGATTACAGGTGTGAGCCACTATGCCTGGGCTAGTTGGGATTTTTTCTGTTTGTCATGACTTGGGGTCCTACTGGCATTTAGTTGATAGGGGCAGAACAGGCCCATGCAAGGACTTTCAAGTACCCCACTGAACATTCAGGTAAGAGAAAAACCCCACTTATAAGCATCTGAATCTAGCATTAAAAGCCATTTTGTACATAAATTAAGAGGAGTTTTTGCATGGCTTTAATAAACACCATATTTTCCAGGAATGCAATTACAATATAAATAAAGGCATGGTTGTCTTCTGTTTTGTTCAGAACCTTACCAAGAAGTTGTTTGGTTGCTTGAGGTTTGTTTGATTTGTTGTTGTTGTTTTTCATTTTGGAAAATCTCCAACAGCAACTGTGCTCACAGATCCTGAGTTACCAACACACACACCTGTATCAGTCTGCATTTGGGGTGTGGCATTCACAGTTAGTCTGCACATAAGCACAAACAGCTAATAATGTCATTAGATCTTGTAGTTACATCTTGTGCGAGCATTTCATTTAAATACTTCTTATTTTATTATAAATTACTTTTATTTTACTTCTCTTTGCTGTTGCCAAATAAGGCATCATACTGTCTTTTTAAAATTCTGACTTTGATTAGGTTATATTGTCTCAGAATTTCATGTCAGGATAGTAAAGGAGGTGTTGAGTCTATCTGGGTAAATATCTACTGTGAAAGGAATACCAGCTAAAAGGCTGAGATGTTGCTGATGAGGAAGCAAAATGGTTCACTCAAAAGGAGGAAAATGGCAAATGCTTTCACATTTAACCCAGCAATTCCTCTTCTGGAAATTTATCTTACAGTTACTGTATTAGTCTGTTCTCATGCTGCCATGAAGAAATGCCCAAGACTGGTTAATTCGTAAAGAAAAGAGGTTTAATTGATTCACAGTTCCACATGTCTGGGGAGACCTCAGGAAACTTAGAATCATAGCAGAAGGCACCTCTTCACAGGGCAGCAGGAGAGAGAATGTGTGCAAGCAGGGGAAATGCCAGATGCTTATAAAACCATCAGATCTTGTGGGATTCACTCATTATCACGAGAACTGCATGGGGGAACCACCCCCATAATCTAATTACCTCCACCTGGTCCTGTCCTTGACAGGTGGGGATTATTATAATTCAAAGTGAGATTTGGGTGGGGACATAAGAGCCAAACCATATTATTCTGCCCCTGGCCCCTCCAAAATCGCATGTCTTCACATTTCAAAATGCAGTCATGCCTTTCCAACATTCCCCCAAAGTCTTAACTCATTCCAGCATTAACCCAAAAGTTCAAGTCCAAAGTCTCATCTGAGACAAGGCAAGTCCCTTATGCCTATGAGCCTGTAAAATCAAAAGCAAGTTAGTTACTTCCTAGATACAGTGGGGGTACAGGCATTAGGTAAATATATGCATTCCAAATGAGAGAAATTGGCCAAAACAAAGGGGTTACAGGCCCCAGGCAAGTTTGAAATGCAGTAGAGCAGTCATTAAACCTTAAAGTTCCAAAATGATCTCCTTTGACTCCATATCTCACAACCTGGTCTTGCTGATGCAAGAGGTGGGGTCCCACAGCCTTGGGCAGCTCCACCCCTGTGGTTTTGCAGGGTATAGCCCCCCTCCTGGCTGCTTTCATGGGCTGCCATTGAGTGTCTGCAGCTTTTCCAGGGGCACAGTGCAAGCTGTCAGTGGATCTACCATTCTGGAGTCTGGAGGACAGTGGCCCTCTTCTGACAACTCCACTAGGCAGTGCCCCAGTGGGACTCTGTGTGGGGGCTCCCATCCTACATTTCTCTTCCACACTGCCCTAGCAGAGGTTCTCTATGAAGGCTCTGCCCCTGCAGCAAACTTCTGCCTGGACATGCAGGCATCTCTATACGTCCTCTGAAATCCAGGCAGAGGTTCCCAAACTTCAATTCTTGAATTCTGTGGACCCACAGACCTAAAACCACATGTAAACTGTCGAGTGTTGGGGCTTGAACCCTCTGAAGCAACAGTCCCAAGCTGTATGTTGGCCCCATTTAGCCATGGCTGGAGCTGAAGCAGCTGGGACATAGGGCACCATGTCCTGAGATTGCATAGAGCAGGGGGTCCCCGGGCCTGGCCCACAGAACAATTTTTCCCTCCTTGGCCTCTGGGACTGTGATGAGATGGGCTGCTGTGAAGGTCTGTGACATGCCCTGGAGATATTTCCCCATTGTCTTGGCTATCAACATTCAGCTCTTTGTTACTTATACAAATGTCTGCAGCTGGCTTGAGTTTCTCCTCAGAAAATTGGTTTTTCCTTTCTGTCACATTGTCAGGCTGCAAATTTTCCAAACTTTATGCTCTGCTTCCTCTTAAATGCTCTGCCACTTAGAAATTTCTTCTGCCAGATACCCTCAATCGTCTCTCTCAAGTTCAAAGTTCAACAGAGATCTAGGTCAGGGGCACAATGCTGCCAGTCTCTTTGCAAAAGCATAGCAAGAGTGACCTTTACTCCGGTTCTGAACAAGTTCCTCATCTCCATCTGAGACCACCTCGGCCTAGACTTCGTTGTCCATAACACTATCAACATTTTGGTCAAAGCCAATCAACAAGTCTCTAGGAAGTTCCAAACTTTCCTACATTTTTCCTTTCTTCTTCTGAGCCCTCCAAATTGTTCCAACCGCTGCCTGTTACCCAGTTCCAAAGTTACTTTCACATTTTTGGGTATCCTTATAGCAGCACCCAACTCCTGGTACCGATTTACTGTATTAGTCTGTTCTCACACTGCTATGAAGAAATACCCAAGACTGGGTAATTTTTAAAGAAAAGAGTTTTAATTGACTTACAGTTCCACATGGCTAGGAAGGCCTCAGGGAACTTACAATCATGGCAGAAGTCATTTCTTCACAGGGTGGCAGGAGAGAGAATGAGTGCAAGCAGGGGAAATGCCAGATGCTTACAAAACCATCAGATCTTGCGAGACTCATCCACTATCATGAGAACAGCATGGGGGGAAACTACCCCCATGATCTGATTACCTCCACCTGGTCCCACCCTTGACATATGGAGATTATTACAATTCAAATTGAGATCTGGGTGATATCAGTTACTGAATGACATGCATATGCAGTTACTCATCACTGCACTATCTTCAAGAGCAGAAGACTGGAAACAACCCAGCTGACTATCAGTATATGATTGGTTAAAGAAACTGATACATCCACACAATACAATATTATGCAGCCGTTTTTGAAAAATGAGGAGGCTTTCTACATATAGAGGTGAAAATATCTCTAGGATATATTAATTGTTTTAGAAGCAGGGTACATAACAGAGTATATGGGATGCTACTTTTGTGTGAGAAGGGGGAAAAATAAGAACACATTTGTGTATTTGCTTAAAGAAATAATGGAAGATATGCAAGAAACTGCTAATAGTTATTCCATGTTCAGAGATTGGGGGAACAGAGGAGATGGAGACAGGAGTGAGAGAGACATTTTACAATGTATATCATTGTAAATCTTCTGTTTTGTTTTGCTTTGTTTTGAGTTGCAGTCTCGCTCTGTCACCCAGGCTGGAATGCAGTGGCGTGATCTCAGCTCACTGCAACCTTCTGCCTCCTGGGTTCAAGCAATTCTCCTGCGTCAGCCTCCTGAGTAGCTGGGATTACAAGCATGTGCCACCATGCCTGGCTAATTTTTGTATTTTTAGTAGAGACGGGGTTTCACCATGTTGGTCAGGCTGGCCTCGAACTCCTGACCTCGTGATCTGCCCGCCTCGGCCTCCCAAAGTGCTGGGATTACAGGCGTGAGCCACCATGCCCGGCCTCATTTTGATTTTTGAGCTATGTGAATATATTACTTATTCAAAGCAATAAGAATACAGCTTTTCATAGTTTTTGTAACAGTTTAGCTAGTGGGGTGTGGGCTAGAGTGGAGGGAGCAGACATTAGAGTGAAATGTGAAGGACATTTAAAATCCTTGATCCCCTACAGAAGTGTTTCTCAAACCCTGAGAGGTCCTGATTCAGGAAGTCCAAGTTGGGGTGTGAGGCAGAGGGACATCTATATTTCTAATCAGCTTCTGGGAGGATTCTGATGCCCATAGCCATGGAGGACTTTTTGTAAGCACAAAGCTTCTCTTACAGGTGTAGAGCCTACAGAAGTATGGACTTTGGGGTCACACAAACCTAGGTTCAAATTGTGGCTTACCCTCATCCTAGCTGCATGATGTTGGTCAAGTTACCTAACCTCTCCAAACACCCTTTTCTCAACCGCAAAGGATGGATAACAAAGAACTGACTTCACACGAACATACGGAGGATGAAATGGGATAATGCAGCTAAGTATTCAATAAGCATTATTTATTACCTTCATCTGGCAAACACAGCAGCCTTTCAGCACCCAGGTACTGCTCTGGCTCTCACTCTGCCTGGGCGTGCAAAGCCACAGGGAACCCTTCCCTCCATCCCCCCACCACTGCTGCCTGGCCCAGACCTTTATCATTTTATCCCTATACTTCTGCGACTGATTCCTACTGGGTCATCCCTCCTCCTTTTGTCCCCTTCAAATACATCTTTCTTCCCACAGTGACCAGAGCCATCTTTTCAAAAACAAAAATCAGACCCTGAGAATTCCCTGCTCAAAATCCTCCAATGGCTTCTGTTTCAAATTCAAATGCAGACTCCTTACCAGAGCACCCAAGATCCTTGGCTACCCCTGCAGCCTCCCTGTCCCTCCCTCTCTCCCTTGCCTGCTGTGCCCCAGCCTCCTTCTCCTTGGAGTTTCCAGAACAAGCCAAGCTTGATCCCACCTCGGTTCTTTGCTTGTGTTGTGCCCTCTGCCTGGATCGCTCTTCTTCCACATTGTTTCTCACTGAATTTGGTTTCCTGCTCAGAAGTCCCCTGTGTGGGGAGAACTTCCCTGAACACCCCAGGTGAAAAAGAAACACACACACACCCCTCTGAACTGTTACCTTACTTCATTTTTCTTCCTAGCAGTTATCACTACTGATTTATTTGTTATTTGTTTACACTGTCTCCCCCACTGGATGGGATGTGTCCACCTTCTTCATCACATAAACATAATGGGTTAGCAAGGCCTTAAATGTTGTGGAAGCTCAATAAGCATCAACTGCATGGAGGGGCAAAGAAGGGGAGGATGCCAGATTGGAATTCTTTTCTGCTCAGGTCCTGCCTCTTCCCATTCTTCCTAGGCTGTGGCTTACCCTAGACACAGATCCTTTACAAAAGCACTTGATTTGCCAAGAAAAAGAGAACCTGGGAAACTGTTTCTCTCAAGAGAATCCTCAGTTACATCCCTGTGGGAGGATGCCGGTTGAAAGAGGAGGAGAAGGAGGGATAAAGAAGACACTATAAAAACGCCACATCAAATGCTGTTTTTGAAGCTGTCAGAGGAATCTTTACAAAAAGCATGTAGGGTGGAAGATGGTATGTCAGGAGGTATTAACATGTGAAACATTCAAACAATGCAGATGTTTCAAAAGGATGATTGGCATGTGATCACCTGTTTCTAAAATCATAACCTGGTAGGAAAGGAAGACCTATGGAAGCTAAAGAGCAAGGCAGGGGAAGAGGTCGCTCCTCAAGGCTGGAGTGGATGTCCCATCAGCAGGAAGTGATACATGTCTCTTAAAATGAGAAACATGACCACATTAGCAGGCCCAAACCAGGTGATGTGGCCCCTGACCTCCTTACAATGCATGCATTTGCAGCCTTCCCTTCATTGAGTTGTTTTCATTGATAACAACTATTTTTTAAATGCTGAATTTTGGCCAGGCGTGGTGGCTCATGCTTGTAGTCCCAGCACTTTAGGAGGCCAAGGTGGGAGGATCGCTTGAGCCCAGGAATTGGAGAACAGCCTGGGCAACACAGTGAAACCCTGTCTCTATAAAAAATACAAAAATTAGCCAGGCGTGGTTGTGGACGCCTGTAGTCCCAGCTACTCAGGAGGCTGAGGTGGGAGAATCATCTGAGCCTGGGAGGTCGAGGCTGCAGTGAGCTGTGATCAGGCACTGCAGTCTAGCAGGGGTGACAGAGCAAGACCCTGTCTCAATAAGTTAATGCTGAATTTCAGTAGTGTAAATATATCTTACCCATTAAAACATTTTTTCATGGTTGTGTTTTGGGGACATACAGTATTTAAACTCCAAGAATATCTATAATTTTAAAACATTGTCTTCGCCTGTATTACTTTTATAATAAAGATAAGTATTTAAAATCTTATATGAAATAAGCAGATTTAAAATATATATGGAGTCTCTCTGTTTGAAGTCAACTTTGGACTCAACCTCTCATCCCAGGCCAGGTTCCCCAGTGCTATTCAGCAACCCCTCACGCTATTTAATAAGCTACACATTGGAAAACAAGCCACTTTTAAGATAAGTTAAATAAAATTATTTAGGGTGGTAAATGATCTATTTAAACGCACACACATTCCAAAGGTGAATATAAGTTTGCCACTATTTTTAAGTACTAGTCAATCATTCTCTGTCTCAGTCTTTCTGTCTCTCTGCCTCTCAGCATAGACTGAAGTTGGCAGCAAGAACTGAGCATAACGTGCTATTCTAAAAAGAGAACATTAAATCCTCAGCTCATTTAGAGAGTATGGGGTCCCTTAATTGTATGACCACTTCATTCCATCATGATTATGCACATATACCATTTCCTGTTACATGAGCTGGTGAGGAGTTGACCCCTCATCACGTAATAGCCTAGTTATTACAAAATATTCTAAGTGGTCAAATAAACATGGACTTTTTTTTCTATGGTAGATCTTTAGTAATCACATATTTAAGGAGAAATGTTTGAAGTTAAGGAGTACAGGGCCTAATACAAATTCACTGGAATAATTAAAATTTATTTGACATACTTGCTCTTTAAAATGTGAATTAAAATGAAAATATCATTTAATCAAAAATTTTCAAACCCTTTGCAAATTCTTTTTTTTTCTTGTTTTCTTTCAGGGAATGGAATGCAAATTCTAATGTTAAGAATTTTACTTAGGGAAATAAGCATGAGCATAAAATATTTAGCTGTAAGAATATTTATTATAGTATTGTCTATAATAGAATAAGAAACCACTTACCTGCCTTAAAAATGGGGTATTGTTTAATCATAGTTGATTAATGTAATATTGTGCTGCTATAAAAAATGATGTTGATACCTTAACTACAAAAAAAGATTTAAAAATGTATTGTTATGTAATACAAATTTATATAATACTAATCCAATACATTAAAATAGTTATTACCAATGAATGCATATAAACCATACAAGTATCTCAAATGTCTTTATTATCAGTGAGATTATGTTTTTCTTTTTGTCTCTATTCAATTATTTCTTTTAAATTATAGAAGCAATGTGTTCACATAATTTTTAAAATAGTTCGGCTGGGTATGGTGGCTCACACCTGTAATCCTAGCACTTTGGTAGGCCAAGGCAGGTGGATCACTTGAGGTCAGGAGTTCGAGACCAGTCTGGCCAACATGGTGAAACCCTGTCTCTACTAAAAATACAAAAAAATTAGCTGGGCAGGGTGGTGCGTGTCTGTAGTCCCAGCTACTTGGGAGGCTGAGGAAGGAGAATCACTTGAGCTCTGGAGGTGGAGGTTGCAGTGAGCCGAGATCACGCCACTGCACTCCAGCTTGGGCTACAGAGTGAGACTGCATCTCAAAAAAAAAAGCCCCAAAGGCCACATTTACAATAAGGAACAGCAATGTACTTATGATGACCACTCTGTGAAGCGGTAAAGGGTGACTGCAACCACAGAGAACACACAGACTCCTGGCATGAACACGGCTCTATCAAATCAGCCTTTTTTCCTTTCTCAGAGAAATAATAAAAAGCAGCAAAGATTATTTTTTAAAAAGCCACAAACTCCATTATCATCAAAACTTGAAGGCAGGTATAGCCTGCAGACTACCAAATACAAGTAAAGACTCCCTCAAAGGAGCAGGTGATGCAGAAGCTGCCCTGAGGATGCAGGGGCAAAAGGACAGAGAGCTGTGAGAGGTCTCAGCATTAGCAGACTCCAGAAATCACAGCGACTCAAGTGAAGGCCTCTCCTTAAGTGCAGATGCTCTGTCTCTTGTGGCAACAATGGATACAGGACTGAAGTTGGACAAAACTGGAGGCAGAAGCCCTGCAGGACTCAGGGTTGTTGCTTGAAGCAAAAGAGATGGTAACCACACAAGGAATCTCACGGCCATATTAAATTGAAGAGACTGTCATGACAGCAGAAAAGGAGGAAGTCTGTGGGTTATGAAGGAAGGCTAGCTCAGCTTGTTCCCCTGTATGTGTGTCCTATCCATATGCACATACTTAAAGCTCCTGCAAAGTTAGTAACCTAGGAAATCAAGAAGTTCAATGATGAGTGAGAAGAGGGAAGGGGAGGAAGAGGAAGGAGGAGGAAAAGAAGAAAAAGGCGAAAGATGAGGCAAAAAAGAGGAGGAAAAGGAAGAGGAGGAAGAAGAGAAACAACTGGCCCAGCATCAGTACAGTAAATTTTTTTAATGTAAAAAGAATAGCAACACTTACCACAGAACAAAGAACACTCATCAGAAAAAAAATGTTACTATGGAGCAGACAAAAATTGTAACCATTGATTTCACCAACTTTAAGAGCATAAGAAGCAATCCTCCTCACTGATGAAAGATCACAACACAAAAATGCAGGAACTCAAAGATGATAACACAGGAGGGGATGACACAGAAGCTGGAGGAATTCTGGGAAGAATTACACAAAACTGATAAAATCAGCAACGAAATAAAGATAAAATTGGAAAGGATGAAATGGAGAATAACTACCAGAAAAAAAAAAAAAACTAAGGGAAGTAGAGAATAGAAACTATAAAAGCAAACAAAATAAAATGGAAATAACGGAAGAGTTAAAATATTAGCTAGAAAATGAGATATTGAGGACAGGCTAAGGCCATTTGATATATGCATGATTGTCTTCAAAGAAGGAAACCAAGATAATGAGAATATAGAAAATATTTGAAGATATAATTCAAGAAAATTTCATGGAAATATAAGAAAACATGAATCTACATACAGAAATGACATGCTGTATATTAGGGAAAGCTTATACTGAATGGTTAGCCTTGAGAAAGAAATTGGATTTTAAAGATAAAGGAAGAATCCTTTGGATAGCTTAGCAAAAGTATGAAGTTGTTTATAAGTGGAAGATCAGGCTGGCCTTCAGATGTCTCCATAACAACATTGAAGGCCAAAAAATAATGGAGCAATTCCTACAGCCATTCTTACGGGAAAAAAAAGTGTGAGATAAGTATTTTATATCCAACCAAACTGACTTTCTACTGTAAAGGCTTCATACAAATAGTGGTAAACAAGGAAAATCTCAGAGAATGCTCTATACATGAGATCTTCTTGCAAACGCTATCAAAACACAAATTTTAGCTCAACAAGAAATGCCTGGGGAACAATAGTAAAAGAACTGTAGGTGAGTGATGAATATATTTCACTATAAAATTAAGACCAAACAAATGTGGATTATGGGAACACAATAGAATGTAACTATTACTTAGACAATGTAGACAGGTAAGGTATCTAAAATATGGAAAGGTAAAAGAGGAAAAGAAGGAAGGAGCAATATAAGTTGTTGATTGTCACATCTGAAGTAGCTAAGTGTCAAAAGATATCATTTAAAGAATATAAAGTTTATTATTTCATGGCACACTGTTAAACATAAAAGATGGCGTTATTGCCTAAAGTTAGGTGTGGGATGGAAAAAAGGAGGGAGAGAGAGAGAGTTTTAATCTTATCATAGCTCATTATTTATTATTAAATAGATACTGCTCAAAGAAATAAAGAATTAAGAGTATCATAGAAATTAAAACTAACTATCAGAACAAAAATCCATACCTTCCTAAACATCGAAAGAATTACAGAGAGGAAAAAAAGCAAAAACAAAACAAAACAAAACACAAAAATAGCCCATATACTGAAAGATTTATTCCAAAAAAATACCACATAGACCAAAAACATTAAAATTTTTTTATGGGTTTAATTATTTTTGTTTTGTTTTGTGACAGTCTCGCTGTGTCACCCAGGCTGGAGTGCAGTGGTGAGCTCACAGCTCACTGCAGCCTTGACTTCCCAGGGCTCAAGCAATCCTCTCACCTCAGCCTCCTGAGTAGCTGGGACTATAAGTGCACACCACCATGCCTAACTAATTATTTTATTTTTTATTTTGTAGAGACAGAGTCTCACTTAATTCTCCTTTTTACAAAGAATTTCAAATTGAATACCAAAAAGTAAAGCCTTATTCTATGTTCTATTACAAAGAGCTTACTTTCAACAAGATCATTCACAGGGGAAAAAAAAATAGAAGTGGTAAAGAAAAGCCAAATAAATGCAAACAAAAAGAAAGCAAGAATTGTAATTTTAAATAAGAAACAAGGTAAAGTTACTGCCAAAAAGCATTTAAAAAGACAAAGGAAAACATTTTATGAAACTAAAATGGTGGCTGAAACCTAGATAAGCTTAGGTCAGGAAAATAATAAACTAAAATGATATAATATTTATAAATATTTATTTATCAAATACCATAGAACAACAACATAAAAACTAGAGAAATAGAAACACTATTACTGGGAAAGATGAACTCACCATGGTAGACCCAGTGGACAAAAAAATATAAGAATATAGAAGTTCTAAATAACACTATTAATGAGGTAGATCTGATTGATATATTTTTAATACTCTGCCCCCAAAATAGAGAAAATTTATTCTTTTCAAATGCTTGTGTAACACTCACAGAAACTGACTATAAAGAAAACTTCAATAAAGTTCCAAAAATGAACACTATAGACAATATTTTCTGATCATAATGCAAAACAGAAATTGCAAGATTCCTAGGGAATAAAAATATTTTAAGTACTAAATAAAAGGTTATGGGGATGTAGCTAAGGCAGTACTCAGAGGAAAATTCATATCTTTAAATGTTTATAGCAATAAAAATGATAAAAGACAACCAATGAATAGACATTTGACCCTGAAATTTAGAAAAATGGCAATATAGGAAAGCTCAGTGAAGGAGTAGGTGAAGTTAAAGGCAGAAACTAATGATTAGAAACATTATAAAAAATTATAAAGGAAGCACACATACGCCTACACACAAAACAAAAAACTATAGACCCATCTCACTTATGGTGCTGCAAATCCCCAAATTATATATTAACAAATAGAATCTAGCAACATATTGAAAGAATAACTTATCATGACCAAGTAAGATTGATTCAAAAATTCAAGAATGGTTCAATAGTAGGAAATCTTTTAATATAATTTATCCTGAAATATTATTAATAATTAACTAAGAAAACTAATAAGATTATCTCCATAAATGCTGAAGAGACAGTTGTCAAAATTCAGCAACTATTCTTTTTAAATTTTTGTTATTGTTTGGTTTTTGCTTTTGCAAGTTTATATTTTTGCATATATATTTATAAATATATATACATACACTGAGTTATGTGATGATTACAACCTAGAATACACAACACGACCGAAATTATACATTGAAATTGCATATCTATAATTCATATGATGATGCACATTAATCTTAAATGGCACACTGAATGACAACATTTATCACATCTTCTTTATTAACCACCACGATTTTCTCGTTATATCTTAATAGACTATAATACATTTAAATTAAACAATGCGACTTATTATGTTATGAAAATAAACAGTATGATGTTTAAATTTTAAAATAATAATTATTATAATAAAACGGAAAGGTCTTACGAGCCTAAGTGGACGGGCAGTTAAAGATTAAATAAGCTTCAACAAATGTAAAATCATAGTTATAAGGAAAGTAATCTATATTACCTTCCCAAGGCATAACTCTCAATTATGATTTGTGACCCAGCAAGGAGATCTTGGATTCTCATTAGTCCCTTAAAGTGTGTCATATTCCCTTCAACCAGGGAGCAACTATTCTTGATTCAAAAAAATACATGATCATATAGGATTCAAAAAAATACTTCCTTAACATAATAGCATGAATGTATCTCAGCTTGAAATGCTTAATGAGGAAACCCCAGAAGCATTCTGATCAAAACTAGTGCAAGATAAGGATGCCAACTAGCTCTTCATCATTTAACATAAAATAACATGCTTACTTGATGTACCTACTTAATGTACTAGTCAATGTAATTTGATAGCAGGAAAAAATAAAGAAAACTAAAGTCATAAAATTGGAAAGAGGAGATAAAACTATCATTATTTGAAGATGGTCTAACTGTGTACCTAGAAAATCAAAATGAATCAACTGAAAAACCAGTGTGAGAATTTTAAAAAATACCGTGGTGCTAACTGAATATGTAGAAGTTAATAGCTTTCATGTATACATATATATACCACAACTAGTTAGAAGATGTAATGGAAAAAAATACCTTATATACTGTACTAGTAACAAGAAAGACAAAATGCCTAGAGGCAAACTTAAAAGAAATGTGTAAGAAAAATTTTAAACACCTTTAAAAGACAGAAAAGATGCCCTGAATGAAAGATATCATTATCTTAGATAATATATATATAATATCAGTGATCTCCAAATTAATTTAAACATTTAATATGGTTTAATAAAAATTATCAATAACTGTGCTTTAGAACACACGACTCTAAAGTTCACATGGAAAAAACAACTAACATACTTGGGGAAATCCTGAAAAAGAAATATAACAGTGGAAGACTAAGCCTACTATAGGTTCCCCAGTGAACCCCACGCAACTCCCCACAGCACACATTCACTTTCCTTCTGTGTCCTGATCTAGAAACAGAGTGCCTTGACCACTCTGTGACCTAGCCAGCTGCATGTTCCCTGCAGGCTTGAGCCCAACCAGGTGCCTTGAACATTCTCAGGCACTGATAAAGCTGCTTAGGTTGTTGCTCAAAAACATTGAGAATGTAACTCTTTTGCTAAACATGTAGAAATTAGCCTCAGTCCTGAACCAAATTCCTTAAACGCTCATATAAAACCCCAAACCTGACCCCCTCAAGGCATATGTACCTAGGTAGAACATCCCTTGTCTCACTGTCTGACTCGAGGATTTGCAGCAGACTCCTCTATATGGAAGCTCCCCTAATGAACGCTCTACACTGATCATCCTAGTATTCCGTCCTTCTTTCTTTGAAATCCCAACTGGCCCCATCTCAGGCAGTCCCTTGTAGAAATTCCCCTGCTACAGCTTTTAGGGTGACTACAGCTATGGATTTGACTTGACAGCACACCTAACAAATATTAAAATATAAAGCCTCAATAATTTAACCATGTGATACTGGATCATGAACAAATAATTGGACCAAAAAACAAAAACAAACAGACAACCAGAAGCAGCACAGAAAATCCTGAAATAAACCCAATAAATACTATACAGGCCTTTAATATATGATTAAAGGAGGATCTCAATGAAAATGGAAAAGAACTGTACTTGGTGTTGAGACAATTAGATATCTATTTGGAAAAGTTAAATTTGGGTTTATACCACACCCACATCAGGGTAAATTTCATTTGGATATAAGATTTAAATATAAAGAAACAATTCCCCTTCCCTAATACACATACCAAAAATACACTAAAAGAAAACATGAGAGAATTTCTTTTAAAACTTGGAATGAGAAACACCTACCTAACTGTGACCTCAAATCTAGAAGTCATAAAAAAGTTAAATGACATAGAGAAGTTTAAATCACATAGAGTACGGTTAATGAAAAATATTTTAAGCAAAGTCAAATGACAACAGACTTCCAGTTATTATTTCAAAAGACTATCACTGTCACTGTAAAAATGGAAACAGGCAGATGTGGTGGCTGACATCAGTAATCCCAGCACTTTTGGGAGGCTGAGACAGGAGGATCCCTTGAGCCCAGGAGTTCAAGGCCTGCCTGGGTAACATAGGGAGACCACATCTCTACAAAAAAATTAAAAATTAGCCATGTGTCGCAGCGCATCCGTGTGGTGGCACATGCTTGTGGTTCTGGCTACTTGGAAGGCTGACATGGGAGGATGGCTTGAGCCTGGGAGGTCAAAGCTGCAGTGAGCCGTGATCATACCACTGCACTCCAACCTGGGCAACAGCGAAGACTCTGTTTCAAAAAAAGAGAGAGAGAGAACAAGTTGGAAACCTACGAAACCTTTAGTGGAGAAGCAGGTACAAAAGAAATCCATTCATCATAGATAGAGATAAAAAGAAACTACCTGAACTTTTGATGGCTGCATGAGAACCGGCATGATAGATTAGAATTCTGAGTACACCCATTCATAGAGCAATAGAGCAAGTCTCCGCTCACCTGCTGACTGTCTCCCACAGTCTGCACTGAACACATGGCAGTGGTATGCTAAAGGCTGGGGATAAGGCAAAGTTGTTGACAAACATCCCTCTATTGCAAACAGGGTCTTCCTCTATGTGCAAAGCAGAGACTTTCCCCAACTACAAGGCAGCAGTCCACCAAAGGCTGGTGTCAGGGCAGATAACTCTGAGAAATACCTTTAAAGCAGCGGCCCCCAACATTTTTGGCACCAGGGACCGGTTTCACGGAAGACAATTTTTTCACGGACCTGTGGGTGGTGGAGTGGTTTTGGGATGAATCTTTTCCACCTCAGATCATCAGGCATTAGTTCGATTTTCATAAGGAGCACATAACCTAGATCCCTCGCATGTGCAGTTCACAATAGGCCTCACACTCCTACGAGAATCTAACGCCACCGCCGATCTGACAGGAGGTGGAGCTCAGGCGGTAATACTCTCTCGCCTGCCACTCACCTCCTGCTGTGTGGCCTGGTTCCTAACAGGCCATGGACTGGGACTAGTCCATGGCCTGGGGGTTGGAGACCCCTACTTTAAAGGACTCCAGGCCTTCATCATGAAAACTTTAGCTACTCTCCTAAGTCTAAAGGTAGGGTAGAAGTTCTGAGAGAGCTGAGAGAAATCCCTATGAAGCCTATAGACATTAAAAGAATGGTAATTGGGCTGAGCACAGTGGCTCACGCCTGTAATCACAGCACTTTGGGAGGCCAAGGCAGGCAGATCACTAGGTCAGGAGTTCGAGGCCAGCCTGGCCAACATAGTGAAACCCTGTCTCTACTAAAAATAAAAAAAAAAAAAGCCCGGCCTGGTGGCGGGTGCCTGTAATCCTAGCTACTTGGGAGGCTGAGGCAGGAGAATCACTTGAACCTGGGAGGTGGAGGTTGCAGTGATCTGAGATCATGCCACTGCACTCCAGCCTGGACGACAGTGTGAGACTCTGTCTCAAAAAAAACAAAAACAAAAAAAAAAAAAAACGGTAAGTGGATATTATGAAAAACTTTATGCCACCAAATTTGACAATGTAAATTAAATGGACAAATTCCTTGAAAAACACAACTTCGGCCAGGCGCGGTAGCTCACACCTGTAATCCCAGCACTTTGGTAGGCCAAGGCAGGCAGATCACAAGGTCAGGAGCTCGAGACCAGCCTGACCAACATGGTGAAACCCCGTCTCTACTAAAAATACAAAAATTAGCCGGCTGTGGTGGTGTGCGCCTGTAATCCCAGCTACTCAAGAGGCTGAGGCAGGATAATCGCTTGAACCCGGGAGGCAGAGGTTGCAGTGAGCCGAGATTGCGCCACTGCACTCCATCCTAGGCAACAGAGTGAGACTCTGTCTCAAAAAAAAAAAAAAAGAAAGAAAGAAAAACACAACTTCATACAAAATAGAAACAAGAAGAAAAAGAAAATATAAAAACCCTGTATCTATAAAATACATTAAATTTTAATAAAACAAATAAAAACCTCTAGGTTCATGTAGCTTCGCAGTAAATGCTATAAAGATTCAAGAAATAAATAATTATAGACACAAACACTTTAAGAAAATAGAGGAGGAAGAAACAATTCCAGCCTCATTTGATGAGACCAGCATAACTCTGATACAAAAACCTGACAAGATCATTAAAATAAAAAAAATTACAGATAAATATCCCTTATGAACACAAATGCAAAAACCCTGAACAAAATATTAGCAAGTTGAATCAGCAATATATAAAAAATGGTAATATGATCAAGAGTGATTTTATCTTTTGAAAAATAATAGAAACATAAATTGTTTCATCCTGTGAAAAATCAATGTAATTCACCACATTAACAGAATAAAGGAGAGAGGGAAAAAAAAGTGCACTCCTCTTAATATATGCAAAATAAAATCGAAAAATTCAATGCAAATTTAAGATTTTTAAAAATAGCTTAAAACTAGGAATAGAAGCGAACTTCCTCAGTTTGATAAAGATCATCTGCCAAAAGCACCTACAGATAGCATCATATTAATGGTGAAACACTGAATAATTTCCCCCTACAACTGGGAATAAGGCAATATGCCCACTTGTATTTAACTCTGGACTGGAAATCTTAACTAGTTCAATATGGCAAGGAAAAGATTGGAAAGGAAGAAATATAATTTTCATTATTTGCTGACATGATTATGTACATAGAAAATCATGATGACATGATTGTGTACATAGAAAAACTCTGCAGAATCTACAAAAAAAATGTATATTTTAAAAAATCTACTAGAACTAATAAGTGAACTTAGCGAGGTCACAGATACAAAGTCAATATATAAAAAGCAACTGAACTTCTATATATTTGTAACAAACAAAGTGTATTAGTCCGTTCTCACATTGCTATAAAAAGCTACCTGAGGCCGGGCCTGGTGGCTCATGCCTGTAATCCCAGCACTTTGGGCGGCCGAGGCGGGCGGATCACGAGGTCAGGAGATCGAGACCATCTTGGCTAACATGGTGAAACCCTGTCTCTACTAAAAATACAAAAAATTAGCCGGGCGTGGTGGCATGCGCATGTAGTCCCAGCTACTCGGGAGGCTGAGGCAGGAGAATGGCGTGAACCCGAGAAGTGGAGCTTTCAGTGAGCCGAGATGGCGCCACTGCACTCCAGCCTGGACGACAGAGCGAGATTCCGTCTCAAAAAAAAGAAAAGGTACCTGAAACTGGGTAATTTATAAAGAAAAGAGATTTAATTGACTCACAGTTCTGCAGGATACACAGGAAACATGGCTGGGAAGGCCTCAAGAAACTTAGAATCATGGCAGAGGGCAAAGGGCAAGCAGACATGTGTTATACGGCCAGAGAAGGCAGAGAATAGCAAAAGGAGAGGTGCTACACACTTTTAAATAACCAGATCTCATGAGAATTCACTCACTATCATGAGAACAGCATGGGGGAAATAGACCCCCACGATCCAATCACCTCCCGCCCAACCCATCCTCCAACACTGAGGATTACAATTCAACATGAGATTTGGACATAGATACAAATCCAAATCATATTAAAAAGTGAAATTTAAAAATAGCGTAATATTAGCAACAGACACCAAACAGGTAGGAATAAATCTAAGATGTACAAAACTTTTATACTGAAAACAACAAAACATTCTTGGGATAAATTAAGTAAGTCCTAATAAATAGAGATATATCATCAATATTGTTAAGATGTCCATTTTCCCAATTTAATTCAACATAAGCCCAAGCAAAATCCCAGGAGTCATTTTTGTGTAAGTTGACAAGGTGATTCTAAAATGCATAGGGAAATATAAAGAACCTAGAGTAGACAAAATGATCTTGAAAAAGAACAAAGTTGGAAGACACATGATTCAACTCTAAAACATATTATAATGCTACAATCATCAAGATAATGTATTGATTTAGGCATAGACATAAAGATAAATAAAATGAATGGAGATCCCAGAAACAGACCCATACTTACCTGGTCAATTGATTTTGAACAAAGAGTCCAAGGTAATTCAACGAAGAAAGAATAATCTTTGTACAATTGTATATCTGTATAAAAAAAAATGAACCTCAACCCTTGCATGAGACTGTCCACAGAAAGTAAATGAAATGGATTATAGATATTAGCTTAAAAGCTGAAGCTATAAAACTTTTAGAAGAAAACATGAGAGAAATATCTTCATCACCCTAGTATAGGCAAAGATTTCTCAGACTAGATATGATAAAAACTAACCAAAAAAAAGATACTGATAATTTGCACTTTATCAAAATTAAAAACATCTGTTCTTTGAAAAACACTGTAAGAAAATAAAAATAAAACAATATTTAATAAAAGACTTGTATCTAGAACATATTAAGAACTCCTACAACTCAATAGTAAGAAAATACACGATTTACAAATGGACAAAAGATTGAACAAACACTTCACAAATGAAAATCTATGGCAAAAAAACAAAAGTGCATGAAATGATTCTCATCATCATTACTTAAGAGGAAAATATGAATTTAAATCCACAATGAGTTATCACTACACACCCCTAGAATAGTTAAAATTAAAAAGCTGGACAATACCAAGTGTTGTGAGGATGTGGAGCAATTAGAACTCTCATGTACCACCAATGGGAGTGTAAAAGAGTACAACCATCTTGAGGAACACTAGAGCAATTTCTTATACTCATATACCTACCCTATAATCCAGAAATTCCTAGGTATTTACTCAGGAAAAATGAAAACACATGCCTACAAGTTATACACAAATGCTCCTAGTCCCTAACTGAAGACAATCCAACTGTCCATTAACAAGTCTTTGGATAAACATATAGTGGTATATTCATGTAATAGAATACTATTCAGCACTGAAAATGAACTGTTAACACATGAATGAATCCAACAAACAACATGAATGAATCTCAAAAACATTATGCTTGAATGAAAGAAGCAGGGTACAAAACAGTATATACTATAATGATTCTAAAATATGTGAAGTCCAGAAACAAACAAAAACTAATGGTGGCAAATTAGAAAATGCTTGCCCAGTTGAGAGGCATTGGGTAACTGACTAGAAAGGGCACTTTCTGGGGTTATACAAATGTTCCAAATTTTGGTTTAGGTGGTTTTTGCACAAGTGAATACCCCTGCCAAAATTGTAAAAACTGAATACTTTAGACATGTGCATTTTATTATGTGAAAATTATGCCTTGATTTTTTAAAGTTATGATTAGATTTATCTCTATATATTTGTGCCCAGCAATAATAATATCATTTTCAAGAGGTGCTGATCGATTCCTTTGCATTGTGATAATTGTCTTATTATAACTATCTGTAATTATATGAAGCCTTCATAAATGTGACCACGTGCAATAATAAAGTTGTAAAACACTTAAAATAGTAACTGGCAGACTGGGGAATATATTTGCAACTCAGCTCTCAAAGGGCTAATGACCCTCATATATAAGAGATCTTAAAAATATATATTTAAAATACCATAAATTCAACATCCCTTCATAATAAAAACTCTCAACAAATTAGGAAGAAAGCAGTATGGCAGTTCCTCAAAAAATTAAAAATAACAGCAGGGCACAGTGGCATGGGCCTGTAATTCTAGCTACTCAGCCGGCTGAGGCAGGAGGACAGCTTGAGCCTAGGACAGCTAGTGCCTGTGAATAGCCACTGCACTCCAGCCTGGGTGACAGAGTAGGACTATATCTCTAAGAAAAAAAAAAATTAAAAATAGAACTACCATATGATCCAGCAATCCCACTACAGGGTATACATCCAAAAGAAATGTAATCAGTATATTGAACAGGTATCTGAACTCCTTTGTTCATTGCAGCACTATTCACACTAGCTGATATATGGAATCTACTTAAATGTCCATCAACAGAAGCATAGATAAAGAAACTATGGTACGTTTATATACATATTATAGTTTACACACACACACACACACAATGGAATACTATTCAGCTATAATAACAAAATGAAATCCTGTCATTTGTGGCAACATGGATGAACCTGGAAAACATTTTTAAACTAAATAAGCTAGGCATAGAAAAATAAGTCCCACAAGGTCTCACTTATACGTGGAGTCTAAAAAGTTGTTCTTATAGAAGTGGAAAGCAGAATAGTGGTTAGCAGAGGATGGGGGGATGGGGAGAAGCCGGGGAAGGTGAGAGATTGGTCAGTGGGTACAAAGCTATAGCTACATAGGAGGAATAAGTTCTGGTGGTCTGTTGCATAGAAAGATCACTAGAGTTAACAACATTGTATTGTGCATTTCAAAATAGCTAGAAAAGAGGTTTTTGAATGTTCTTATCACAAAGAAATAATACATGTTTAAGACAACAGATGTTAAACTGTCATCATTACACAATTATACATGTATCAAAACATCACATTGTACCCCATAAATATGTACAATTATTATGTGTCAATCATAAATTAAAAAATAAAAATGAAAGTCATAGGACTGTTAAAAGAAAACATAAATTACCAAAGTAAAGACTGCTTTACTCTGGGAGTGGAGTGCTTTCATCACAAGTGGATTTCACTCTTAGGTGTAGCCACTTTTTCCTATTTCTGGTTTTATTTTCACATTTAATGGTGGTGTGAAAAAAGGGAACAAAGAAAGAAGGGAGAGAGGAGGAAAAAAGAGAGATGCACACCTATGCTCAAAGAAAGTACTGGACAGAACTATACAAACATATTAATAACAGGGTGGAATTATGGGCCTTTTTTTCTCCTAATGGATTATCTGTATTTTTTTTTACAATGGACACGTAACTTCTGCTCATTTATAGGAAATGCTATCATGCAAATGAGAACTATTTCTGGCGAAACTATTATATCTAGAAGTACTTTAAATAATTTTCATGAAGTTCAATTTATGAGTCAAAATTTTATTCCTTCAACAGGCAATGCTTTTATTATTCTTTTATACCCACCCACAGAACATGGGTGGGGATAAATGAATTAAGAAAGCTTCATGAACTTTTTACATATAAATGCTGCATCATTTTATATTCTAGTAGCTGATAATATTTTTTAAAGCTCATTTAAATCTACCTAACTTATATTTGGAGTTTTCTTCCACAGTTTTCATCAGACATTGTGCCCATATTGGTTCCTTAAAATAGATGTAGAAGCTGGGGAGGTGGTGCATGCCTGTAATCCCAGTTACTTCAGTGGCTAAGGCAGGAGGATTGCTTGAGCCCAGGAGTTCAAGTTCAGCCTGGACAACATAGCAAGGCTCTGCCTCTAAAAAATAAAAAATAAAAAAAAAACAAAAAGTAAACAGACGTAGTAAAGAAATCCACTGGCAATTTCTATGTCCTTCTCAAAAAGCCTTTGTATTATAAAATCTTCAAATGTGCATAGAAATAGAAGATTGTCTATTTAACTCTGTATAACCATCATGTAGACTTACATTTTGTCATATTTGCTTAGTCTTTAAAAAAAATACAGATTATAACATTTCATCCCTAAATACTTTAGCAAGCATTTCTAAAATATAAGGATATCTTATAGCCACAAAATCATTTTTACACCTAACAAAATTAACAACAATTTCTTAATATCACCTAATTCTTAGACCATATTCAAATTTCCCCCATTTCTGCCCAAAATGTATTTTATAGTTATTTGTTTGAACTAGGATCCATATAAAGTCCGACTGACCATTTCATTTCTAAAATCTAGTCTTTTTAAAATCTAGAATAGTTTCCATCATCACCACTACTTTTTTCTTTCTTCTTCTTCTTTTGCTTTTTAATGTTATTGACTTGTACTTGGTTAACTGTTTCATAAAGTGTTTCCTGGAAATTTAAAGAATGATTTGACAACACCGCCAGAGAACTCACTGTAAAAATAATCATCTCAAAAAAGAAAATCAGACTCATTTTTTAATATCAAAATCTTGCAAATCTCCATCTTGAACATCAATACTATAGTGTGGAGGGGCGGGGCAAGTAGGAATATTAGAAAAATTCCATAAAACTAGCATATTTTAAGAGCTAGGTACAGTGGCTCATGCCTGTAATCCCACCTCCTCTGGAGGCTGAGGCAAGAGAATCACTTGAACCCAGGAATTTGAGTCTGCAGCGAGCTATGATTATACCACTGCACTCCAGCCTGGGTGACAGAGGGTGACCCCGTTGAAAGAAACAAAAAACGAAAGAAAGAAAGAGAGAGAGAGAAAGAAAAAGAAAGAAAGAAAGAGAAAGAAAGAAAGAAAGAAGAGAAAGAAGGAAGGAAGGAAAGAGAGAGAGAAAGAAGGAAGGAAGAGAAAGAAGGAAGGAGAGAGAGAAAGAAGGAAGGAAGGAATGAAAGGGTAAAGGAAAGGAAGAAAAAAGAAAGAAAAAGGAAAGAAAGAAAGAGAGAGAAAGAAAGAAAGAAAGAAAGAAAGAAAGAAAGAAAGAAAGAAAGAAAGAAAGAAAGAAAGAAAGAAAGAAAGAAAGGAAGGCAGGCCCTGATTTTAGAAAGCCGCCTTCCCTTTGGAGCCTCTCAACCTGGAAGAGACATCACAATTTCCCTTCTGGCCTGGAGGAACAAAAGCTTAATGTAGCTTGCAGGAAGCCTGACTTCAGCTGGCTTTAACACCCCCAGGAGGAGTTAAAATGTGAAAGAACAGCACTTTGCCTTTTAGGAGGCTCATCTTATCACAGACAACAGAGGTAAGAGAAAACATTTTAAGCTAATGACATTTACTGCTAACCAGATCTGGTTGAAGCAATCCATTGGACTCCAGTTTGCAGGTCTCATTTGTTAGAAGATTCATTTAACTTAGAATGCTCAACCAAAAGCACCCCACCTTCACATTTCTCTGAGTATTATGCTAGACAATGAATTATTCTCCCAGCTGATTAACTATCTTTAACCCCCCAGGCTGCTACAATATTGTGTGTATGTTAATTCGACTGCATTGCAAATTATCTGACGTTGAACAACAATAATAAAAGAAAGAAATATTAAGCCTAATGGAAGGAATGTTGCTAGGGAGATTTTTATAAGATGGAACCAAGAAAGTCCTTCATGTATAGAAGGAAAATTTCTGAAATCATCCAACATGCAATAATTGAGCATCTGCCAACTGGGTCAGCTGCTGACCCATTTCTGTACTGGTCAGTGGGGTCTAGAAAGGGTGAGGCTTTCATTGGCAGGTTTGGGCCACATTCCCACTCCTAAGGTCAGAGGCGAAGTCAACTTCATCCAACTTAAATCTAAGAGTCATGAACAAAGCCTTCCCCATGGAAAAGCAAAAGCAGCTACCAGCAGAAGGGGGAATGAATCCTGGGCAGCAAAACCAATAGATAAATGGGTATCCATAGAGCCAGAGATAAGTGAAGTCAGAAATATCGAAAAGGGGCCATGAGTGTGTGTCCCCTCTGTCTATTAGAATGCTTGGGTCACTAATACTTTTTACTAGCTTTGGTCCTTCCCCAATGGTATCCCAGTCTCTCAGGTCTCTGGGTCCATTGGGTTTGTTGGCCTATTGGGGAAGCTTCCTAATATATTTCCTCTCTTGTGCGGGAAAGCCTTGTCTCCAACTAAATGCATTTTTCTAAAGCCCTTAATGGAATGACCTTAATGGAAAGAGTGTTTTAGTCCCAATCCCTGGAAACACATCATAGTTCAGCTATGTCAGCTGTTGAGTCCAGCCTTAGTGGGAGAAATCATGCATTTCTTGATTTTGTTCTTCTAGATGTCAAAAGGCAACATAAAAAACAGTCCTTTAATTTTTCAGTGAAAGATGAAATGAAGGCAGGGAGATTTCAAATCACTAAGCAGATTCACCTTTCTAGTAAAAAGAGATTCCTCTCAGGGCTTTCCTAGCCCAGCGAGGTTGCTTGGTCCTGCCTTGTGGTTCTTGCCTTCTCCTCCCCTCCTGCAAGCAGCTCAGAAACAGAGGGAAAACTTTGTAAATATGGGCACAAGACAACACCAATCTTCCTCTGGCCCTGCTAGAATCACTTATCAGAGCCTTCCGGAGAGGGACACGTGTGCTGAAAAAGATGCAAGGCAAATATTATGGATAATACTTAAAAAATAAAAGGGAAATGAGTCATGTTGGCAAGTGAATTTATGTTTATACAAAATATTTGTGGAAACATGCTTTCCACTTTGGAGATTCTCCTGATCCATCACCATGACACTAATGTTGCAAGAAGCAAATCCGTCAGACAGTGACCATTACTTTTTAATAGACCACTCCATTTTCAGCAATCATACTAACAAAATCAGGACATAGCCCAGTCTGCTTGCAGGAGATGAAAAATACTTGCAAACACTTCACAAATGCTCCCCTGCACAATGAGGAAGCTTGCTCACAGGTAGTCCAGATGCAGAACAGGACAGGAGTGTCCAGGGAACTCTGCTATGCGGATTCTTCTAGGGCCTGGCCAACATGTGTGTGGTGCCTACACACCCGGCGCCAAGTTTGTTTTTCAGAAAGCTGTTCTCATTTTGTACAGAAAGGCTCTGCTTGAGGGCTAGGTGTATGGCCTTTGCTTTCAGATTATATAAGATGTAAAAACACATGATCTGGATCACATAGGCCAAAGTATGATTTTTTTAAAGTGCTTACCAAAGACACGAAGAAAGAGCCTTAAAAATAAAAACCTATCTGATATATTTGTGACTACACCAGAACACAATTCATTCATTCACTCTTTTGACAATTACCTCCTAAATGGTGGGAACTGTGTGTGGTGTTATGAAATATGAATATTTATAAGTCACGGTCCCTGCTCTCAAATGAAAGGGAAAGACACAATTGGCCATGCTAAATATCAGAACTAATTAAGTACAAATAAGAAGCTATAGGAGCATAAAGGAATAAGTGATTTATGAAACTTCATGTGAATTGAGAAAAACTTCAGGGAGGAAATTTTTGGATGCTGACCTTGAAGGATAGCTAGCAATTATTCTTTTATGATGTTGATGATGATGACTTTCTTTTGTTGCCTTATTTAAAAAGCAATATATTCGTATCATAGAAAATATACATAAGCTCCCTACTTAAATATAACTACTATTGGTATTCCCAATTTTTTCTAGCAATATGCACTTTTTACAAAAATTCATTCATATTTCATGAGTAGGCTTGTAGCCTGCTTCACCCAGCATGCTTGTGTGTATGAGTGTGCAGGCACCTATCTAATGTTGTAACAGAAGCTCTCTTATCTGATAGAACTGGATGCACTAGGTCAGTAAAAAAAAATTCAGTCAATGCAAGGAATCATCAGATAGGATAAAAAAACAACACCTGAAATACCTTATTTTAATTTAAAGCCAAGTCCTATGCTTTCACTCTTCTGCTTTCGAGCCAGCACTTTTTCTCTGGGCACAGCACTGCTGGGAGGTTGTCCTGGCAGCAGTCTTGAGTAAGCCATCTTCCCCATGCACTATGTGTAAAGTTTAGTTTTTAAGTCTTTAACATAAAGGAAGAATTGAGAGTGGCTGGCAGAGTAATGTGACTCCAAAAACCTTCTAAACCTTTACAGTTCTTCTCTGCTCTTTAGTTGCCTCACTCACCTAATTCCATGGCATTTTTCAGTGATTACTGTTCAGTGTTTCCAAAGCATTCAGCTCTTGTAGAAAGATCAGCTCTCTTCATGTTCACTGTCTTATGTCCCCTGTTGACATAGTACCAAAATACATATAAATGGATAATTATAATAAGCAATAGAATTAGTGGCCGGGCACGGTGGCTCACGCCTGTAATCCCAGCACTTTGGGAAGCCGAGGCGGGCAGATCACGAGGTCAGGAGATGGAGACCATCCTGGCTAACACGGTGAAACCCCGTCTCTACTAAAAATACAAAAAATTAGCTGGGCGTGGTGGTGGGCGCCTCTAGTCCCAGCTACTCGGGGGGCTGAGGCAGGAGAATGGCATGAACCCGGGAGGCGGAGCTTGCAGTGAGCAGAGATTGTGCCGCTGCACTCTAGCCTGGGCGACAGAGCAAGACTCCGTCCCAAAAAAAAAAAAAAAAAGAATTAGCACCAGCAGGTTTGGGAGCATACAACTCAGCCCACCAAAGCAGAGAGGACAGGAGTATGAGTCCCTGGCAACCAAAGCATTCAGGCTGCCATGGGCTTCAGTCAGCAATGGTTACATGTCAACTCTCTCAAGTCCAGCAAGTTGGCTAAAATTAATGTTTATTATATAAGACAAAGCTCTATGTCATTGTATCTGTTTTCTGTTGTTACTCTAACAAATTACCACCAATTTAGCAGCTTAAAACAACATCCTCGTTTACTTCACAGTTGTGTGAGTCAGAAGTCCAGGTGGTCTCAGCTGGGTTCTCTGCATAAGATCTCACAAGGCCTAAAACAAGATGTTGGCCATCTCAGCTCTTACCTGAAAGCTCCAGGGAAGAATCTGCTTCCACGCTCATTCAGGTTGCTGACTGATTGCAGCTGCAGGTCTGAGGTCACTGTTTCCTTGCTGGCTGTCAGGTGGGGCTACTCGCAGCTCCTGAAGGATGCCCACACTCCTTGACATGTGGCTGCCTCCATCTTTGAGCCAGCAGTGGCATGCCAAATCCCTCCAAGGGCTTCAAATCTATGACTTCCCCTCTGCAATCAGAAAAGAAAACTCTCAGCTTTTAAAAGAACTCATATGATTAGGTCAAGCCCACCCAGATAAGCCTATCTTTTTTTTTCTTTTTTTGAGACAGTCTCGCTCTGTCGCCAGACTGGAGTGCAGTGGCACGATCTCAGCTCACTGCAACCTCCACCTCCCAGGTTCAAGTGATTCTCCTGCCTCAGCCGCGCACTACCACGCCCAGCTAATTTTTGTATTTTTAGTAGAGATGGGGTTTCACCATGTTGGCCAGGATGGTCTCAATCTCTTGACCTTGTGATCCCCCCGCCTCAGCCTCCCAAAGTGCTGGGATTACAGGTGTGAGTCATCGCACCTGGCCTAAGCCTATCTTGAAGTCAACTATGCCATATAACAAAACATAATCATGGGAGTGATAGCTTATCAATCAGTGAGTTCTGGGGAGTAGAGCTTGGAATCTTGGTTGTAGAATTCTGCCTACCACAGTCATTAAAATGGGGACAAAAGGAAAGGGTCTTCCAGGCTAAATGGAGGGCATAAGCAAAGACATAGGGAATGACAGGGCATTGGGTGAACAATTTGGGGAACAGTAGCACTGTATCCCCCTTTAATCCCTGCTGGGACCCCTTCTGCTTCTAACACCCCAACTAAAAACAGATAAAAGAAAGTGAGAAGATGAGAAAATAGAAATTAAATCATGCTAAGATTTCTAAATAATATTTCCCTTGGTTGTATCCTAATCATTAGTTTATGAAATGATGACTTAAGGATCTAAAGAAGTGCCATCACATTCTTTCCCAAGAGAGCAAGAGATAACATTCATTGGTCTACTGACAATGATATAATGATGTCAAAATATAGCCACTTTCTAGCTGTTCAAGTGGAAAAAAATTTAAATGGGAATTCCCAATGCTAACAGATAAAACTGATATTGTCAAAAATTGCAGCGTAAACAAGTACAACTCATTAAGAATATAATGTTGTAATATGCTAAAAAGAATAAAAATATTCATAGCCTTTGACCTCACTTTGAGGACATTATACCAAGGAGATAACCCAAAAGAATTTTTTGAATTATGCAATAAAAATACACTTTGCAGCAACATTTATATACCGTGGTTTTTTTGTTTGTTTGTTTTTTGTTTTGTTTGTTTGTTTGTTTGTTTTTTGAGACAGAGTCTTGCTCTGTTGCCCAGGCTGGAGTGCAGTGGTGCGATCTGGGCTCACTGCAAGCTCCGCCTCCCGGGTTCATGCCATTCTCCTGCCTCAGCCTCCCAAGTAGCTGGGACTACAGGTGCCCACCACCACGCCTGGCTAATTTTTTGTATTTTTTTTTGTAGTAGAGACGGGGTTTCACCGCGTTAGCCAGGATGGTCTCCATCTCCTGATCTTGTGATCCGCCCGCCTCGGCCTCCCAAAGTGCTGGAATTACAGGTGTGAGCCACTGCACCGGTCCTATATACTATGTTTTTAATCTAAATGTTCATAAATGAAAAATGGTTAAATTAGAGTCTCACCATTTAATGAAATAAGCATTTTAATTGTGAAGACTATAATGTAATACTGAAAAATGTGGATAATATTTTACATTTAAAAGTAAAATACAAAATCTTATCTATCCTACAATTACAACTGTGTAAAAAATTCTTCTGTCCATAAACAAGATTTGGGAGGAAACTTGAAAAATGAAAACAATTTGATTAAGATTGTGGATGAACTTTCCCTTTCACTTTGATTTATATTAATAGTGCCTTATGGTTGTTTGTGCAATAAGTAATAATGGTAGTAAGCTTTAGAAAAGTCATATATGAACTCCTAAAGACTCCGACTACTGTGAATGTCACTGCACTCTCACCAGTTTTAAAAGGACCAGGGACAGTTAATCAAACAAAATATAGATTACAAGTCAAGGCCGCTGTAAAATGAGCCCTCAATCTCTGAGCTCAGTTCTTGAAGCAGCCCTACAAAAGAGAATTACAAGTACATTTTCCTTCTATGCTGTTTTCATCTTATCTTAAGTAAATAAGCACCCGGTGGTATTGAAAATTGTATCCTCTGCCACCTGAAGCAATGAGGAATGTGAAAAGGTAAAGAGAATTGCAACAATTCACAATTCCTGCAAAGAGAAAAAAGTGGTTATTTGCAAGAGTGTGTCACAACGAAGAGAGTAAAACTCCTTAATCAAGCCTATTATCCAGAGAGTTATTAATTAAAAGGGGCTTTGTTTTTCGCTCATCGTTTGGTAATTCTGATTAAAAATATCTCTAAAAAGAATTCACATTCTAAACCTGAACTGGGCAGATATCATATTCAACTGCTGGAAAGTGACTTAAAAAGCAAACAAACCAAAAATCACAGCATTTAGCCAAAAGAGGAGATGAACTAAGCTGTCCCTCCTATTGTGTAGATTTCATTATTTGCAAATACACAACAGCATCTACCTCTTCTAAGATGAAAATTGTTTTAATTCTGTTTCACTGAGAATTGGCTCATTTTTATAATGAAACTTGCATTGCAGTGCCCTGAATCTCAAGTCCAGAAATCCACTAGAGGACCTGTTACGGTGGAGAGAAGATCAGTCTCCATTAAGGTTGGCGATTGATCAGGTAGCGTTGACCTGCCTCACCTCTGTGGGCTTCTAATTCCCTCTGGTTCCATTTTCATCAAAGAAGCAAACATTGTGAGGAAGTAGTTCTATTACCATACTTAAAATTCCTATACTAGTCAGCAGTACTCAGAAAAAAATCATGTCTCCTCCAGCTCTAGGGGATCTACTGCAAATCCTTTAAATTGTCATATTATCCTCTCATTTGCTTCTATTTTAGCAAAGCAAATGATTAAAAATTAAACTTTCATTTAGAAGCATAATTATTTTAAAGGGTGTCAGGGCTTCATGTTAAACAAATTTACCTCAGCAAATAGAATGAGGCTTTGGAATTTCGCTTGGAGAGTTAATGAAATAACCGTAATTTGGTTAGGTGAATCAACCTACATCATCTTATTTGAAGAGATTTCTCTCCTTATTTATTCAGTTGTCATGTATGTAGTTGTTACTTATTCTTTCAGTAAATATCTTAGCTGTGATTCTGACTGAATCAGAGAAACATTTTTGTTTCAAATCAGGAAGATAATTTTCTAGATACATGAAAACAAAAATTAATGTGATTTCCCTCAAAGAGAGTGGGAATTTATAAGTTTAAGAAGTAGTAATAGTACTAATCTGAATTTCTAAATCCTTAAAAATTCCCCATGGAACATAAAATTTTGTTCTGAATACTTGAGATAAATTAGTTTAGTGTTATGAGTTGGAAAAGGCCAATGCCTGGCCCAGTGCCTGAAAATCTTTAGGCTGAATGAATGAATGAATGAATGAACAAATGAACTGTCAACCTAAATAACAGAGAGAGGCTCTCTAAAAGAAAATGATATTTATTCAAGAACAAGTATTTGGGAATAGAGGGGCTTTTAGAGAATCTCTCTGTTTGTTACTTAGATTGACAATATGCTAATCTAGTCAACTGTCTAAGCAGTTGGGTACCACGGAGCTCATGGAGTCCAGGAGCTGGTGCAGAGGGAGGCCACTGGACATAGGTGTGATAAATACGCAATGGAAGTGCCACCTCTTTGTTTCTTCTACCTTAAGATTGTACCCCCACCACCAGCACAATAGGCCTACTCGATTTCATTGTGGGGAGGGAAAGATAAGGGAATGGTGGTGAGTAAGTCTACCCCTAAATGTATGGGTATGGACCAACAGTGTAGATGGAAGCCCATATATGTTATTTACAAGTGATAACCAAGCTACAGGAAGGTACGTGTTTTCACTGAGAGCTCTCCACTCACCC
Source organism: Homo sapiens (assembly GCF_000001405.40). NCBI lineage: Eukaryota > Metazoa > Chordata > Mammalia > Primates > Hominidae > Homo > Homo sapiens. Next base: position 54,088,816 of record NC_000003.12, on the reverse strand, counting down.
GCACAGCCCTCTTCCTACATGCCAAAGGAGTCCACTCTGTGCTCCAGCGCCAGCCCTTTGTCCTGTGAGCCCTGGCGGGAACAAGGGTACGCTGGGGCAGGGCAGGTGGGAGCCAGGCTGACTCCTCAGTTGTTCCTAGACTGGCCCAACAAGGGAACAATCTAGTCAACCTCTCCAGGCAGCTGGCAATAACTCTTATGCTGAAAGACCAGCCAACTGACGGCTGTCCCACCTTCCTCTCAGGGAGAGAACCATGCAACACCGCCAGCAGTCCTCGGCTGAGAAAGGCAGGTTAGAGAAGCTCAGCTCACCATGCAATCACCATGCAGCCACCATCAGAATGAGGTCCTCCCATCCAAACTGCATGGCTTGGAGTAAGGGAAGCAAAGTCCCGAGGGAAAAATCCAAGGGATGATCTCTGGGGAAGCGACAAGCACCCCACAACATTAGGTGTGCAACCGGGGCTACTCTTGACCTCCTGAGCCTCGGCCTCTTCACTCTGACCCCAGGGGCCGATGCCCTCACCTCTAAGAGGTTTGGGGAGGACTCCATGAGACGCCTTCAAGTCAGCACTCCAAGCCAGCACAGAGTGAGAGCTCCACAACCCTGAGCCTGGCGCGCTGTCGTGCTTGGGAAGAATGGGTTCTGTCCCAGAAGGCAAGAATAGTTAGTTTGAGGCTGGCTGAGGTCCCCTGGCGGAAGCCACCGACGTGGGGGTAGCCGTGGGGACGCTCAAAGGAAGGCTCCACGCTGCCGCCCAGGGGCCCGGGTGCGTCAGGGCTCCTCGGACCTCGGGCGAGCTCAGGCGGGCGGCGGCCTGGCCCGTGCCCGCTCCCCCACGCATCTGAACATGCCGGGCTCTGCTGGCTGGCCAGGATGGCAGAGAGAGCCGGCTGGTGCCCTCGGGGAGGGGCGGGACTCTCCCCGCAGGGTCCCAGATGGCTCGGGAAGAAAAGCCATCAACCAGGAAATGAAGAAAACAGCAGGTCAATTAGCGGCGGGCCTGTGATGCGAGGGGCCCCCGCGGCGGCGGGGACTGCGTGGGGCCACCCACCCTCAGCGTGCGGCCCGTAGGGTGTGCCGCTAGTCCTGCGATCCCAGGACCCCAGCCCCATGTCCCGGGGACTGGGAGCCGCCCGCGGACACACTGACTCTGGGCTGCTAAGACGCGCCTCTTCTCTGAGCTGCCTGCCAGGAGGTCACGGGCAGAGCGGCTGCGGATCTGGCTCCTTTTTATTTTTTAAGAACTCAGCGGTCTGGAGCTGGTCAGCCTGGTGCACGGCTCTTTTTCCCTTTCTTCTCAATGTTTTTCTCACTGTGGCCTCGTTTACCCCTGCCCCCACCGCTAAGTGCTTTTAGTCGGAGGAAAAATTGACCCGCAGAAATCACTGCATTTTGTACCCAAGACAGTATTTGAACTTCCTAATAGCCCTTCGAATCCCCTCAGGGCTCTGCTTCTAATAAACCAAACCTTCAAAGTGGAATAAAACAGTTTTCTCACCCTACCAACCTTCTTCATAATTAGCCTCAGCTAGAGGGTCCCACTTGGACTGTCTGGCTGACGGCTGTGCCGCCCAGGCCTGGAAACTGGGCCCTCAAGGACTGGTAGCAGAGAGAACAAAGGCGGAAACCGGCTGCCCCCACTGACCCTGGGCTGGGTGTTCTATAAAGCCATCCTGTGCCTATGGACTATTAAACCCATTTTACAGGAAGGGAAGTGAAGATCATGGGGACGGGTGATTCTCCCGAGGCCCTCTCCTTTGTAAGCTATAGAGTTAGGTCTGGAATCCTGGTCTATGGGTCTCTAAATGTTCTTATACCTCTTCCTGTGCCACATAAGATTCTCACTGGGTTATCAGCTATTTTAATCACTGCTGGATTTAGTGAAATCAGCTACAGAGCGTCTATGATTTTCACTCAGGGGCTATGTTAATCATTCACCCTTTATAGGCCACTTGTAGGCACTTACAGTTTCTGAAAGGCCACTGTAAGAATCATACTTCATTTAGTTGGCTCTCTGTGGTAGACTATGGCACTGGTAAATTTTCCTCAGACTAATACATCTGGGTGCTCTCTGGCATTCAAGGGGGTGCAACTTTCCATAGAAATGTATCTGTCCACCCTGACATCACACTGCTTTTAGCATCATAAAAGCATGTTTCCTTGCCTGTATTTTCTAGTGCAGATTTTCTCCTTTTCAGTGTCCTTGGGTTTAAAGCCTTCATAGAGCATAGTAATCTAAAGTCACAATGAAAATGTATATTTCCTTTTCAAATGTGAGAAATGAGAAAAGCCCTAATCATAGATTAATACTATAGAGTTTAAACTGGAGCGCTCTGTCCGAGTGAATTTACAGCAACATCTTTACCAATGCTCCAGTCTTCCCCCTGAAGAAAATGTTTTATTTTCCCAAGACCTGCTTATTATGTCAGACAAAAAATTCGCTTATTTCTTGAGCCACATTTCTCCTTTGTTTTGCCTTGATGGTGTGTGTAAAAACGAAATGTACTAATAAACAAATACCAAGAAATACCATAGAAGCAAGAAAAAAAAAAAGACTGACAATCCAAAGCTAAAAATTAAATTAAATTAAGACCCGTAACTTCTAGGCTGTAAGGAACAGGGCTTTCACCTCCCCAATGTTTAACAAGCATTTCTCACGTGCCAGGCCCTGTGCTAGGCACTGGTGAACAAACCACTGTCTGTGACGTCGCAAATCACAGAGTAGTGGGGAAGACATGCCTGAAGCCAATAGTTACAAGGTATTAATTAAGCCTTACAGAGAACTGTGAGGACATGTAACAGGAGGCTCTAAGCTAGCCTGGGGTGAAGGAAGTTTCCGGAAGGAAGACAGAGTCTTTGCTGAGTTGAAAAGGAGATTGCCAGTTAAGACAGGTGTTTTAGTCTGTTTTATGTTGCTTATAACAGAATGCCTGAAACTGAGTAATTTATAAAGAAAAGGAATTTATTTCTCACAGTTACAAAGCCTGAGAAGTCCTAGGTATAGGGGCTGCATCTGGTGAGGGTCTTCTTGCTGGCAGAGACTGCAGCGTCTCGAGGCAGTGCAGGGCATCACATGGTGAGGGGGCTAACTGTGCTAGCTGAAGTATCTTTTCCTTCTCTTATAAAGCCACTAGTCCTACTCCCAGGATAACTCATTAATCCACTAACCCATTAATCCATTCATTATGAGTGGATTAATTCATTTATGAGGGCACAGCCCTTATAAACCAATCACCTCTTAAAGTTCCCACCCCGAAATACTGCCATCTTGGGGATTAAATTTTAACATGAGTTTTGGAGGGGACAAACATTCAAACCAAACTGCTGGGCACAGTGGCTCGCACCTATAATCCCAGCACTTTGGGAGGCTGAGGTGGGAGGATCACTGGAGCCCAGGAGCTCGAGACCAGCCTGAGCAACATGGCAAAACACCGTCTCTACAAAAAATACAAAATTAGCTGGGCGTGGTGGTGCACACCTGTGGCCCCAGCTACTCAGGGGGCTAAGGTGGGAGGATCACCTGAATGCTAGGAGGTCAAAGCTACAGTGAGCCATGATCATGCCACTGCACTCCAGCCTGGGTGACAGAGCAAGATCCTATCTCAACCATAGCAGAGGGGCAAAGAGCTCTCAAGCAATGAAGAGTATGTGGGAGTATGTGGGCAGCAGGAGAGCCTGGCAGGCTGGAAGAACTGAAAAGATTCCAGAATGACCGATGAAAAAATATAGAGAACAGAGTGGTGCAAGGTGAGTTTGGAGAGGTCCCAGCCTATCAGTGGACATGACCTTTGCCTCAGAAACCTAGTCCAGTTGTGTAGACCACAGAGGCTAAGCTCCATGAGAACAAGGACCAAGCCTGCTTTTACTTGTTGTACTTGGCATACTTGCTAGCCCAGCACTAGTACATGGTAGGTTCTCATTAAACAGTGGCTATTTCTGCATTATTGTCACAAGTCTTTATTCATTTCTCCCACTTTCTCTCTATTTCTGTCCCTACCCTCTAACTAAATGTTGCACCTGTTTCTCTCACTGTCCTTTCCCTGGTTTAAAAGTCATGGATTAATCAGGTTTTTCTCTTCCTTCCATGTTCTTCCCTGTTCTTTCTTCCCATTTTGCCATATACTGTATTTAACAATTCCTTGCAATGCCACAGAGAAGGGAGAAATCATTAAGCCAGATCACTAAGGGGGAAAATAAACAAGGACACTCTTGCATCTTAAATCTTAATCCATTCACTCTAGGGTGGATCAAATCTGCACAGGGCTTTTGGGTATTTACACAACCAACTAACAAAGTGAGGAGGACTTTCTGCTTTAAATGGCAGGTAATTTATACCCAAAGAGTGTATTTTAATTCATCATTAAGCTCCTTTTCATTGATTATGATGCCAAAGCTTGAGGTGGCACATGGCAAATATGTGCCCTGAGTGCCAAATTGGTCCCTCTGGGACTGGAAAAGCATTTTAGAAACCATGCCTGAGGCTGATGTACGTATAATTTTGAGTCGTCAGAGCTTATCTCTCTACTGTGGCAGAATCACCAATAGTCTCGGCTTCTGAAAAAAAAAATTGGCATTCTTAACTCTCCAGACACTCATGCATATGTTGTATTTTGTTTTGTTTTGTTTCCAAGTAGTTTGGATACCGAGAGACCTTCCTAGAAACCTAATTAATAAGCAAATCATCCTGAGGGTTTATTTCAATTTGTTTATTTGCATTCCTCAGCCTTCTGGGACAGTCACCCTCTGCTTCAATACCCAACTAAAATGACTCACCTCATTGTCCCACAGTTGTTCCCAAGAGGTAAAGATGCAAGCTCCTGTTCCCTCTTGCTTTGAGTTTGTGCTCAGAGCTCGTCTCCAGCCCTTTCTCCTTAAGCATGAGCAAAGCCTCCCCCGTTTCCTTTCCCAAGCACCACCAATCCAAGGTTGTGTGTATAAAAGACCTTTACAAAATCTGGAGTAAACAGAGGGTAATTACAGCTCAGGGCTGTTGGGGGGAAACTTCAAGCTTAAAGCTTGACACGAATAGTTACTGAAAATTCATCACCTATCCTCTGACCAAGAGTGACTGTTGTAGTCTCCTTGGGCCCTTGGGTCACCAGCCCTATTTCTCTCCATTTCTAAGAGATTTTCTCCCTCTCTCTTGTTGTCCAGATCAGTTCTGCTATTCTCCTATAATTTACTAAGCAATGATAGACACTTTATATTCTCAAATATAAAGAAATAATTATTTCTTCCCTGTTGCACTTTTACTGGAGATGCTTCAAGAAGAAGAGCCTGTCGGCTGGGCACAGTGGCTTATGCCTATAATCCCAGAACTTTGGGAGGCCGAGGTGGGCAGATCACCTGAGGTCAGGAGTTCGAGACCAGCCTGGTCAAGACCAGCCTGGCCAACATGGTAAAACCCCATCTCTACTAAAAATACAAAGAAATTAGCCAGGCATGGTGGTGGGCGTCTGTAATCCCAGCTACTTGGGAGGCTGAGGCAGGAGAATCACTTAAACCAGGGACACTAGTTTGCAGTGAGCCGAGATTGTGCCTCTGCATTCCAGTCTGGGCAACAGAGCAAGGCTCTGTCTCAAAAAAAAAAAAAAAGAAGAAGAAGATGAGCCTGTCTCTAAAAGTCAAAACTACTATGTGTTCAGAAATTCATCTCCTCAGAGTCTTCCTGCCTCTCACCCAGACTGAAGTGCAATGGTGCGATCATAGCTCACTGCAATCTTGACCTCCTGGGCTCAAGTGATCCCCCCACCCTAGCCTCCCAAGTAGCTGGGACTACAGGTATGCACCACCTAAGTAATTTTTTTTGGTAGAGATGGGATCTCACTATGTTGCCCAGGCTGGTCTTGAACTCCTGGGCTCAAGCTATCCTCCTGCCTTGACCTCACAAAGTGCTGGGATGACAGGCATGAGCGACCACACCTGGCTGATACTTCTAACATAAAGAAATAGCCCTAAAACTACCATTTTATGAGCACTGTCTAGGTACCAGCTACGTAACAAGCCTTATTTCATTTAATCTTTATAACACCTGTATATGATTAGCATTATTCTCTTCATTTTACAGATTATCATCATCACAGAGCTAAAATTTATTGAGTGCTCACTATGCATCAAGCTCTATGTGAAGCACTTTTTATGGTCACCCTGCTGAATCCTCACAATTCTATGTAAAGTTACTGTTGCCATGCTGTTTCACAGAGGAAGAAACTGAGGCCGAGAGGAGAAATGATGGGTTAGCGTCATTCAGGCAATAATGGAGCCCAGGTCGCATGATTCCAAGGCCTGTGATTTTTCACACACCATAGAACTTCAACATGACTGAGCTCCTGGAATTTTAGGAACATCCCCTCAGAAGAAAGACCATGAGCAATGGTCTTTACGAACTATCTCTGAGCTAACCCAGGGCCTGTCTCAGAGAAGGACCTCGGTAATTAGGTGTTGAATGAACGAGGGATACTGGTTCTGGATTCTTCTGTAGAGACTTTCAGGAGCACCACTCCGGGTTGAGGTAGCTTGTTCCTCTCACTGGGTCTTCTCTTTGTTGTCATTCTGCATCCCCTGTGATGGTTCAGTTGAGGAAGTGCCCATCAATTAAGGAAAAGCATCCTTGCTGAGAGTGCAGCATTAAACTTTAATGGGGAGAAAGAGGGAAGAATAGTAATTGTGGCAAGAATAAAACTAGGCTTTTTTCTAACAAAACCCCTGCCAGTATCATCCATGATTGCCTAGGACTGTGGCTTGATGAAATGACCCTACTATCATTGAGAGACTTAGGAGCTCCCATTCCTTTCTCAAGTCAGCTGACAGGACCAGCAGTTTGATTCTCTCTCTGTTTCTCCACTATGTCAAGAACCTGGTGTCCTAAGCACTCAGAGGAACACTGGCCTGGGACTAAAGGGAAAAGGAGGTAATTCTCCTGAAACATGAGACTGGCAAAGTGATGTTCCTAGCCCCTCCAAACTTAGAGGCTAGGTTCATAGAGGGGGTACCTGCTATTCTGCTCTGATCCATGTCCAGGAGAAAGGTTTCTTTGTCAGGGAGTCTCTCTGGAAAGGGAACAGGAGAAATCAACATGACCCCTCACCTGACACTCCTATGCAAGTCTATATATCCCCATCCTTCAGATAGCAAAAAAAAAAAAAAAAAAAGGAAAAAGAAAAGAAAAATGATAACACCCAGTATTGGGGAGAGTAAATAGCAAAAGTCAGTCTGGCCACGTGTGCCACAGAGCTTTAGAAACGTGCATCTCATTTGACCCAGCAATTGCACTTCTAGGAATTTATCTGAAGGAAATGATTTCAAATGTGGACTATTTTAGCTATAAGGAGGTTCGTTCACAGCAGTGGTTTTATAATAGCATAAAACTGGAATAACCCTAAATGCCCAACAACAGAAAATTGGTTCCATTAATTTTACTTCATCACTACAATAACATATTCAGCACTCATTAAAACAATAATATACATCTCTATTTGTTGACATGGAAAGACATGGCATAATGTTAAAGTGGATTAACTTAAACATCAGAATTTTTCCATTTTTGTGTATGCGTGTGTGTGTGTGTGTGTGTGCATGCTCCTTAGAAGTGGTTATTTCTTGGTTATATGATTATGAGAGCTTGTTTCTTCTTTATACTTGAATGCATTCCATGAAAATTGTGTAAGCGTAGAAAACTTATAATCAGAAAAAAATTAACGATCATATTTCTGTTTCTTCAAAAAGGACTATTTATCAAGAAAATCAAAGACAAAGACAGATCCTAGGAGGTTCTCATTTAACCAAATGGATAGAAATCAGATCACTGTTGAACATCTAGTTGGAACTGACTTTGCCGCTCTACTCAAATGGTGAAGGCTTCCTTCTTCCAACAGACTGTGTGGCAGCATGAATTATGGGCAGGGATCTGTGACTGCTCAACTTTTCTCTGGAGGCCCTGCTCAGGGGTTCAGCTGTCCTGTTCCTCAGTGTCACATCTTCCACAAAGCCATTCACCCTTTAAGGATTCACTGAGCACTCATCCTGTGTCAGGTGCTGAGCTGAGCACCTGGGATTTGGAGGACAGGAAGACACAGTCCCACAATCAGAAGAGAAGCCTTTCCCTAGCCTTCTCTCAGAGCACTCCCCCAGAATCCCTTAGCCTATGATCTGCATCTCCTGGGCACCTTTCCTTTCCACCTTCTTTTACCTTTGTCTTCTACTTCCAGTCCTCTTACCACCAGGCCATCTGTCCCTTGAGGGCTGCCTCAGAATCTCCCACAGCATGTAACAGAATGAGTGGCACACAGCAGAAGCTCAATAAATATTTATGGAATGACTGGCTAAATGTAATTACTACCAGAGAAGCATATTTCCTTTATTTAGATTGACGTGAGTGTGATGTCTGATATCTTGCATCAGTTAGAACTCTTTTCAGATGTAAGTGACATAAAATGCAACCTTAACCATCTTAAGCAAAAAGGAGGATTTACTGTCTTCCATAACTGTGAAGTTTATAAGCAAGCTTCAATGGATCCAGGGGCTTAAACAATGCAGAACTTGGTCTCTCTCTATCTCTCAGCTTGACTTCTCTGTGCTGGCTCCATTCTCAGGCTCTTTCCTTGTGTAACCAAGATGGCTCATGACAGCTTGGGGCTTTCACAGACCCAAGTCTAGCAAGGGGAAGTGAGGGAGAGAAGGAGGAGTGGAGCGCATCTCTTTTGAAATCCAAGCGATGATCCCCAGATTGGCAAATTGGACCTGACTTCTTGGCGTGGGTTTTGTGAGCATCCTGAACCAATCACAGAGCCAGGAGCTACTGTGCCCTGACTGGCCAGGGTTGAGTTATGCGCCTAAGTCTGCAGCAGTTGGTGCACTCATAGTGAGGGAGGAGAGAAGGCTGGCTGCCCCAGACACAATCAGTGTGCTGTTACCAGAGAGACAGTGGGGATCCGGGGATATTGAGCTTCCCTGAACAGTCATTTCCCTGACAGAAAGCACATCTTGCCTAAGTTTCTTGGGCTAAAACTCAACCAATTTCCTTTAAGCATAAACATCTTGGTTTCTCCCCCTACCTAAGCCGCGGAACTGCACCCAAGCCCGCGTGGGGAAGATAGAACTGTCTCAGACTAAACCTCCCCAACTTTAGCCAAGTGTGGCCCGTGGATGTGTGTTTGCATCTCCCAGGGAAGTCATTCTCCACCAACCCCAGCTGCACACGGAGATCACTTGGAAGGAAGAGGGCATTTTAAAAGTAGATGCCTGGGTGTGCCTCCCCCATTCTTATTCAAATGTCAGTCTAGGTAGGACACCCCAGGTCACACAATCACCTCTGCTGTGAATTGTGGAGCAGCAAGGGGAACACAGCCTTGTTTTGCATTCAGAAAGAGCTGAGAGCAGAACCCTGATCTACCAGCTATTAACCCTACAACAGTGGGCAAGTTAGCTGTCTCGCTGAGACTAACTTTCCTGTCTATTAAATGGAAGTGATACGCTCTAGGTTGCAGGGATGCTATGATGATTAGAAATAAAGCAGGCAAAATTCTGGTCCCAGTAGGTGCTTAAAGATTCATAGATGCAGGTTCCAAACAAGACTGCCAAGGGGCTATCACTTCTCCCTGCAGAAGCAAAGCTTGCTTTGTTCTTGGCTAACTTGTTTTTCAAATGCCAGCCACTCATTCTACGCTTCACCAAGGAAGAACAGTTTGTCAGGATACTTAAATTAAGACATTCCTCTTAATATTTTCATAATGTGAAAGAATATTTTTTAAAATGTTAGTGTGTGCTATGCTCAGATAGCATGAAGTACAAAAGAGACATGCATATGCAAATTAACCTTATTAAAAAGGTTCTCTGAAGACACTTCCTGAATAATGAACATGAATAATGGCGAGAATGGTGGTTATCCAAGCACCAAAACCTGTCTCAGAAACTTCAAACATTTGTTTTCTATATTGTTGACATTATATGAAAGAAAAGGTCACAGGTGAAATGTAAAGAGATTTTACTATTTGAAACCGTATTGCAAGAACAGCCTCCCCCTAGGGTAGGAATATCTAGAAGGGGTTAAATGTCACTAACAGTCTCAAAATTATTGCAGTAGATTTGCAGAAAAAAGAGATATAAAGGGTCTTTTTCATTAAAAATGTTCTTTGATTTTCAGTTGTAGCTTTGGCGGCATTATTGGCAAGGGAGCGATTGTAGAGAACGTGGCTCAGATGGTGGCAGGGGCCAAGTTGAGAAGGCACTTGGGGCAGTTTACACATAAAAGGAGTTTCCCCTCAAAGAGAAAGTGCAGACCAGCCAGCTGAGCTCACAAGAAGTCATTTCATTAATTTCCAGAAAGAAAGGAGATTGAGAAGAATACACTGGAGCACTCTCCCGTGCAAGGAAACCAGCTTCAAAACCATCCACATCAGGACTGCAGACTCCAGTCTGCTCATTCATCCCACACACATTGAGGGATGCTTGTGTGGGTCACAGTCAGGCTGGGCTCAGGGATTACCAGCAGGGGATGAGCCAGAGCCCTGTGCGATCTCAAAGTCTGGAGGGGTCTATGAGGCCACAGGATAAGCCTCACAGACCCTCAACTACAGAAAGAGTAAAGGACTCAGGAAACCCATCCTGGCGTTTGCACTGAGTTCACTCCTTCTGCAGGCAGCACCAGCCAACTCAGTCCAGCAGGAGTATTGTTAATGCAGGCCCATTCCAAGGAAACCCTGGGAGTCTTCTGTTGCTATTGCTGCTGTTGTTTAAAAGGCACGGTCTCCCTGTGTTGCCCAGGCTGGCCTCAAGCGATCCTCCTGTGATGGCCTGTTTTGACTTGAAGTCTCTCCTACGGCATGGGGGTCTAAGGGCTTCCACTCAGCCTTCCTTCCCTCTCCTTCACTGGCATTGTGTTCTGACATGTCTCCTGGTCTACCCCACTTTACTGCCCATGTTTTCTCACTGGTGTTTCCCCTGATAAAATCCCATCTCAACATCTATTTCTTGGAAAACCTGGACCAGCACAGGGCCCCACAATCCAGAAACATGATAGAGAAAGTAAAGAAGAAAACACAAGTGTAAGGAAAGCTTTCAGTGTTCCAAGCACTGTTGAGTGCCCTGCGGCAACCCCCAGAGTTAACGTTCCCCATGCCCTCTAAAGTGGGTTCTGCTGCCATTTCTGTTTGATTCAGGAGAAACAACAAGGTACAGGGAGGGCAAGTTACTGCCCAGTTGGTAAGCAGTGGCACCAAAGTTTGCCTGTATGGTTAGCTAGTACACCTGGCAAAGCCTTCAGGAGCACTGCACAGCCACTGCCTCCTGCAGCTCTGCCATCTCCAATGTGTCCCTGAGGAAACAGGGCACAAGTCCTCACTGACACACAACAAAGAATAACAAGGACACTACTCTTGAGATGCCAGCAGGAGGGGGAGGTTCCCAGCTGCCTAGGCAGGGTGGACAAAGGTAGTGCTTATGCCTGGGGCCAACCCTGAAGCCAAAAGCCAAACCAAAGTCCCCTGATCAAAGAACAACAGATGGAAAGCCCAGGAGGCTCTGGGAATTGATGAGAGACAACAGGCACCATGCACTGTTACTCCTGACTTTCTGGGCTTGCCTGTGCAGTGGATGCTGCCGTGTTTTCACCTGTTTATCCTTCTACTGCTAGTAATTCCTCAGCTTCCCTCTGGCAACTCTCTCGTCTCCCACTGCAGCCCACATGATTTTGGGTGGAGTTCAGTCAACCACTGATCAGGCAAGCCTGGCATCAAATTCTCCTTGGAGGGATGATTGGTGCAGGAACGAGCTTGGGACCCGATCAAGAGATGTGGTGGGACTGGCCAGGCATGGTGGCTCACATCTGTAATCCCGGCACTTTGGGAGGCCAAAGCAGGCAGATCACTTGAGGTCAGGAGTTTGAGACCAGCCTGGCCAACATGGTGAAACCCCATCTCTACTAATAATACAAAAACTAGCCAGGTGTGGCGGCACACGCCTGTAATCGCAGCTACTCAGCAGGCTGATACAGGAGACTCGCTTGAACCCTGGAGGCAAAGGCTGCAGTAAGCCGAGATAGTGCCACTGCAATCCAGCCAGGGTGACAGAGCGAGACTCTGTCTCAAAAAAAAAAACAGAGAGAGGAAGGGAAGTGGGCCCTTCTTTCCCATTGGGCTTGAACCTACCAGGGTGTAGCCGTGGAGCCATGGGCCATCAGTCATCTTCCCTGAGAAGGAAACTAACCCACGTAACAGAACTGAGAATTGGTGACATTGATTGAACCCCTGCATTCAACTGAGCCTGAAATCAGCATGTGTCTGGATTTTTCAGTTACCTATGCATTAGAAACAAATTTTCGGTGTTGCAAAGTTAACCCAGCACTCAGGCAAAAGTTCTTTCAGCAAGGCAATTTACTTTTATAGAAGGGCACTTTCTGTATGCAAGGCAGAGGCAAGAGGGAGCACATAAAACAAAGGAGAGCAGGAGTTTTTTGTCCCTAATGCAGACCCTGTTCCTGTGTCCTCCCCCTGTGGGCTGGGGTAGGACCACACAATCTAGGCTAATTCTGATTGGTTACTATTGACATCGTCAAAGGAGGCGAGGGTGGGTGTTTGACAGGAAGGACAGGTATGGTACATCTTGGGGTGTTTGGGCACAGCAGAGAGAGGGAGGGCTGATAGATGAATGGGTATGATTACCTTTTAGCATAGAACAAAGAACCAGGAACCAAAACCCTTTGGAGAAGAACTGTTTGGTCTTAATAACAATTTCCCCCTCTTGAATTTATACATTTTCTTTTTCAAACTTATCGAACATGATTCGGCTTTGTTGTTCTTCTAGGACAAATAATTTATTAGTATAAGATTGGAAAGAACTGGGGAAGGTTTTGGTAACAGCTGTTTTTATAAGTTTTTGGACTAGTCCACAAATGTAGAGCATGATGCAGCATCTAACAAGAATAAGCACAGCTATTGTGATTGCAAGAGAAGTAACAATAGAGGCCATGAGTCCTTTCTAATTACCAAACCATTTCTCTAACCATCCTGTGAATGGGTTGCTTATCCCAGAATTTGTGGCTAATTCATTTGATAAGGAGGTAAGACCTTGTAAAGCTTTTGTAATTGTTTTATCAGGGGCTGTATTGTTGGGAATGAAGGTACAGCATTGGGTTCCTGTCATAACACAAACTTCACCTTTTTCTGCTAATATCATATCTAGGGCCATTCTGTTTTCCCAAGCCATTTGGCTAGTAGGCCCTAATTGTTCGGCTATTTCTTTAATAGCATCCCTAGTGTAATTAATAAATCACTGCTGGTTATAATAGATGCAATTTATCTAATCTACATTTTTATTAATAGTTACCCATGGAAATAATGATTCGAATCTTGCAGCTATTTGGTCTCGGGCTTTGAATCTATCAGGTACCCCCCTTGGGACTCCAGTTGCATCTATATTGACATGAGAGTTGAAGGATCCACGAGGGGCCTCTCTTGTTTTATGGCATTGTGGTTTCCCTTTTTTTGGTTGATGAAATGCCGTGGTGAAAGGGATGGCCAATTGAGTTAGAGCACAAGTGCCACTCCAGTTACTTGGCAGAGTGTCCAGTAGGGGTCCACCACAATACCACTATACATCAGCTGGGGGATGAACAAGGGCAGACTGATTGGTAAGCTCTTGGAAAGACTTAAGCTCACTGCATCCCTTTAGGTCTCCAAGAAATGCCAAATTTTCTCCCTGTCATGAGAGACACGAAGTAAAATTCACGTCTGGAGATGGAGGCTAGATGGCCCTCAGGGGCTGACCCGCAGAGTGTTGAACTTCAGGGAATAGCAGAGAGAGAATTCGACAGAATTCATTACCCCAAGCTGTGGGGTCTTGGAAAAGAGCCACCATACAGCTCAAGTCTGGTTGGTCAGAAGACCATCCAAGTGAAAAGGGGATGACCTGGGCCTCTGGCCTACTGTGCACACAAGCCTAAGAGTCACTTTTGTTTAGAGTCCATCTAGGCATTTGCAACTTGGTGTCCTGTTTTAATTGCCAGTGTTTGTTTTAAATTTTTAACCTCTACAATAGCTACTTTGGTTTTGTCATTAGGTGGAGAAGAGACAGTGGTCTGGTCAGCAGGTTTAGAAGAGGATAGAGGTGGAGATGTGAGGGATGAGGATGTGATGAAGTGCAACTCAAAAAATCCTACGAGGTCTTTTTCTGTTATATTTGCTCTCATATCATAGAAATGGTTTAGGGTAGGGGAGGAATCTTGAAGAGTCGGGATGGTGATGGAAATTTGCACCGGGTCATATTGGTTATATTGACAATTGAGAGGGGCACTTTTTTTAGTAAAATGGATATAGGGCTTTAGAACTGTTAGTGGGAAATCTTCTGAGGGGACCCAGTCTTGAGTGGTCCAAACGACATATTTTTAAGTATGACAAAACGGGTACCTAAACAATTTACAAGCATTTGCTGTGGAGGGGCAGAAATATTTTTCTGCTGCTGTAAACTGTCGCTGGCTTTGGAGATCTTCACAAGGCATAACTAAACAAGCATCGAAGGTAATGGTCTGGGGTGAGTCTGATCTAGTTACATTAATAACGAAGTGGCTAGTAACAGAACAAGGAAAGAAGAACGAGTAATAGAATAGATGACAGAGAGTTAAACTTCCCTTGGCTTTAGTTTGGTAGGATTTTCCCCTGGGACTATGGCCCATGACGCTGGAGGGCGCAGCACTTTTTTGACTCGGGTGTGATGGGTCCATCCTTTTTTAGTGGTTTGGACTGCAGTTTCAGTTGTTAGGAGCACCAGATGTGGTCCCTGCCAGGACGGTTCAACTTTCTCTTTTTTTTAGCTCTTAATGAGGACGTAGTCTCCAGGCCGGTGCTGATAGACTGGAAACTCAAGAGGCGGAGTTTGCGCTAAGAGACTTTTAGTCCTAAGGGAAGACAAGGTAGAAAACAGACCAGGTATATATAGTTCCTAAGGAATTGATCTTTGGTCTCAAAAGTGGGAATGTCACTAGTGGAACTTAAGTATGGTAACCCGTAGAGCATTTCTTAAGGAGATAGGCCAACGTCTTTTCGAGGGGCAGTTCGGATTCTGAGTAGAGCAATGGGGAGACACTTAGTCCAAGGTGATTGAGTTTTAAAGATTAACTTAGTTAGATGATTTTTTAAAGTCTGATTCATCCTTTCTATTCTTTCTGATGAGGATGGATGCCAGGGGGTATGATACTCCCATTTGATTCCTAAAGCTTGAGTAAGTCCTTTAATGATATTTATAGTAAAATGAGTCCCATTATCTCAGTCAATGTTTTCTACTAGCCCGAACCGAGGTATTATCTTCTCTAGTAATACTTTAACCACATTATTAGCTGTTGCACTGGGGAGAGGAATGGCTTCAACTCAATGAGTGAGGTGGTCTACTACTACTACTAGGTATTCAAGGTAACCTAGTGGGGGTATTTTAGTATAGTCAACTGGAATGCTTTGAAATGGCCTTAATCTTGGGTTTCTCCCCCCAGATTCTTAGGGCCTGTTTATTAGTTTTCTTACATATTAGGCAACTGTCCACAGCTTGTTTTGCTAAGGTATAAGTTCTTATACATCCATAGACTCTGAGAACTGCATCACATATAGCTTAAGGTCCCCAGTGAGTCCCTTGATGTAGTTGGGACAGGATTTCTCTCATAAGTGGTTTGGAAAGCATTTCCCTTTGGTCTGGTAACACCCACTTCCCTTCTGAGTTTTCCTTAGCCCCTAAGTTTCTCTAACTTTTCTTTTTCAGCAGGAGAGAAGATAGGGATTGTAACTGGGAGAGAGAGACAGGGAGTCAGGTGGAAAATAGATGCTTTTTGAGAGATGGCAGCTTGCTTTGCGATTTTATCAGCAAGGTTATTTCCTCGGCTTTCAAAGGTAGAACAGTTTCTTTTTTCTTCCCCCACTCAGGGCATTTTCTTTTGAAGTGGCCTGCTCTTTCACATTTGAAGCACCTATCCTGTGCTTTCTCTCCCTCAGTTCTAGGATTATTTGACCCTGCTCCCCTGTACTCTCTAGAGGGCCTGGTACCTGAGGGTCTGGGTCCCCAGGTCGGAGGCTTGGCTCCTCTAAGCAGGGGTTTGGACCCTTTATAATTCCTGGCCCCCTGAAGCCTCTGTGTAGAAGCCTATGGGCTGGAAGTCATCTGGTGGAAGGTGGATAGCATAAGTTTCGTTTTTTGTTTTTGCTTTTTTTCATCTCTCCTCACATAGAATTTTTGGGCTTCTCCTAGGAGTTTCTCTATGGACAGGTTTTTCCAGTTTTCTAGTTTTTGCAACTGCTTTGTTATGTCTGACCAGCTGTTTGTGACAACATGTAGCTTTAACATTTCTTGCCCGAGAGAGTCTTCTGGATCTAAATCTGCATATTTTTTTGTTTGTTCCCTTGGTCTTTTTAGAAATTTCATGGGGCCTTCATCTTTTTCCTGTTGTACGTCAAATGCTCGGGAAAGATTCTGAGTGTGGGGCACTGACTCCCGAATTCCTTTAATTATCATTTCCCTAAGATCTTTATCTTTGGGGTTTAGATTCCTAGTTAGGAAAGCAGTAGGGTTAAGGGCATTGTCAGTGGTGCATCTTTTTTTGTTTGTTTGTTTGTTTTTGAGACGGAGTCTCGCTTTGTCGCCCAGGCTGGAGTGCAGTGGCGCGATCTCGGCTCACTGCAACCTCCGCCTCCCAGGTTCACGCCATTCTCCTGCCTCAGTCTCCCAAGTAGCTGGGACTACAGGTGCCCGCCACCACACCTGACTAATTTTTTTTTTTTTTTTTTTTTTTTTTAGTAGAGACGGGGTTTCACCGTGTTAGCCAGGATGGTCTCGATCTCCCGACCTCGTGATCTGCCTGCCTTGGCCTCCCAAAGTGCTAGGATTACAGGCGTGAGCCACTGCGCCCAGCAACATCTTTTTTTTTAATAGAATGGTTTCATATCATGTTTTTCCGGTGGACTGCATTGTTATTATCCCATTGAGGATCTTGGACTGGGAATTTCTGGCCTGCTGCCGGAATGTTTTGGCCAGAAGGATGTTCACGTTCCCAAATTGTCATAGCAGCCCTATGATTCATCCCCCTTTCTTCCCCTGAGAAAAGGATACCCAGGAGGGACATTCTCTTCCTTCCTGGGGCACCTCTCTCAAAGGAAAGAGAGTTGGGGCTGATTCCTTAGAGGTAGAGGGGGAAGGAAGATTTTGAGTCCTTTTAGGGAAGGATACTTAGGCTGACCCATGGGGTGGTGGTAAGTGTGAAATCTGATCCTTCCCCTGCATTTTTTAGGGGAAAGAAGATAACAGGTCTTTTTTCTCCAGCAGAGAGCATAGTCTATTTCTTTCTGTGAGACCAGACTTTTGTCATTCACATGCTGAATTAAAAGATGACAGACCCAATCCTCATCTCATCCATATTTTGGCCAGAAGACATCAGGTTTGAGGATGGGTTTCTTGGCCCAAATAAAACTATATTCTATCATCTGTTGCTTTTTTTGGTGTCTGGTCGTCTCATTTTCCTTCTAATAATTTTAGCATGAGACCTAAAGGACTATCGGAGGGGATCTGACTATCCCTATCCTTACCTTTCCCTGTTGTACTAGGAGTGTTTCCCATCTTGGAGGTTTTGGATGCTCCCTTGAGTGTGTGTGTGTGTGGCCTAACCTCTCTTATTAAAGCCTTCCCTTTTATCTAGAGGCTCAAACCCCCTTACTGGAGTTTTCTTGCACTCCTTTCCATTTGCTTTGTCCTATCTGGCTGCTTCCCTCATGGGAAATTAGGTCCCTTTTAGCATTGGCATGCCAGTATAAGCCCCATGGCAGGATCCGTTCTAAGACATATGAGTTGACCACAGAACCACATAAAGGACCCACTCACTCCACACAGCAGTAGTGCTTATCACTATTCACACAAGCAGCACCGCAAGCAGTAGTGCTTGTGATTATTCACACACACTTTCAACATCCAAGATATCCTGACCACCAAGGAAATACTTCGCTGCCCCCATGGCTTTTCTTACTTTGGTCTGTGCACAAAGTTACCTGGTCGCCATTGTGTTTGTAGGCAAGCCTTTCCTTCCAACATTGCTGAGAGTCTGGGTTTATTTGTCATAGTCGGTGGGGTCTCGATCTCTAGCCCCTGAGGCCACCACAGTGACGCAGTGGGATGCATCTCCCCCTGGGAGATGACCAGAGACCCCTTCCCCGGAGGAGAATGGGACTCCTGGACGAGCCCCCAGATTGTTAGAAACCAATTTTCAGTGCCGCAAAGTGAACCCAGCACTCAGGCAAAAGTTCTTTCAGCAAGGCAATTTACTTCTACAGAAAGGCGCTTCCTGTATGCAAGACAGAGGCAAGGGAGACCGCGCAAAACAAAGGAGAGCAGGAGTTTTTTATCCCTGAAGCAGACCCTGTTCCTGTGCCCTCACCCTGAGTGTTGGGGTCGGACCACACAATCTAGGCTAATTCCGATTAGCTACTGTTGACATCATCAAAGGAGGCGAGGGTGGATGTTTGATGGGAAGGATAGGTAAGGTACATCTTGGGGCGTCTGAGCACAGCAGAGAGAGGGAGGGCTGATAGATGAATGGGTATGATTTCCTTTTAGAATAGAACAAAGAACCAGGAACTGAAACCCTTTGAAGAGGAACTATTTGTTCTTAATAACATAAGTAAGGCAGTAACAGCCCATTTATGCTTCAGGCAGGTTCAGAAGGGTTTGCTGTAACTTGCAATGGAAAGCCTTTTACCTGTCTAAGCCTGCCCTCTCACACTTTATCTCTGCTTCAAACTTTCCTGCTGCACAGAACTCCTACAGCTCCCTTTTTGTCCTCCTGTAGTCCTGCATGTTTGACTGCAGGTAACCAGAGTCAGGACCAGCTTCAGCTCTAGAACCTGCCTGCTGACCACCTTCCAGGAACTGGGAGCACTGGAGGCATTGGCCATCCCGCCAAAGGGCTCAGATTCAGCACCAAGCCCAGAGGTTCCTACCAGGACCACTTGCAGGGGTTCCCCTGCTGAGGAGTGGTCTCCTTCTGTAGAAATCCCCCTTAGTACTGGGTTTGAGAAATGCAAACCTAAGGCTAGAATAGCAGGCTGTATGCAGGGCCTCAAGATTGTGAGCTTGTCACCATTGAGGGGCACTTCAGAGCAATGACCATATGCCTGACACGGGGCTGAGCCCTTATCCTCACAAACACCTCAGGATGTTGGTGCCATTATTACCCCATTTTATAAAAGAAGACATGACACTTAGAAGGAAGATTTGTGGACTTTTCTTGTCCTTTTCCCAATCCATTAAAACTGTCTGTGAACACTGTTACTTTTCTCACCTTTAAAAAAATAGGTAGAAAGTTAAACATTGCATGTTCTCACTCATATAAGAAAGCAAAAAACTTGATCTCATAGAAGTAAAAAGTAGAAGCTCGGACATGATGGCTTATGCCTGTAATCCCAGCACTTTGGGAGACTGAGGCGAGTTTGAGACCAGCCTGGCCAACATAGCGAAACCCTGTCTCTACTAAAAATACAAAAAAAAAAAAAAAAATTAGGTGGGCAAGGTGGTGGGTGCCTGTAATCCCAGCTACTCAGGAGACTGAGGCAGGACAATTGCTTGACCCAGGAGGCAGAGGTCGCAAAAAAAAAGAAGTAAAAAGTAGAGCCAAGGGTACTAGAGGCTGGGAAGAGAGGAGACTTGGGGAGAGATTTGTTAAAGGATACAAAATGACAGCTAGATAGAAGGGTAAATTCTAGTGCTCTATACACTATAGGATGACTGGTTAACAATATTATATACTAATAGTTTCAAACAGCTAGAAGGAGGATATTGAATGTTCCCAACACAAAGGAAGATGCATGTTTGAGATGATGAATGTTTGAGATGATGCATGATGATGCATGTTTGAGATGATGAATGCTAATGACCCTGATCTGATCACCATACATTATATGTACGAAAACATCACTGTGTACCCCATGAATAGGTATAATTATTATTTGTCATTTAAAAAGGTACTGACTTTTTAAATTAAAATTTTTAAAACAGGTGATACAGACACTTTATCTAAAAATTTCAAGCTGGGTGTGGTGGCTCATGCCTGTAATCCCAGCACTTTGAGAGGCCAAGCTGGGAAGATCACTTGAGCCCAGGAGTCCGAGAGCAGCCCTGGCAACATAGAGAGACCTGTCCCTAAGAAAAAATTTTAAAAAATTATCTGGATATGGTGGTGCATGCCTGTAGTCTCAGCTACTCAGGAGGCTGAGGTGGGAGGATCACTTGTGCCAGGGAGGTCAAGCCTGCAGTGAGCTATGAATGTGCCATTGCATTCCATCCTGAGCTATAGAGTGAGATCCTGTCTGCAAAGAATAATAATAATAATAAAATAAATAAAATAAAATTTCAAGCAGTATAACAAAGCTTAGAGAGAAATGTCTCTCTCCCATTCCTGTCCTGGAGCTCCAGGATTTATTGAGTGTTTGCTAGATGCCAGGCCCTGTGCTAAACTTTTTACATTCTTCATGTAATTCTCAAAGGGACTCTATGTGACAAGTGTTATCGTTATTAGCCCCTGTTTAAGATGATGGAATTTAGGCAGAGTGAGACATTAAAGACAGAGCTGGGATGCCAGCTCCACTGTCAGGCCCCAAAGCCTATGCCCTTGATGTCACCTGCACACTGGAGCCCCTCCCATTTGGGCCAGGACTTTTGTATCACAGATCGTTTCCAAAAGGCACTCTCAAGCCTCAAGGTCACTTGAGGGTTTATTTCAGAAATAAAAGCAAATTGTTTCCCACTGCATCAGGAAGATCCCTGTGTATCTCATGTCATTCCCAGCTCTTTAGTCCAAGCCATGTCTGCCTCTTTCCCCGACCCAGCTCAGGGCCATGGACCAGCAGCAGCATTCTGAGGCTCCCCTTGTTCATTCCTCGTGAGATACAAGGGTCTGCAATGACAACCGGCATCTTATTTTAAGGCTGCTGGGCACTTTGCTCTCTCTACCCACTCTGCAGTACAGATATGCATCTGGGAGATTGGAATAGGCCAGCTCCTTAACATCCCCCATGACATGGGGTATAATTCCATCCCCTCCCTCTGGGCAGAGGGGGCCAGGAGGTGGAATCCTGCCACCCCTCCACTTCACAGTTGGTGGCGCAGAGAAGGGACCTGGGCACTGTCTTCTCAGTGAGGTGAAAAGAAGCATGGAATTGCTTCCCCACAAAGCCCAGTTTGGTCCATGTGCCACCTGCACTTAGCAGCAAGTGGCCCGGGCACTGAAGACTTCTCTAGGCTCTGCCTAGACAGTGCCACAGGCAAGTGAGAAGAGAGGGAGGAAGGAGTATCCTGGCTGTTCTGTATTCATTACATTGTAGAGTCAAATGAGAATCCAGTGATGATAATAGGCCTGTGGGTGGTGGATCAAGAGTATCTGCCTCCTTAAGGAACAGCCTGGGAAACCTTTGCTGTGAGGAAATTATATTAATAAATGGGTGACAAATACAGAACAGTTTCCAGCCTTTAGCCGTGCTGACTTGCTGGTGGAATTGAGCAAGGCATGCTGTTCTCCAAAACGCACATTCAGGAAGCTCGGCTTCCCCCAGTGCCTAAGGGCAGGGTTGTGCTGGTAAATGTGTAATCACCAGCTTTCAGAGGGAAGGGAAGGCCGTGGTTTGTAACATTCGCCGATTTCTGAGATGTAAATACTCCTACCATGCCTGATTCAGAGCTATCTACATGAAGTCACTAAAGCTTCTAGCACAGCATTATATACACAAAATAGATGTAAATAATCCCCAAAGCATAGAGAAGAGTAAAATGTAAAAAATAACTAGGAGGAGATGAGTTTCAAGTATTTACTCCCTTTGGATGTGAAGGTGATCTGGCTGTGACATGTGTCACCTCATTGATCACCAGGGTTGATTCAGCTGACCTTGCTTGCAAGGCGGGTGTCCCTTTCTTCCCTCACCACTCAATGTCCTTCCCGAAGCTGCTAGAACCTCCAAACAAGCTCTCAAGTATTCACTACCTTTGTTTTTAATATAATTTACTTAATTGCAGGCATATATATATATAATTTAATGTGTAGTAATGGCTGTTCTTAACAACCACCTCACAGAATTCTCCAGAATCTCACAATTAATACCTGTGAGCCAGTGTGAGCCAGTCTGGCTCATCACTAACTGGTCAGGAAAGGCTATTGTATTTGAGTTGTTACAATTTTTAAAAGAGTCAGACATGGATTATCCTGGTGATGGGAGTTGAGCATAATGATGTGCTAGGAAGTGAGGGTGCCCCAGACACTACCTCATCAGCTACAGGCTTGTTGGGGTTTCTAGCGCCATCAGGCCTGGTGTAGGATTGCAGCAATCAGCCTGGCATGGTTGTGCGGACAACCTGAGCTCTCATAGCCCAGCTCTGAACCTCTGACATCAAAGGTCACCCCTGTTGGAAAGCTGTGCACCAAGACACCTCAGGGATGAGCTGGCCTCCCGCAGGAGCAGCCTGCATCAGATGCTCACAGATCAGGCCCCAGTCACTGGTCCAATAGATCATGCCTGGAATCACAGTGGGGGGGTCCCCAAGTACACACACAGCCTGAGTGCTAACAATTGGAAGCAGAGAGAGCCTCTTGGGGCCCCTTTCCTCAGAACGTGCTGTGCGCATGGCAGGCCCTTGGAGCATCACAAATCCTTTCTGCAGTGAGGCTCCTTCATTTCATCTCCCTTGGGAAGAGCTATGGGGCCACTGAAGGATTCTGGTTTGTCTGCTTTCAGAACTAAGTCCTTCTTTATTGCTGAGTAAATTGCAAGCCAGTTGCTGCTAGACAGACTACACCTTGAAGCTCAAGATGCATGGAAGTGAATATGCTGTTTCGTCTCCATATTCATTATATGAATAGTAGTGACTGTTTCCAGTCACTATGCTGCTGTGTTTAGGAAAGAAATGTACCATCTTTCAAGTAGAAAGCTGAAGCTGCTACTTCTCATGCTGTCACTGCTGCTTGGAATGTTGCCCTCTCCGTCTCTCCTTTCCCTGCTTGCCTCCACAGACTCCTATTCTCTTTCAGGGTACTTTGCTAAAGTTGAAAAACAAGTGACAACATGCTATGCAAACCAAGATTTCGATATTGGACATGTACTCACACATACCAGGCATAGGACGAGAAGAACATACATGCACCAAAGTGGGATTTTTTTCTATGCACTTTTCTACATTTTGCATATTTCTTCCACTGAACATATATTAATTTTATGAACATGGAAGAGAGCACCCCTCATTTCCTCCATGAAGGCTTCTCCCACCCCCACAGCCAGCAAATCAGTCCATCTTCTGACCTCTAACTTGTGCATGCACCCCAGTAGGTTGTAATTGGCTTTGTATTTCTTCCTATTTTCTCACTAGACATGAGTCGTCGCTCAAAGGGGTTTGGCTTGTCCTCTCCCAGGCACACTCACCCTCAGCTTCTGACCCCACGCCTGGGACAAACAGGCCCTCAGTGAATGATTTATGAAACTAAACTAGGTCACTGCAAAGCCCAACCTGAAGACTGCTTCAACCTGAATGGAAGGAAATGGTAAACTCTCACCTTCCAGGAATATCCCTGCTGGAATATAAATTACACAATCCTGTCATGGACAGACCTCATTAATTTCAACCATTTCGTCTGTTCAACCATTGTAGAGATGAGAAAACTGAGGCCTAGAGAGGTCTAGGGATTTTCCCAAATCACACATCAAGTAAGCGGTGGAGCCAAAGAGGAATCCAGGTTCTTCAAGTCTTAATATTTTCCCTCTCACCAGGTAAGAGTACAACAGAGAAAGTATAAGGTGCCAAAGAATGATAGTAAGAGTTAGCATTTACTGAATTGAGAACTTTCAGTGTGCCAACCCCTTTTCTAGGCCTTTCTTGCATATTACCTCATTTAAGCTATTTAACATGTACTGTCATCATTCTCATTTTACTAGTGGCAAAACTGAGGTTCAGAGAGGTTGGGTAACTCTTTCAAGGTTGCAAGGCTAGTCCAGCCTCAATAATCCCTAGCCCAAGTCCCTGTGCTATTAGCGGCTAATGAAACCCAAGGGCCAGAGCTGAGCAACGTGGAAGTTCTGCCTGCAAGGACCGCACCGGGCCTCGAGGCTATGTTAGGATTAGGCTGATAACAATCAGATCCAGGGATAGTTGGAGAGCAAAAGGCTGTGGCACCAAAACAGATGGGTCAGAATCACATGTTTGTCTGACAGAAAAAAGGCTGAGGGGAGCCAATTAAAGCTCAGCCACATCTCACACGCCTTTCTTCTTGGTGTCTGTCTCTGTTTCGTTATTTTGCTTACCTTTCCTTACAGCTTCTTCGTTGGCTTCTCTCCTCCTCTCCCACTAATGCCACAGCAGGTCCTGAGATCTGCTGGACTCTTCTTGCTTCTGTGCTAGGACAGTGGCCTCTTGTATAGTGTACCTTCCTAGGGATGAGGCTCTTCTGCCCTTCCATCTCTCACTTCTTTGCTTAGCCACAATTCCTTTGTTCTTTTTCTGCTTCTGACTTAAATCCTCATCTGAGGATGCATTACATCACCCCTCGGTATATCCAAGCTCAACCTCTTTGATGGCACCTCCCAAGCCCTTCTCTCTTTTGCTAAAATGACCCTCTGTTTTTATCTGTATCACTGGGAGTTCAGGATTCCAACAGCCCTTCTCCTCTTGCCTTCAAATCCTTACCATTTAGGAATCTTTGTGATTTGATACGATGGTCAAAACAGAAGCATGTCTAATCTTCCATATACTAAAGTTACTCCAATTTTACTAAAGTTTTAAGAGGGAGAACTATCCCCAGAGATATTTCTTAGCGCACACACACACACACACACACACACACACACACACAAACACTTTTCTGTAATTAGGAACTTGTTCAGATCTTGTGTCCTGGATAGAGCAGTCCCTACCCAATGAGGCAGCATGGTGGACTGGCCATCTGACAGACCTGGTTCAAGACCTGGTTCTGCTGCTTTCCAGGTGTGTGACCTTAAAAAAAAGAAACAGCTTCTCTGTGCTGTAATTTCCTTGTCTATGCAGTGGGGACAATCATGGCTACTCTCTATTTGAGGACTTGAGACAATGCCTGGTACACACACAGTGGGTACTTAAGAAGAGCTGCTCTTGGAATATTCTTTTTTTTTTTTTTGAGATGGAGTCTCTCTCTGTCGCCAGGCTGGAGTGCAGTGGTGCGATCTTGGCTCACTGCAACCTCCATCTCCTGGGTTCAAGTGATTCTGCTACCTCAACCTCCCAAGTAGCTGGGACTACAGGCACGTGCCACCATGCCCAGCTAATTTTTGTATTTTTAGTAGAGACAGGGTTTCACCATGTTGGCCAGGATGGTCTCAGTCTCTTGACCTTGTGATCCGCCTGCCTTGGCCTCCCAAAGTGCTGGGATTACAGGCGTGAGCCACCACGCCTGGCCTAGTCAACCAGAGGCTTATGCTGAGGGTACTGTTTTGTGTTTATAGAGCATCTTCAATTCTACTATCTAAAGTAGGCCCGTAAGAGTTCAGTTGTAAAATATAGAATATACTCTAACAACTTTAAGCAGAAGGGGCTTATTTCAGAGTAATAGATAGGTAGCTTCCAGAATTATCAGAGACTTGAAGAAAATGACTCTACCTTAAGTTTTCTAGAATGGCAGAAATGGACCACCAAAGACTGCTGCTTCTCCTATGACAAGGAAGCACTGCCTGATCTGGAAACTTGCATTATAACTGTTGACCTCAAAGCCATGCAACCACTACCATGATCAGAGAGTCACCACGGTCAGAAAGTCTCCAGGACTGCTGCCAACTGTGAGACCTCACTGCCATTATTCTCTATTTAACGCATTCCAGTCAGAGTGAATTCCATTGAATCCACTCTTGTCAAAGTCACCAGTGATCTCCCCCTTAATAAATCCGAAGATCCATTAGCTCCACTCATCCGACCTGTTCTAGACATGGAATGCCTACCCCTACCCCATCCCAAACAGTAACTTTCCTGCGCTGGAGGATGCTGCCCTCACTGCCTAACCTCAGGAATGCCATTTTCTCCTAAAGACATTTCAGAATTAATGGACTATTCCAGCCCATTGAGTCACATACACTCACACTCACAAGCTCCAGTGGACTCCAGTCCCTTCAGGAATCCCCTGTAGTAGGGATGGAGAGAGAGGAGAAAAGTAAGTTCACACTCTCTGGGGGCCTTCCTACCAGAGGCACATTACCAAGACAAATGTCCCTTTTTTGGCACAGCCACAAAACTATGGATTTTAGAGAGTGGAAACTTCAGCAGCTTCCAGGACTAGAAGCCTAAGGACCATCCAATCTAGCTCTTTCATCTTGCAGAGAAGGCACATAAGGCTCTAAAGTGTATCCAGAGTCATAGAGACAAGGCAAGGCAACACTGCTTCAATGGGAAGGATTCCTTCAGCAAATCAGACAACATACCAGAAATTAACTTGGCATAGTGTTTATCTTCGGTCAGGCTCCCTAGAAGTAGAGCAGGAGAGGGGATTTGTCACTTACTAAGGGAGTGATCTCAGGGGAAATGGCATGGGGGGGGAAAGTAGGCTAGGGAAAAAGAAATTAGGCAAGGATGTAGTTTAGGTGACATGTGGCCACAGTGTGATCCTGCAGGGAGCTCTAGAACCACACTGTATCACAGAACTTGAGCCACCTTAAACAAGGGAGCTGGGCTTTTTTGCTTCTGCACCATCTGTTTATTAGCTTTGTGCTGCTCCAGGATAGAGGTTGACTGTTACCCCTAGGCACTTCCAGGTAAAGTTGCTCTAATCTCTGAAGGGCAACAGAAAAGGTTTCAGGTGTGAGCTATTAACAGCAACACCTCTAGCAGTTGGGGGATGGGCACACTGAATGGTAAAAGGGGTCCTTCCTAGATCTGCTATCTAGGTGGGGCACCAGCAGTGTCTGCTACAGTGGCTAAGAGAAATCTCTGGATCCTAACATAACAACTGGGAATCCATATCAGCTGTGTGACCTTGGACAAGTCACTTAATCTCTCTAAGCTTCAGTTCCCAAATCTGAAAATCATGAAAGTACAGCCGGGCACAGTGGTTCACGGCTGTAATCCCAGTACTTTGGGAGGCTGAAGTGGGCGGATCACTTGAGGTCAGGAGTTCAAGACCAGCCTGGCCAACATGGTGAAACCCCATCTCTACTAAAAATACAAAAATTAGCCGGGCATGGTGGCACAGACTCCTGTAATCCCAGCCACTCGGGAGGCTGAGGCAGGAGAATTGCTCGAACCCAGGAGGTGGAGGTTACAATGAGCCAAGATCGCGCCATTGCACTCCAACCTGGGTGACAGAGTGAGACTCCGTCTCAGAAAAAACCACAAAAAAACAAAAAGAAAATCATGAAAGTAATACTGCCTCTTAGGGTCATTGTGGGCATCCAGTGAGCTAATGCATGGGAGGTGCTTAGCCCAATGACTGCATTCAGTAAGTATTATTGTAATTATTAGTGGTTATTATGAATAATTATATTACTTTATTATTATAAGTAATTATAATGATGATAAAAATTGATGATCCAAAAACTGGAGCTATCTGAAATCATTATCCATCTCTTACTATCCAAAGGAACTGGATGCGCATTGTCCACATCTTGACAGCCGAAATTAGGATCATCCAAGAAGTGGCAGTATTTTTATCCACAATGTGGATGTAAGTGTTTGCCTTTGGTGCTCCCAGCTCACCACTGAGATAATTAACCAGAAGCAATTATAGTGCACTTGGCAAATTGCAGCTTTGCCCTCTTTGCAAGGCACATGTTTTAGTTATACTTGCTCCCTTGTGGCTTGCTGATTGATCACATTCCAAGTCTAATATTTAAAGGTGAGCTGCTGACATGGACTTCACCTGGGTTCCCCTCAGAGTTCTCACACTCTGGGGTCTAAGCAAGAAACTTGCCCACGAATGCAGCCATCTCTCTGACAATCTGCATGTCTGGGCAGATCACAATGCCCACATCCCTGGCACACCTGCAGAGTGCCCCTTATCGTGGGTGAGCCAGTGCAGTGCCCTGAGCTGAACACCTCATCTCCTCTGCCTAGTCTTCTCCAATTTCAGAATCGCGATAAGCCAACACATTTTTCAAATACTGAATGCACAGAAGGCTTTTGAGGCTGGACGTTAAAAGTGGACATCCCAGTAATTCTATTTCTGGAAATCTGTCCAGAGGACATAACCTGGAATGAGGATTTATGCTGAAATTTATGTGTGAGATGGTCACCTAAGCATTATTCATAGTAGCAAGAGGTGGGGAGAATGAAATGTCAATTTCAGGTTAGACAGAGCATGCTCAGACAATGAGATAGTAGGCAGACATTAACATAATATAAACAAAGACTGTTTTCTACATCCTTAGACTTAAGGGTATAGGAAAATGTATACCTATTGTAAATGACGAGTTAACGGGTGCAGCACACCAACATGGCACATGTATACATACGTAACAAACCTGCACATTGTGCACATGTACCCTAGAACTTAAAGTATAATAATAATAATAAAAAGAAATCCAAAAGAAAAAAAAATACTAACCAATGGTTTTTCTGTACAAAATTGATCTTCTCTATATTCCCCCTCCATGACCATTTGTATTAGTATCTTTTTTTTTTTTTTTTTTTGAGACGGAGTCTTATCACACAGGCTGGAGTGCAGTGGCACAATCAGCTCACTGCAACCTCTGCCTCCCGGGTTCAAGTGATTCTCCTGCCTCAGTCTCCCAAGTATCTGGGATTACAGGCACGTGCCACCACATCTGGCTAATTTTTGCATTTTTAGTAGAGATGAGGTTTCACCATGTTGGCCAGGCTGGTCTCGAACTCCTTACCTTAAGTGATCTGCCTACCTCGGCCTCCCAAAGTGCTGGGATTACAGGCGTGAGCCACTGTGCCTGGCCTGTATTAATATCTTTATAGGTAGAAGTTTAATATCAATTCTGCAAAGCCTCATGAGTTATTAGCATTTTAACAATATTCTTCAATAAATCTTCAAAATGTGGAAGGTTTAAAATATATAAACTATTTGATTTCTTAACAGAATGTCTATATTTTCTCATTAAATGAAACAAAAATATTACCCAGGAGAAACTTCACACCTTGACTATATTCTCATTTCTCTCATAATTCGCATCCAAAATTATCCCTTTCTCACTGAGAAAAAGGGGATTCACCTTCTTAAGGTGACAAAATAAGAAAAGGAGGGGGGCACCAGGCTATTATTTGCCCCTATAAACAAGCAATCAATCCCATGAGATCTGGCACAATAGGGTGGTAAGTTACCACCTAACCACATGGTATGGCAAACTTACAATTACCACATACTCGTCTCCCCTGGTCTCCACATTCTCAGGGCCTCCCTAATAGAGTCAGCTTTGAAATGCCATCCCTGTTCCCCTATAGGATAATACTCGAAATAAACAAGGGTAAATACTAAATTTAGATTTTGAACATTAAATTTCATCTTTTTATGCTGGCGGCTAACTTCTGCTTAAAATTAATTTCAGTCATATTTTATTCACAAGTTATGTGTTGTGCACCTTACATATTTCAGGCACTGTGTTAGGCACAGGAAATAAAATGGTGAGGTAATTTCCACCCTAAGGGAGGCTAGAATTAGCGGAAAACAAAGAAACCTTAGTCAAGAAAGACGCAATTAAGTAAGGACTGAACACTACCAAGTGCCAGAAAGGAAGAGGAATAAGAGATTTGACCTCATCAGGGGACAGGGGAGCTCAGCTAACATTTGAAGGATGGGTAGGAATTAACTAGGAAATGAGAGGAGAGGAGGCAAGAGCATCCCAGGAAGAGGGAGCAGCATGGACAAGAGGGCCTGAGGTTGAGAACATAACCTGTAGAAGCTGGAGCCAAAGAGGTGGGGGACCACAGTGCAAGGTGAGACTGGAGAAGTGGAGAGGGTAGGCAGGAGAGACATTGTAAGGGGCCCTTTTGCTGGATGATGTTGGATACCCATTCAGCATCACATCCATTCCCACCAAAAGAATTCCAACTTTGTGGAGGTAGTCAGCCCTTCCCCATACAGCTTTGTGATGCAGGAAAAGATGGCACCATCCTCAGCTCCAGGGAGGGTTCCAATAGATTGAGGCCAGTCCTTCTGGATCCCAGGTTTAAGCACTGCACAAGACAACTGCTAATGGTGCCCAGGCAGGAATGTAACCTAAACTGGACCAATGGGACCCCCAAGTGACAGGAGGACTTTCATGCTGTACTTTTCTGTTTCCCTCTAGGCATCCATAAGGAAGCCCATTGACCTAATTGCTGCCATCAACCCAGGGACAAAGCCAATCGGGTGGACAGCGGAGAGGCAATATGGGAAGGACCTTGGTCCTTGAAGATATTGTGCCACTATATCAAGCAACCGCTGAAGCCTGAATTACCTCTGGATGCCTAATAACGTGGAACAATAAATTTCCTTATTGTTTAATTTGAGTCAGGATTTATGATACTTGCTTCCAATAGCATCCCATAGGGCACGTCCTTGTGGGTAAGGGTTGTTGTTGCTTTTATTCCAAGAAGAACAGTCTTCTGAAATTTGGGAGGAAGTTGCATAATTCTAAGAAAAAGGTTATAAAACAGGGCCTGGTACATTCCTCATCACCACCACCACCCAAAAAATGTTAAATGAAAAATGTAGAAAATGAAATTCCCTGCATATGATCCCAACTGTACACACACACACACACACACACACACACACACACACATACACACACACACATTTTTAAAAAGACTGGTAAGAAAAACACTAAGTTAAGTGATTGCTCTTAGGTAGTAAGATTATTACTAGTTATTATTTTTTAACCTCTGCTTTATTTGGTTTGGTTCTTTATATTCTTCAGTACTTCCTGATTTTCCTACAGTGAACATGCTTTACTTTTTTAATAGATATCAAAGACAATAATTGTTTTCTATCTAAATTTATACTACCTATCACAAAGGAAGTCACTTTGACTTTTTAAAAACATAATGGCCAAATGAAAGCAAAAAAGTAGCATATTTGGTGCAATCTATTGGTGAAAGAAAAACATTTCCAGTTTTTATGTACTGTATCCAGAGACTTAAAGATTTATGATTGGTCATGTAGTAGAATAAAATATCTTGAGAGAATGAGTATGTCTAATTTTCATTTTAAATCCTCAATTTATAAAAGTTACTATGGCTCATTTTTTAAAGTTTTGTCATATAAAATAGAGGTACTTGCAAATATTGAGACCCTCAGGAGTTGTCATTTAGCATCTCTGGAAAACATAACATTTAATTATCATAGCATGAGGTACTTTTAATGCACATTTCAACATCGCGATTGAGGACTGATTTCTGAGAGGCAAATTCAGTGATATTTCCACTCACGTGCCTTATTTAAATACAAACTACATGCACAATTATCCTTGATCCCACTGCCACTTAAAATATAGAAGTGAAAATACAAGATACTCATAGGTTTTTTTCCTCAATAACTACAGTCACCAAAAGAGTAATAATTACCAAATACCCCTAAAAGGTTTGGAGGCCCTGTTTGCTAACCAATATCCACCATGGGATTCAAATTCCAAAGCTAACCTTTTTGCTATCAGAGCCGTTTCAGATGAGTTTTACTCCAGGAAGGAAGATAATATTATTTTTATTAATTACCTCTAAACACAAAATTTGTGATTTTTATTCAACCTTTGCTCAACTACATACTTCTTCCTTTTGTTTTCTAAAAGGAATAAATATAACTTCTTATTTTGTATTACCCATTTGCTCTCTAAGATGGCAGGAGTATTTTTAAAGAGGTAAGGCAGGCAGACAACCCAACAGAGACATCGGAGGCAGTACCTTTCCCTGAGAGTCCCGCTATTGTACCAAGTGAGGGAGGATTAAGGAAGGGCTGGTGGGCACTTGGGCTCTTCACAAATACTTACAGTTCTCCCCTCTGTGAGCACATGGTGGGATTGTACTTCTCTCTTTTGAAATTAGGGTGGCCATATAACTGATAACTGTCTGTGACCGATGGTTTGTGTATAGAAGGTTGAACTTTAGAGAGCCAAGCCATGAGTCATCACACCTTCTTCACTTGCCAGGGAGATGGTGGGAGCACATGTCAAGGCTTCCATCAGCTTGAGTCAGTCCTCAGGTGACCACAGGAGCAGAGGCCCTGTCCCAACCAACAGTGGAGAAATATACTTTTATTAGGTTAAGACACTAGGATTCGAGGGTTATTTGTTACTGCAGTGTAACTAAGGCCATACTGATTGTATAGAAAAAAAAAAAGGGAAAAGAGATTTTGAATTCCTTCAAAGCCTTTTATATTCCTGTTGAAACATCCATTCCATTTGGTAAATTATAACTAAGTTAAATGGACTCCTTAGAAAAAAGTACAAAATCATCCTTACAACATGTAAAGGTCACTGTGTTATAATCAAAACATTTTCATTATAAGCTTCAGTTCAATCGTTTAACTCTAAATCCATATTTACTATGTTACTGGGATGAGTTTACAGGTACCTGTGAGCTCTC
Source organism: Homo sapiens (assembly GCF_000001405.40). Classification (NCBI taxonomy): domain Eukaryota; kingdom Metazoa; phylum Chordata; class Mammalia; order Primates; family Hominidae; genus Homo; species Homo sapiens. The sequence continues at coordinate 54,056,284 of NC_000003.12, read as the reverse complement.
TAAGGAGAATTTTTAATTTGACGTTTTCATGTTGATGATAAACTAAATTGATGTAAGCATATTCTGTACCACCTGGATGGCCAACCTACACAAGGCAAAGCCCAAGTTTGCATTTGTGTTTACTTTATGTTGGTGCCAATGGTACCACTTTGTCAAAGGCTAGTGAGTGAAGAACTGAGTTGGCCATAACTCTGACATACTGCATTTGTACCAAAGGAGTTCACAAAAAGCCAAGATGGCCAGCATCTTGTTTCAAGCAGTGATTTACTTCCAAAAAACAATATCTTTCACAAACCATGTCTTTCTAAAGTTAATGCAGTTAACTTTAATTGCATTTGTTTTATTGTTTGACTTTAACCTATAAATTAGTTTTCTGTTTTACGGTTTTATAAGAACTACAAACATAAGAAGTTTATATCCACTTTTCTGCAATATGCATTTAAGTAATATCATAATTCAAATAGCAGAAGTCCACATGGTGGTGGTGGTAGGGTGTGGTTCTGGGATGATTTTTCTTTTAAAAGGCCGGAAACATTGTTCATTTCAGGCAAGTCTCAAAGTAGCTCTGTCTCTTTAAATGAGTAAATTGTCAAGTTACATGAATTTATTCATTCAAGTTTATCTAAAAGAGTTACCTGAAAACCAAAGAACTGGCTCGAGGGCTCCACGAATCTCCACTTCATGCTTGTGATAGAGGATGCCAGAGAGAGAAAGAAGAGAGATCAAATGCTCTGAAAACCAAGAGTCAGAAATGATTAAAAAAAAAAAACAACAACAGGCATTTATGGCTCTTTTTGAAGCCAGGACCTGTTGCAGCAAAATATCTCTTTATTTGTATTGATATCAGTAAGATGAAAAGGCTTCTCTAACCATTCTCATATGCACAGTTCTTTGTTATTTTGTTAAGACTAATAAGGAAGTCATGTGATATTTAAGAACTGGCGCATTCTTCACTAAGAACACTGGCCAAAATAGGGTCAAAGCAGAGTACTTTACATTACTGAAAGCAATGCAACTTTGCTTTTAGTCCCTTTTTCTTTGTTTGAATTATTGATTTTTGCCTAATGATTTAACAAATTTCTCTTTTACTATAATAAATACTAGCTTATGTTTCCTCACTGCACCTAAAGCCGCCTATTCCTAAAGATGTGCCTGGAGAATCAGGAGAACAAGCAGAACCAGTAGCAGGTGCCCAAGAAGAGGGGCTGATGCTGATGCTGACTACAAGGAAAATCCTAACCCGGTCAGCCGGAGAGCACAAGTGTATACCGCCACAGAATCATACCCGTGAAAGCACTTAGAAATCAGCACAACACTATCCCGAGGGAAAATGAAATCAACAAAGGGGAAGAAAAAGATGATGAAGATAATGAAGGTTGATGATGAAGGAAAATGATAAAAATGATGACAAAGGTGAATATGATGGTGATAATGATGGTGATGAAGATGACAGTCTGGATTCTTTCATGGGTTCAGCATCATTTAGCATCTCATGCCATGCACAATGCCCTCTAAAAGAAGAAAAAGACCAAAAGAGTTAAAACAAGTAGCTGGGCGCAGTGTCTCATGCCTGTAATCCCAGCACTTTTTGAGGCCGAGGCGGGTGGATCACCTGAGGTCAAGAGTTCGAGAGCAGCCTGACCAACATGGTGAAACCTTGTCTCTACTAAAATACAAAAATTAGCTGGGCATGATGGCACATGTCTGTAATCCCAGCTGCATGGGAGGCTGAGGCAGGAGAATCGCTTCCACCTGGGAGGCAGAGATTGCAGTGAGCCGAGATTGCACCTCTGCACTCCAGCCTGGGCAACAGAGCAAGACTCTGTCTCAAAAAAAGGGAAGAGTTAAGATGAGGACTCTGCCCTCAGTGAGCTTCCAGGCCAGGACAGGAGGCAAAGCAAGAAAATACATACAACATAAGAAAAGACTGTCGAAAAGACAGGGTTTTCTCCTGCTCAAAACAAAGGTTCTTAGCCTTTGGTTTTCTGGTCTAGTTTGACAGATTTCATCCAGAGTCAAGCCCCTTGGTCACGCTTTGCCACTATGTGACAGGTTCATTCATTCATTCATTTATGGAACAACGATTTGTTGTTGTCTAGCCCCATGTGGGGCCATGGGCTCCAAGTGCTAGGAGAAAACCTGGGCTTCCACCTTTGTGGAGTTTCCAGCAGAGCTGCTGTATGGGCCTGCTTCCTACCTGGCCACACTCTCTTATGTGCTCATGAAGCAAAGTGTTTGCACATTTCCCAAATTATGAAATCTTTCTTTGGTGCCAGCTTACTATTAAATTATGCCTTTTACCTCCTTGTAGCAGACGGTGACAGTGCCGCTCAGCATCACATTCTGTCTGCTCAGTGCTATGTTGGGAGTGTCCTCAGTGTAAAACAAATTAACTTTATGCATTCATCAAAATGTGACAGGTCACCTCTGAAGGACTGAGGCCACACACACCAGTTGATAAATACTGTCCTGAAGTATAGGAAGGCAAATTCGGTCCATACTTTTAGTGTACTAACTACCTCCCAGTATTCTGGATTTGAAAAGCACTTTCACAAAAACACTTCCCCATCATCTTAAATTCATTAAACTTTGTATTTTAAAGAGGAAATATAATTCATTGTATCCTGATTTGTTTGCACTTATTACAGCATTGTTTTGAAAAAGCTGATATGCAAAAAGCCTTTTTCATCAGCTTATTCAAGAGCTTTTCTCTTCAAAGGGAAGAAAAGAATCGGACAGTGTTTATCAAGGGTAAACAAACCAAGGCCTAAAATAAAAATCCAAGTGCATTTCTAAAGCCTGAACTCACCAGGAGCCAAGGAGGTTTGAAACTTAAGGTCCCTCCTCCCTCTCTTGGAAAAGGAGTGAGACTCAGAATCAACTGCCCTGCCTTCCCTGGGGAAGCTAGTGAGGCTTGCTCTCATGCTGTCATTGAGCAAACCTTACCGCGTGCTCTGGAGCTGGGATGTGTGTTTGCAGCAGCCAATAAACACTCCTAATGATGCGCTCAACAAAAGCCCATATTTTGAGCCTTGTCTTCGCTTTTCATGTTGTTTTGCTCAGTGAAAGGATCAAAGCAATGAGGCTACTTTTCCTTCGCTCAATCAGACAGGAGTTCTTTGAAGTAAATGTGTTATTTTGCTTTTGCTTTTTTCCTTTTCTCCTTAAGGAAGAACCTTGATAATCAGAGGCTGACTTTGTAGATTTCCTTAATGCTACTCCCTTAGCAGGTGCACGTGTCTCAGGAAGACGAGTCTGTAATATCTTTTTGCTCGGATTTCCCCTTCTTCTTTTCCACTTGATGAGAGCCATCGGGTGGGTTTTCACGTGCCCAGGATGGTTGAGAACATCTAAAGACAACATTATCCATTCATCAAGAACATCTGAAAATAAAGATACAAGAGTTCAGATGAACAGAAAAATAAATCAGGGGATTTTGAAAAGGCATTTGTAGTTACAGCTCAAGGCTGTCTTGTTTTTAAAAAAAAAGTATCAAAATAACTCCATTAATGATTATCTCAAAAGCAAAATGACGCTGAAAGCTTGTTACTATGGTTCCTGCTTCCACAGGGAATTCAAAATATCTTATAAAAAAATAATGGGATGGTGAATAAAAAAAGATGAAGAAGTCAAGCTGAGCATGATGTCTTCAGGAGCCTTTCAGTGGCATATACTGTACAAAACCAGAGTTTCTCAAAGAATGGGTATTTTTCTAATGGGTGATAATAATAACAGCAGCTAATGTGTATTGAACACTTACTATGAGCTAGTCATTGTACTGTTTTCATGTACTATCTCTTTTAATCTTTATATGAACCCTGTCAAGTGCTAGCATGCTATCAGTCCCATTTTGCGGAAGAGAAAACTGAACCTCAGAATGCCCAAGTGACAAAGAAAGAACCCAACCCAGATCAATATGATGCCAAAGCCCAGACTCTTGAGCACTGCAAATGTGGTTTATCAGAAACCTGTTATGTATATTCATTCTATTCAAAGGCTGAAGTCACATCTGTCCTGGTTAAGCAAACTGAAGCAATAATCTGACTTGGACAAAATTCTTTTTTCACTGTTAATTAGCTCAAAGAAAGAGAAATTGTTTTAGAGACGTTTCCAGGCATTCCTTCAACAACCCCTTTTGTATAGTGGTAGTATAGACTTACTTCCCTGTACATTTTCCCTATCAAAGCTTGAGTAAGATTGTCAAAACCTATTAAACTATACACCTAAAATGCCAGGATTTTCTCATATGTAAATTAGACCTCAGAAAGTTTTTCCAAAATAAAGATCCCAGAAATTCAACAGGAGATGTTCCCAATATGTTTTCAGCTTCACCATTTCCTAGATTTTATGTCAAATTTTTATTAAGTCAAACTATGTGAAATTGCCATTTGTGTATGCCTATGTCAGTTCCATACAGATTTCTTTTAAGTATTTTGTTTGTTTGTTTTTGAGACAGAGTCTTACTCTGTCACCCAGGACAGAATGCAGTGGAGTAATCTCAGCTCACTGCAGCCCTGGGATTACAGGTTTGCGCCACCATGCCCGGCAAATTTTTGTTTTTTTGGTGGAGACGGGGTTTCACTATGTTGGCCAGGTTGGACTCGAACTCCTGGCCTCACGTGATCCACCTGCCTTGGCTTCCCAAAGTGCTGGTATTACAGGCATGAGCCACCGTACCTGGCCTTTTTTTAAGTTTTAAATAGTGTTAACACACTTGTGCAATGTAATCTGCAGCTATTCTCACCTATTGTCTTAGTAATACATTTTGATTTAGAAAAACATTTTCTTTGCCAGCAAATGCACCAGGGGAATGGAATTTCTTTAATTGTGTTCCTTTCTTTTTCTTTTTTTAAATTTAATTTTATTTATTTATTTTTTTGAGGTGGAGTCTCACTCTGTGAAGTTGCTCAATCCCTGCTCACTGCAACTTCAGCCTCCCAGGTTCAAGTGATTCTCCTGCCTCAGCCTCCTGAGTAGCTGGAATTATAGGCACATGCCACCACGCCCAACTAATTTTGTATTTTTAATAGAGACAGGGTTTGACCATGTTAGCCAGGCTGGTCTTGAACTTCCATCAGGTGATCTGCCCTCCTCAGCCTCCCAAGTGCTGAGATTACAGGCATGAGCCACCGCGCCTGGCTGATTGTGTTCCTTTCTCACAGATTTTGTTTCTGTTTTTGTTTTCCTGAACACTCAGCTGGACTGCATTTCCCAGCTTCCCTTGCAGTTAAGTCACAAGTAGCGCTGTGACTGGGTTCTGCCCGGTAGAAGGTAAGCAGAAGTGATGTGTATCACTTCTATGTGTGGCCTCCCAAAACCTCCTAAAGGTTATGTTCCCCTCTTTTTCCCCATCTATGGCCTGGAAAGTGAAATATTATGGAGCCTTTGGCTGAGACACAAGACAGAAGAAACCCGGGTCTCAGAATCAGAGTGTGAAAAACCTGACAGACCAGCACGTGAGAGAACAGAATTAAACTTCTGTTGTGTTAAGCCACTGAAATATGAGAACTTGCTAGTGAAACTAGTGTTACTTTTACCAACAGTCTTTCTTTCTTTACCTTCCTTCCTTTCAATAACATTTACTGCAGATTTTCTATGACCTTTAGAGACCATTCAATGTATCAAAATGAAGCAAATGGCTCTTCAAAGAGTTGCTATCGAAATACATTCAAGGTTACTGCAGCAAATACACTTCCTGTTTGTAGAAGACATCTTGTTATCTGCTGCCCATCATTGATTCACCCTCTTCCTGGGAACAATCTCCCCATATTTCCTTTGGGAAACCATCCCTCCTCCCTACCTAACCATGTGATTTAGGTGAGGTTGAAACCCCCAACAATGTGTAGGCCCTGATCAGCTTTAGCCAACCAGTATCTCCCGACCCTCTGGCTCTAGGGATTGGCCAGTGACACACGAGGGGATGAGGGGGCGTCACTGAATCCTTCCAGCAAGGAAAGATTTCTCATCCTCTGCAAAAACTAGTGCAAGAAGACCCTCTCTCTAAACCTGGAGAATGTGTTGCAATGATGTTACAGCCTGGAACTCTGCAGCCATCTTGTTGCTGCTAAAGATAAGCTGGTCTGCCAGGACTATGTGAAGCCTGCAGATGAAGACGCTGCTCCATGAAGAAAATCTGAGGGTCATGGAGGACCTCATCTCACTATCTGGGTCTGACTTCTGGTCTTCCGGACTTCTCAACTTCATGGGGCTATTACTCTCTTATTGTTCAACCAACTAGAATTGGGTTTTTGGTTGTAAATTATGTAACTTTGTTATTCATTCATTTATTCATTCAATCATTCATTCTGAATTTGGCTGAGTAAAGAAGGATGCCAATTTGTATGAACTAAGGAAAACTCAATATTGAAATGCACATACTATTTTCTGTTTTATGAAGGTTGTTTTTCTTCTCTTAACAATTACTAAAGCTTCCAAACTGAGCCTAACTATAATAGCACAATGATTCCTGCAATGATAATTGAGCCTCAGCATTCAGGAAGAATTCAAGCTAGACCACTGCTGATTGTCAAAGAAATCCATCAAGTACTTTATGAGTATTGCATTTATTTGTACATCCCATACTGTGATACATACTCATTATGTAAGTTAGAGTTGTAATAATTTGTTCTAATACATCATGTTTTCAAATATTATATAGAAAATAACATGTAACTGTAGATCAGGTGATGTTGTACCCCAAAGACCTTTCACCAGCTACTCTTGTATTTTGGCTGAAGCATAGCTCACTCTCCTCATGGCACTGGCCTTCATGGCCTTTATTCATTCACTCATTCTGAAATTTGGTGGATAAAAATTGATGACTTATAAAAAATAGAAAATTGACTCCAAAAGGAGCTCATGATACTGAGCATGCCATTGAACCTGCAGCTACTTTCGTTTTGTTTTTATTCAAACCTTCCTCATCTTTACTGCCTATGTAAGTTAATACCCTTTTGGCAACAAGTGACAAAAGGAAAAAAAAACAACCCAAAATGACTTAATCAAAAATAAGAGAGAATTTATTTGCTCTGGTGACTGAAATATCCGGGGTAGATCTGGCTTCCAGTGTGATTGAACCTAGGGGCTTACACAATGCCAGCAGATTATTCCAATCTCACTTTCTGTCTCTTGTCTGTTCTCTTCTGCGGCCACCCTTAGGCAGGCTCTCTTCATGTGGTGGTGCCCAGCAGCTGCATTCTTCATCATAGCTTCAAAGCCAGTAGAACAGAGCCTTCCCCAAAGGCCCTGCTTGGCTCAAATGCCCATTGCTAAGCCAATCTCTGTGGCTAAGGGTGGGGGACATGCAATGCTCTGATTGGCCAGGCTCATAGTACTCATACAGTCAGCCCTCCATATCCGCAGTTCTGCATAGATGGATTCAATCAACTGCAGATCTAAAATATTTGTTTAAAAAATATTCCAGCAAGGGGGCAACAAGGAAGCTCTTAAGAGCACAGCTGGAAAGAAGCTGAGTTACAGATATCCTGCCAAAATAATTTCTTCAAAGCCCAGACTTGCCGTACCCTATGGCCTCAAGACTCTGCTCAGGAAAATTAGCAAAGCCGTTCTCAAAACCAACCCACCGAACATGACCCAGTTTGCAGCAGTTTATTTTAAAGAACTTATTATGTATAGAGAAGGGACTACTTCTCTGGATGAAGTGGTCAGAGGGAACAGAATCTAAAGTGCCTACACAGATGGAAAAATCTACAAAGACAATGTAACCGGAACAGGATGTAGTGACAAAACCACCCAGTTTCCATCCATTTATGCTGAGCTAGGCACTGAGCAAACTGAAGCAGTTCGTGATCTTTCTTCCAAACCAGCCACCCCTAAGACTACTACCCCACCCTCATAACCATCTCCAACAGCTGTTTCACCAGAGTTTGCCTATGTCCCAGCTGACACAGCTCGGTTTGCTTCTCAGATATTAGCAATGGCAGCAAGTGAAGCAGGACAACCACGACGATATTCTAACATGTGGACCCCTTATTGTCTAACTGATAAGAATCAACAAAGTCACCCATCACTGCCACCTGCACCTGGGCCTTTTCCCCAAGCAACTCTGTCTATCTAATCCTAAGGATCCACAGTTTCTGCAGCATCCACCAACTTACAAGATGATCTCCAACTTACAAGATGATCGAAGATAGTAAGACCAGTGCCCCACCTTTTATCTTAGTAGGCTCAAATGCTCAGAAAGCAAAGGAATGGAAACCTCTTTCTGGACATGCTGTTGTTTCAAAGTCAGAAGTTTTGAAGAGATATGCTGCAGTATAAGTGCCCATTGCTGTTCCTGCAGATGAGAAATTCCAGAAACTTACCTTAAGCCCCCAGAATGCTCATCTTGCTACAAGTGGACAAGATGTCCCCAGGCCAGAAAGCCTTGTTTTTCTTTCTGTTGCTTTCTTAGTAGAAGGGGTAGCTTTAAAAAGTTCAGGATCTGGTGACAAATGTGCTCCCTTTGGAAGTTACAGTATTGCTTGGGAGATAACTGTGACTCATGCTCACAAAGTTCGCAAAGCAGAAACTTAAAACTGATCCAGAAATGACGCTGTTTGGGTCAACAAACGTTCAGGGAGGAGTCTGCCACCAAGTGTAACATATCAATAAACTTCACACAAGTACAAAAAATATATATATTCTACAAAGGTTCAAAAAGCAAAACTTGAATTTGCCGCGCAACAAGTACTAGAATGAATCCACACAAATGAAGTGATGTGTAGGCATTGTGTTAGGTATTATAAATAATCTAGAAATGATTTAAAGTATATGGGAGGATGTGCGTAGGTTATGTGCAAATACTACACCAGGTTATATCAGGGAGTTGAGCACCCACGGATTTTGGCATTTGTGGGGGTCCTGGAACAAATCCCCCATGGATACTGAGAGATGATTGTAAATCCTCTGGAGCATATGGACTGAAAATGATGCTGTTTCTTTCAGAAAAAGGAATGAGGGAATGGACACTGGATGCCTGTATTAGGGCGCTTAACATTAGCTACTATAACAAGCAATCCCACGTATCCATAGCGTGACTCAACAATCAGTTGTATTTTTCACTCGTGCAAAGTCAAATGCAGAGATGTTCTGGTTGGGCAGTTCCCTTGGCAGCTCTCCACCAGCACTGACTCAGGAAACCAAGCCTCTTCCATCTTGGGAATGCTATTACCCACATCACATAGTCTCCAAGGTTGTTGTGGAAGGGGCAAAGTGAACTGGATGAAGCATAACTGCTCTCAGCTGCCTTGGCCTTGAAATGACCCAGCAATCTGCCCTTGCATTCACTGGTGAGAACTTAGTCACAAGGCCCACACAGATGCAAGGGGGCTGGGAAATACAATTTAGCCATGTGCCTAGGAAGAGGAAACAGATTTGTGGCCACCTGGCTTATCTCTGATACAAAGGCAAACACAATCCATTTCAAATACACAGCCAGAATTGCCCACTGGCTCTACTCTGGTCAAACATTGAGTCAGGGCCAGCAGTGTCCTGAGAGGTGATCTGGTTCCACTCTCTAATTGAACAGATGCAAAAGTAAGAAAAAAAGGGCCTTTCCCAGATCACTTGACACTGATGTAAAGCATATGGATTTAACTAAAAGTCTCAAAAAGGAATGAAGAGGCATTCCCTCTCTGCAGATGCCAGAAACTCCTTCCAACTACCAGCTTACGGAATCTTGCTCTTATCAAGCATGGAATAGTAGAAATGTGGCGGGTTTTATAGCCAGATAGCCCTGAGTTCAAATCCTAGTTCTATCTCCTTCTAGATTGAACAAAGAATTAAGCTCTCTGAGCCTCAATTTACTCCTCTCCCCAACCACAATATTCAACAAGCATTCAATTCCTACTCTCTTCTTATTTCCTACCGTAATACCAGTGATACCTAGAGTTTTCCAGGAGTGACTGATAGTTACTCTTGGGCCCAAGAGTATAATATATTTTCCCAACTTTTTTATGGTCAGGGCACTAAACCCAAAAATACTTCTACAGAAATCTGTAGAAGCTCTGAGGGTGAGGAAGTATCTCTTTGCAGAGGTGAATTAACCTTTGTATAGTAAACATTTTACCCCCAGAATGTACTTTGCTGATTCGATTATCACAGTTCCTGCTAGAACTTGGCTAGCTAAGCTGAAAATTGAGATATACTAGCTTCTCTCCAGGTCTTAAACAAGAATAATCACTTCTTCATAGGAGGAAGTGTCTCCATTCTTGGAGGTGACCAAATTCTAGGTCCTTTGCAAGCCTGTGCCTGGTAGACTACCATCTAGCAGGAGACCTCAACTCGCCATTTGAATAAGACACAAACTCTCAGTCCTCAGGCCAAAAGTGCATACCATGACTAAAGTGTTAAACAAACTGTCCGACTCCATGTTTCCAGGTCCTTTCTAAGGAAAGCAAGCTGTTTGCAAAGTCAAGGACTTCACCTGTCTCAGCAGGACCAGACCAGGAGACTAGCTTGGTTTCCAACACCAATAGCCACCCCAGGGCTGTGCGCAGCAGAAGCTTCCCCACCCCAGACAGCCCCCCAAATTTGGGATGGTCCTTCCCTTCCTTAACTCATCAAAACTTCACTTTGTTGCATGACTCATTGCCTCAGATCTTTGCCAAGCTCTCAATCAGCCAACCAACTTGATAATGTGATTCAAGGCTGCCAGTGATAGCATTTCCCAAAGAGCAAACATTCCTTTAAACAGAGGCCTCTTTGAGACAAACCACCTGCTTCAACCCCAGAAAAGTACATCTGAAAAGTAAGTTTGGTTGAGAAGGCATTTCTGTGTCCTGGGAATTCTATCAGTTTAGCTTTGTCTAAAAGTATGCTATATCACAAAAATTGGCCTCAGGTCTTGAGGCATTCAGTGATTCCTCAAGGAACATGGCCACGGATACTGTCTGAATTCCCTCCACATTGAATTAAGCTTCTGGGCAAGGGGCATTATAAGTGTAACACATTCATCATGTTTTGCATTTGCTTTTGCCAGGCTACACAAAAGGTCATTATAAAGTTTTTAAAATCTCATTTGGATATTTCTTAGAGGAGGTCTGCATTGTATCTATCCACACTTTCAGGAACATTATGGTTTCCTCTTCATAATACCAGCTTTTTAAAAGGCGTGTCTTTATTTCCTTCTGTTTCCTTTTGCTGGCCTTCAGAAACTGAGCCATAAAAGTGTGCCTGAAGTGTGGAAAGTGAAAACTGAGAAACAAACATATATTCATTCCACTTTGGGTTGGTTACTTTACAACTGACTCCTGCTTTTAAAAGGTACCTCATGGTATTACTGGGATGACAGAGATTTCTGTTCAGGATCCTGTCTGATAGGCTATAATTCAGGGCTTACTGAGAAAACAGTTACGGGAACACTTCCTGGAGGAGCTCACCACCCTCCCACGGGCCCTAAACCTTGATGATTTGCACCCCAACATAGATCCACACACATACCTCACTCCTGCCTCATTTCAATTCCAGTCACACCTGGATCTTACTTGCATTTCATAAGCACTCAAATACTGGGGACCGTTCTTAGTAACAGACGTGCTTAAATTTCTATTAGGCAGACAAGACACTGAGAGCTGAGGCCACTAACTCAGAGAACTGACCTCTAAATAGAAAGAGTCCTTGTTTTCATCTGGGTTAGGAGGGATGGAATCAATGTCTGTTCAACGCTCTGCCTCCCTGCACAGCTCATATAGCAGAGACAGCCCTGGCTGGGGAGTCAGGAGACCTAGGACTCTGCCAAGAACGAGATGTGGTGTGACCTTCTGTAACCTACTTTCACAGCCTCAGTTTCCTTTCTTGCAAAATGAGGTGGAGTGGGGAGAATTTGGTCTAGGTCAAACTCAAACTTTCTGTTGCTGGGAGGTGGTGTGGGGGAGGTTTTCCCTTCCAGGAAACAGAAGAGAGGTTGGATCCTCTCCCTAAGAAAACATGCAGAGACCCAAATGTCACATAAATGGATGGCTTGGGAGTATTAGCTTAATAACCTTCAAGGAAGGTATTCTTAAAACCCTCTCTAGTAAAATGACAACAAAATAGTTGATTCTTCTTTTCAAAAACCTGATGGTCATCCTTGAGTGTTTTTACTCTCACCTCTCCCCACCCCAATATCGAATCCACGTCGATTTCCCCACTGTGCTATCGACACAAGACAGACCCAAAGGCCCAGACACCCCCGTCCATGCTGCCACAGCATCTCTCACACAGACGCCTCTCCCTCTGATCTCCTACAGTCCATCAGTGGATTATCCCTGCCCCCATAGCTGGAGAGCTGCTCTGCCTGGTGGCTTTCTATGGCCCTGCATGGTGAGGCTCTGGCTTGGTCTCCCACCAGATTGCCACCCAGCCTCACCCTTCTGCTTTCTGTTTCTTGTATTTGCCAAACTTGTTCCTACTTCAAGGTCCCTCTGCCTGGACCACTCTGTCCCCAGAGCTTCACATGGCTTTAAGGTCTCCATTCAAATGCCCCCTTCTGGGAGAAGGCCACCTACAGTTACTGGCTTACCCATCTTCCTGCCATGGTGTTGTCACAGCACATATCACTGACTGGAATGATCCCATTTGAACAGCCTCTCCTCATTTATCCTGCCTGCCTCTCTTCCCTCCTTCTTCCACCCCTGCCACCAAAATGTAAGTTCTGCCAGAGGAGGGTCCTCACCTGTCTTGTTCACTCTGTAGTCTGGCTATGGTAGCTGTATAGTATATATTTGCTAAACTAATTAAATAAATTATAGTCAAATCATTCCTTTCACATCGTGTAATAAAACTAGTAGACTGGCTCCTGTTTTTAAAAATATTTTAATTGATTTTCATGAAGACATCAGTAGAATGCCATTAATATCGCCCCTAGGATTTATTTCTCCAGATTAAATTTCTCTTATTCCTCTAATCTTTCTCACCAGCCTCACTCTTATCCTCTTAATCACTTTCCAGGGCCTTCCCTGGAGGCTCTCCAATTTCTCCTTGTCCTCCTGAGAAGCTGAATAACCTTGTTCTTACGGGGACCCACAGTGAACCTACAGAGGGGGTGAGGCAAAAATTCTGCATGGCAGAGGGCTTAAAAATGGAGGTTTTCTAAGCTGGCATAGATTCAGATACAACCACTTTCTAGCTCAATGACCTTGAGTGTGTCACTTCCTCAGCCTTGGTTTCCTCCTCTGTAAAACGGGGCTGACAAAAATATCTCAAAGAGCAGTCTGTGGTGAAGCTTCCAGGAGCTTTTTCCAACAAAGCGCTTAGCATAAGGCCTGCTGCACACCAACACCTCAGTAAATTACAACTACTTACTAATAAATAGGCTAAAACTATAACCACTTTAACTAAACAGGGGAGCCGTGCAAGGATGCTGAGCTGTATGCAGGCAACATTCTACGTGGTTTCAGATATTGTAGGTGAAAAGAAAAGGTAAGCGAGAAGAAAGATTATTTATGAAAACCCTGAATAAAGCAAAGGGGGCATGAAAGACCGTCTAAAGCCTGTTCCTGGAGTGGCAGGCACGAAACAGACTTCACTAATTGTAGTGTGCACAGTGAAAGAGCCAACTGAGTGTGCAATAGAAGCAAATGTACAGGGCAAAAGTCTCACCTGCCTGAAGGCAAAGAACACCTCCTTTTCATTCCTGGAAGATGAGCTCATACAGGGATATCATCCAGGGTATCACACACCCGCCTTTTCAAATGCAGAGCACTCCTCAGCCCTGGAAGGAGTGGCAGAGGCTTGACTCCACTTCCTTCCTTTGGAGGCCCCAGGACCTGCTCAGAGATTCTTGTTAATGGAAGCCTTGCGGCCCCAGTTGGCAGACATTCACTGAGAGATACACAAGCACCAAACTCAGAAAGACTATTTTTAGGAGGTTTATGTTTAGAGCACACACTTCCACAATGACCCAGCACAATGGGGCAATTCTGAGGGTCCACCAGAACTGATGCACTGCAAAAGCAGTGGGTAGGCCTCAGAGTGCTTAGAGATCAGGATCCATCAGGCCACCCAAGCAGTGGAGTCATAAGCGGCTACTAAACAGAATGGATTGGATCCCTATGCTCTGACATAGAAAGATGTCCAAATATATTTGGTCTAGTGACAGAAGTAAGGTGCAAAACTCTCTGTAGGATAAGGGTCAGGGAGAATTCTCTCCTCTCCAGGAGGAGACTTGCAGCAAAGCCCCACACCTCCTTCCATTCCTCACTCAGCCTCCCCAGGAGAGCTGGCCTTGCCCTGCACCATGTGTCCTAGAGGGCAGGGAGGTGGGGGAAGTGCACGAGGCCTCCTAGGTCTCACGTTGCCTATTCCAGGCATAGCAGGGGCTCACACCATCTCTCAGTCCCTTTCCTGGGCTTCTCTTCTCCAGCAGGAAAGTAGGCAAGAGGAGATAAGCAGACCCATGCTTTCTCCCTTAGGCCCAGCTTCTCCTCTGACATCAGGGTGGGTGGGTCAGGCCAACTGTGCCCTGTGAGCCTGGCTGTCTCCAGTTCAAGGTGCCATGTGGTGGTCCCCTTACCAGAGAGCTGTCAAAACCGTAAAAGCTGGGTGGGTGCAGTGGTTCACGCCTGTAATCCCAGCACTTTGGGAGTCTGAGGCAGGAGGATCTCTTGAGGCCAGGAATTCAAGACCAGCCTGGGCAACATAGAAAGACCCCTGTCTCTACAAAAGATAAAATAGATTAGCTGGATGCAGTGGTTCACACCCATAATCCCAGCACTTTAGGAGGTCAAGGCAGGAGGATTGCTTGAGCCCAGGAGTTTGAGGTTGCAGTGAGCTCTTACGGTGCAACTGCACTCCAGCCTGGGCAACAGAGTGAGACCCTGTCTCTAAAAAGCATAAAAGTTAAAAGGATAAGCAGGGGTGTGCTGAACAGATCCCAAGAATGATGTTCAATGTGCCCTGGCCCATTCGTGTGTAATTTCCTCCCCTGACTGTGGGCTGGCCTAGTGACTTGCTTTTAACCTACAGAACATGGCAAAGTGGTGGGATAGCACAGTGTGATTGGTTCCTTCAGACAGAGTTTGCATCTTGCTGGCACACTCTGTCCCTAGCTGGCTGGGAGGAAGCAAGTTACTGTGTGCAGAGCTGCCCTATGAAGTGTCCCACATAAAAAGAAATGGAGGGTGGCCTCTAACTGACAGTCATAAGGAACTGAGGTCTTCAGTTTAAGAGCCCAGAAGAAACCAAATCCCACCAACAACTGTGTGAGTTTGGAAGTGAATCCTTCCTCAATGGGGTCTCAGATGAGTCTCCAGCCTTGGCTGATTCCTTGATTACTGACCTATGAAATACCCTGAAGCAAAGGATGCAGCTAAGTGGTGTCTGGCCCCTGTAAGATAACAGATGTGTATGAGTTTGTCAGTAAGTTCATGGTAATTCATTACATAGCAATAGGCAACAAATAAGGGAGCATTACTTGCCAATACTTTCAATGGCAAAAACTGCAATTACTTTTGCAGCAGCCTAATAAAATGAGAGTTCGTATAGCATGGCGGTTAAGAGCCCAGGCTTAGAGCCTGACTGCTTGGATTCAAATCCTGTCTCCCCCTTCAACCTCTTTGTGTCTAAGTTTCCTTATCCTTAGATGGAGGGTGGTACTCGTCCCACACCATGGCCTGATAGTAAGGATTAAAGGAATTAATTCCGCTAGAGTGCTTTGAACAACGTGTGGCCCCTGGTCAGAGCCCAGGAAAGGCTGGTTCATGCCTGTTTGTGTTCACTCATTGCTCTCACCCCTAAACTATCGAGAGCTATTTTCTCTAAGGAGGATTATTGTGGCAATTTTCACGTCCTAAGACATACATTTTTATGCTCTTTTTTTTCGTAGCAATGAGCATTTTTATCATTTTGTATGTGGAAAAAACAATACAGTTCTTTTTAAAATTCATATTAACTTCCTGTTAGGCCCTTATAAGGATGAGCTCTCTCTCAAGTTCCTATAAAAAAACAAAATTCCATGCAAGCCAGCTTAAACAAAATAGGGTGGCCTTGCAGGGTGGACTCTGAGGTATGGCACAGAATAGAAAGTTAGGAAATGTTCAGGGGTCTTGGAGGAAGCTGGGCGCAGGGACTGATAGCGTGGCTGGATGCAGGTGGACAAGGCCTTTGGCTCTCTCTTTGGCCACATGGTCTCTTTTTGCACCTCTCCTTTAGGTTTCTCTGAGCCCGTGGTAGAAGGTGGCAACCCACACTGTTTAGAATGACCAGACACCCAGCAGAAACTGATTAGCTCCTCCATGTCCCAACTCCAAATTCCCTGAGGAAAGAATCTGATGGGTCAGATGAACACTTCTGGTCCCACCTGCAATCACTGTGAGTAGGGCATAGGGTTTTCTAATACAAACTGAACTGCTGTGACTACACAGGTAGTAGCAGTGTAGAAAGAGGAGAGGAAAGCGAATGGCCAAACGGTGTCTGTTCCAAGTCCTTTCCTTCTTTTTACTAAGTGACGGTAGGAAATTAAGAATTTTGTCCAAGAAGCTTTCAGAGACTTTAGATGAGAGATCATGTTTGCCATAAACACTAGAACCCATGAGAAATTTCTCATTTGGAGAGAAATAGAGCAATTTCTTTTAATCAGCTGTATTCACCCTTCTCTCCTTGATACCCTGATCCACACAGGGTTGCTGCTATCCTACCGGGCATAAAACATCAGGGGTGTAAGAGGAGGTTCTGCCTAGCTGATGCTCTGTCTCAGTGTGGCAAGCCTAAGAAGATTCATGGGACCCCTGAAATCAGTACTTAATATACCAGTTAGTGGGCCATATTCATGTCACCCATAACCTACCTCAGGGAAGAATGTGTTCCTCCTCGCTCTGTCCTTGTAAAAATCACAGTTATAAACAAAGTACAGTATAGGCCCAAGTCCACAGCAAACTCTGCATCTCATACAATGATGCTAAAGATAAAAAATACTGTTCAACTTGAAATTATACCTCACTCAGTAGAAATTTATCTCAATTAGCATATTTATCTAATGAACATTCAAAGGGGAAAAACTAATTACTAGAATCATGGGCTCTCCTGGTTGGAAGGAAACTCACAGGTCAGTGTAAAAGCCTGTTCTCTCCCCTGTCTCTCCTACTCCCCAACAGGTACAGGAATTCCTTTTACTATGTCCCTGCCAGGTGGGTGCTAATTCTGCTTCACATCTCCATTTCTGGATAACTGTGGTTATCAGAAAATCTTGACTACAGTGGAACCAAAAACTGGCTTCCTTGTAACCTACCAATTGGCACATTTGCCCAAATTTTGCTTCTGAAACATCATAAACAAACCTTCTGCTTACCTCCAGACATCTTGTTTTATGAGATAATCAGGTTTTTGTCACCTAACCACTGCTAGTTGAGCTCTCCGTAAATTGTAATGAATCATGTTTTAGCCAATGACAGTTCACCAGAGCTCCGGGTGTCTAGCCTCCCACTCTAAGATTCATGTGACATTTCAAGACCCTACGTCAGTCCCACCTTTCTGACCTCTCTCCTCAATTCCATCCCTGTTTGTCAAATGTGTTGAAGAAAACTCAACACAAGCCCCCAGTGAAAGCTAACACAACAGAGCTCTAATCACCACCCCAAATTTCACGTTCTTGGCAGCCATCTCCCACCTGAAGGCTGCAGTTTACCGCAGCACCTGAATCTCTCTCCCAGACTCAGGCTGAGGCCCTTACCTGCCATCGTTGTGTAACTTGTCTGGACCCAAGGGCTGGACTTTGCATTTCTCTGTTATGCTCCAGGTTGCCTAACTTGACCTGGCTTTGCAGACTGTCGGCATTGCTCTGGCTCATTCTTCTTTCATCCAGTCTATTAGCTCTACTTCTGCCTCATGGTGGCCTGGAAATGTGATCAGCATGCCATCCATGTGCTCACCCACACAGCTAAAAAAAATATAAAAAATTAAAAAACTGAATAAGACAGCAGCCAGAGATGAAACGCAACACAATACTAGCAGTTGGCCTGACAATGATAACAGCCCTACCAGTGTCTCCAAAAATATACCACTTGATACCCATTTGGATTGAACTTTTTCTGGTATTAATGCCAGCAGAAGATGAAGGCAAGATTCATCCCACAGGCGCTAAAATGCTGAGGACAGAATGGTGAAGGGAGGTCAACACATCCCATGGGTCATTATTATAGCTGTTATCAGTCTCTCCATTCTGGGTATCCTATAACTGCAGCTTGCTAGGTCATGTGCAGCAACACGCAAGTTGAAAAGAACTCCTGGAGATTTAACAGCCTTGCTCTGAAAAGACTGCATTTTTATAGAATAAAGGTATTTGTTCCATAACAATAGAACATACTCATGATTTATAAAGCAAAGCAAAGATGTATGGCCTGCCATTCTAATAATATATATTTTTATTCTAGACACAATAAGCAGATCCAAAGGAAAGAGAACTCCTGGATGAAAGCAGGTATCTGTGATATCAAAAATGTAAGGGACAAAGACAGAGAAAAAAAAAACAAGGAAAAGAAAAATAAATGCCAGAAAAGCAACCAGAATAACTGCTTTGCATTTCCTAAAATCTGGATTTTGATCTTACCTACCATTTCCACTTCATCTCCAACATTCACCACTCTTCCACACTGCCACTACTACCATCACCACCAACCCCTCTACTGCCACTACTACCACCAGCAAAAATTCTATCTGTGCCACTACTACCACCAAGAACCCCACCACTGCCACAATCACCACCATTAATACCATGACTACAAATGACTACAATTACTCTGTTATAGCCACTAATACCACCAACATCATCATCACTGCCATATCACCATCAACAATATCACTATTACCAGTGATGACACCATCATTATTGCCACTGCTGTCAACACCATCACTACACTGAACCACCATCAAAACTTATCTTCCCTGAGCATTGCTCCAGATATCTAGAGGAAAAGGAGACCTGGGCTATAGTTCTGACTCTGCTAATTAGCTGGTGACCCTGAGCAAGTTACTTTACTCCTTTGTATGTCAGATCAATAAACAAGTTGAATGACTGGAAGAATTAATATTATATTACATCTGCTCTTAAGGTCAACAAAAATATAAAGCGTCAATAGAAATACAAAAAGTGCTGTAGAGACAAGTCAATCTAAGCATTTGGTCTCCACCTCCAGGACACACAGCTGCAGCTGAGCTGGAACACTCATTTCTCCATGTCTCTTTATTCCTCTAGGATCAGAGTTTCGTGTGTGTGTGTGTGTGTGTGTGTGTGTGTGTGTGTTTTCTTAGAGACAGGGTCTCACTCTGTTGCCTAGGCTGGAGTGCAGTGGTGCAATCATAAATCACTGCAGTCTTGAACTCCTGGGCTCAAGCAATCCTTCCACCTCAGCCTCCCAAGTAGCTGGGACTACAGCCATACACCATCACACCCAGCTAATTTTTAAATTTTTTTTTGTAGAGACAGGGTCTCGCTATATTGCTGAGGCTGGTCTTGAACTCCTGGCCTCAAGCAATCTTCCTGCCATGGCCTTCCAAAGTGCTGGGATTATAGATGTAAGCCACTGTGCCCAGCCTAGGATCAGAGTTCTTAACCACAAACCATGAAGTCCTCTAAAGCTGTATGCAGAAAAGGGTGTGTCTCAGCAAAGAACACTCATAACTTAGTATGTTCTCAAAGCGGTCCCTGTCCCTAAAAACATTAAGAGCCACTTTGCATTGCTAACCTTATTATTAAAAGACCTGGAAGTCAGAAGGAAAAGTCAGAATGGGGTAAAGAAGTTTGATTTTTGAGTGACTAGTCTGAGGTTAGAGGACCATCTAGGTCAAAGACAGATGTCTTGAGTCAGGTATCTGCTGACTCAAAGGTAGTCAGAAATCTTCATTTCCTTCATGGCACTTGATATGTTGAAGTTGTTTTTCATTTACTTGTTTAATATCTGTCTTCCCCAATTAGCATGAAGCTCCCTGAAGATGATGCTTGTTTTTGAGTGCTTTTTGTTTGTTTGTTTGTTTGTTGAGACAAGGTCTCTCTCTGTCGCCAGGCTGGAGTGGCGCCATCTCAGCTCACTGCAACCTCCGCCTCCCAGGTTCAGGCGATTCTCCTGCCTCAGCCTCCCGAGTAGCTGGGACTACAGGTGCACACCACAATGCCCAGCTAATTTTTGTATTTTTAATAGAGACTGGGTTTCACCATGTTGGCCAGGATGATCTCAATCTCTTGACGTTGTGATCCACCTGCCTTGGCCTCCCAAAGTGCTGGGATTACAGGTGTGAGCCACCATGCCCAGCCATTTTTGACTGTTTTTTTCACCCCTGTAGGTCACCAGGCCCTTGCACAGTTACTCACAGAAGGAAAAGGAAGATCTTAATATGAATCAACATCAACATTATGTGTAATGCTCAGGGTCTTGGTGTTAGTTTTTGACACTGCTTGAAGGTAAAATAAAAATAAATTGTTATTAGTCTCAGATACAACTAGAAACAAACTTTTAAATGATGATAAAATTGAGTGTAGGCAGGCATTTTGGTAAACTGGCCTTTCCAGCACCAGGGACACAGTGGGTGAAGCCTGGTGCTGATGTACTTGCCCAGGGAACACCCCAGATCCAGCTGTTCCTCTTGGGCAAGGGCCCTTGCTGCATGGATGGGCTACTTCACCTGCTTTCATTCTCTCAACCACAAGACAGGGAAGCTGGACTTGGTGCACCTCTAGCTTGGTGTCTGAGAACCTGGCTACACCAGCCAAACACCTTGGATAAGCCACCGCCCTTCGTGGCCTTGGCATCCTGCTCTGCTGATAGGGAGCTGATGAACCCTCTGAGGTCCTTTGCCTCAAAGGAAGGCCAAATTAGCTTCCAACTACCCCTCCTCTCTCTGTTGGGTATCAATGTCAAGGTTTATCCCAGTGGACTTTACTGCTTATATCACAGAAGTCAAGTGAAAAAGTCAAATTTTGCCTCAAGCAGTGGCCTTCCTTATTCAGGCCTCAAAATGCACTCTTAGGGGGAAAAATTCCTTCTAAACAAGGTTGGTGAAGGTTTCAGTGCCACTCTCATTGGACACTGATGACTTCACATAGTCTTTACCTAAACTACTCATTCTATTTGAACTAAAGTGTTAATGGTCCTAGGTTTCTGGAAGACCTGAGTCACCGGTGGACTGTCAGAGAGAGGAAACCACCCACCTTCCTGGCTCCCACGGAAGCAGGATTCAGCCAGCAGGGAGAGCCAGCTTCCAGCCTGCTGCCCAGGTTCACTGCTGAAGGTGGGTTAGCCAACTTCACCTCCCCCAAACCAGTGACTCTTTCTTGGGACTTCCGGACCAAGGAACCACCTCTTACCATTTCACACGGCAACTTGGATTCTATGTCTGCAGAAATGATCATCTCCTTCGAGCTGCTCTCATCCCTCTGTCTTTTCTCTCCATTAACCTGATTTCCTACCAGGCTTTTCTCAGTTATGTGGGAGGATGCAGAATTTAATCCTTATTCATTGTTCCTTGAGGATTTACCACATGACAGACACTGTTCTGAGCATTCTGCATGTATTAAGCCCATTTAACATGAGGTAGGTAGGGATTGTTATCATGCCTATTTGTGTTTGAGGAAACTGAGGCCCAGCAAGGGCAGGGAGTCAATCGTCTGTGCTCTATAAACACAGCGAACAGCCCTGAAGGAGTCCCCCTACTCTTGAGAAGCCAATGTTTCTAGAGTGGGGAGACAGAAAGTGAAGAAGAGAACAAATGAGGTAATTTCAGGAATAAATTAGAAGGACGTTTATGAAGGAGACTGGCCCAATCTCATTCTAGGTCACACAGTAGCTACTAAGGGGGGGCACTGGGCCCAGAACCCAGGCTATCTGACGCCAAGGGCAACCTAACATTGCACCCCACATCATTCTTCTTAAAGGGGCTTATCTGGCATTTCCTATATGGATTATGAATTATTACATATAGGCATTTCCTATGTGGATTATGAATTATTACATATAGAACAATGTAGCAAAGAAGAAGGTATTAAAAAGTTTCTTTTAAAAAATTCAGCAAATAATAACAACCAGATGAAGGAAACTTCTCTAGGTCATTTGCTTCAGATCCACACTTCGGATGAAAATGGCTGAAAAGGAGGCAGAGATGGCAGAAGACTAAAGGAAAGCGCCGAGCTGTGACTTGACGCCCATTCCAAGGGCAGTGTGGCTCTTGTGAGACCAAAAGAAGAGTAGGAATGAACGCGTGGGTCCTGTGAGCAGCGGGTGGCTTTGCTGAGCTTGGTGCTCTTAGAAGACCAGCCACTTTTGTCCCTGCAGCCCGGGGCCACAGAGCCAGACACCAGACCCACAGCAGCCCGGGAAGTAACGGTCGCTCTGTCTCGTCTGGGAAGATCTCCGTTGCCAGGGCTTGCTGGACCCGCCCCCGCACAGCTTCCCAGCAGTCCCGATTCCGCCTGAGGCTCCAGAAGGCGAAGCTGTACAGGAGGCCACTTTTCTTCTCAGCCTAGAACTCGAGAGACCTGAAAGGAAGGACGACTGGCCACAGGAGATGTTTCACAGAGCCGCTGAATGAACAACACAGTCAATTCTGATCAACTTTCCAGTGCTATCTGGGGTATGTGGGCGTGTACATCACATTATATAATCTGGAATGCTGAGTATATTTAATATATCTGCATATAATACAGGTTGCTAGATATATATATTAAGATCCAGCCGGACGCGGTGGCTCACGCCTGTAATCCCAGCAGTTTGGGAGGCCGAGGTGGGCGGATCACGAGGTCAGGAAATCGAGATCATCCTGACCAACATGGTGAAACCCCATCTCTACTAAAAATACAAAAATTAGCCAGGCATGGTGGCGGGCGCCTGTAGTCCCAGCTACTCAAGAGGCTGAGGCAGGAGAATCGCTTGAGCCTGGGAGGCAGAGGTTGCAGTGAGCGGAGATCGCGCCACTGCACTCCAGCCTGGGCGACAGAGCCAGACTCCATCTCAAAAAAAAAAAAAAAAAAAAATCCATACTTCCTTAAGATACAATCCTCCTAGGTTTGTAACTCCTAGGTTTCTGGTTCAAAGATCATAGAAAAAAAATTCCCTTTAAAAAAAAAGAAAAAGTTATCCAAAAGACATTCTTTTTACTAACTGTTCAATTATTCTTCATAGAGATTATACCAATGCAAACTTCTGCCAGCACTACTGACAACACTATTAATCATTGATATACATCTTAGACAATTGGGTAGGAGAAAAATGGCATCTTGTTGTGGACTTAATTTGCATTTCTTTGATTATTAATAGAGTTTTTAAAAATCCATATTTTACGTAATGTTTTTCTGACTTTAACAGGGGATTTGTAAACTCGGCGAGGAGAGCATTTGTAAAAGGGTTAAGTACCCCAGTTTTCTAACTGAATTACTACACCATTAAAATGAGCTCCGCACAACATGGCAGCAAATAGGCTTCTGTCTGAGAGACAGAGAAGGGTGTATATGGCTTCTTTACCAAATCGGAGAGCTGAAAACCCAAGCAGAGTCACGTCCTAGGAGTAGGCACTGACCGCCACAGTCACCTGCCCGTCCTGTCAAGCAACTTTTCCCAGCTAACCTGAGTTCCCATCCTAATTCTTTAAAGCACTGAAAAGTTTTTGAAAAGAAAGACACAAGAAATATTTCTCCAGTTTTTTCTATGACTAATTTAAGTTGTAGTAACACAATAGTACTTTTCACTTGAATAGTCTCTAAGATTCATTTTGAAAACAGCAGTAGCCACCTTGAGACATATTTATCGTGAGTTTTCAGCACTACACCAGTAGGGGTACAAAGAAAAATTCTAAAATAACTACTTATAAAGCTTAAATGAATTTAATTAGACTGCTAAAAATGAAAAAAAAAAATGCTAAATTATAACCACCCTAGACATGATTAATTACATTTACATTATGCAGAAAGCACAGGAATGAAACCACCCCACGGCTTTTTCTTCCCAGATTCAGAGGTATATACTGTTGCCAGCAAGACAGCTCCTGGCAGAGGCAGACCTAGACCCAGTGTCTGCAGTCAAAACAGTGAGGGTTTGAACAGAAAGGGTCTCTGCCTGCCTCCACAGCCTCATGATCACTGAGCCACCTCTGCAACTTGGGCCCATTTCCTGAAATCCCTTCCTGCCTCTTCCTCAGTGAGAATACATGGAGCGCCCCCCCATGCCAGATCCAGCCATCCATCATCCCTTGCCCCAGCCCCCCTGGGCCTAGGACACATCATCATTTTTTTGGTTTTTTGTTTTTTGTTTTTGGAGACAGCATTTTGCCCTGTCACCCAGGCTAGAGTGCAATGGCACCATCATGGCTTGCTGCAGCCTCGACCTCCTGAACTCAACCAATCCTCCTACCACATCCTCCCGAGTAGCTGGGACTACAGGCACATGTCACCACACCCAGCTAATTTTTTTTTTTAGACATGGGGTCTCACTATGTTGCCCAGGCTGATCTCAACCTCCTGGGCTCAAGCAATCTTCCTGCCTTGGCCTCCCAAAGTGCTGGGATTACAGGTGTGAGCCACCATTCCCAGCCTACACCACAGTTTTTGATCTGTCTTGCCAATTGTCATTACAGTAGGTACCCAGGAAACAAGTGCAGAATGAATGAATAGAGATTGGCAAAGTCAGCACTCCCCATGGGAGACTAAGAAGGACAGATAAGTCAAGTGGTCCATGGCACATTAAGTGGAAAAAACTAGGTATCAAACAGTGTATAGAGAGGACAATCCCATTTTAATTTTATCAAATGGTGTGTACATGAAAAGAAAAAAATCCTGGAAAGACATCAGCATTCAAAGGTGGGAAGCACTGGGTAGATATAGACAAGACACTAACAGAGAGGTTCTCTCTCCTCCTAGGCTTCTTTCCTCATCAGGGAAGTAAACATTTTACCAGAAACTCCCTGGCAGCCTTTTCCTGAACTGTCCTAAGGGCTATGGCTGAAGGTAAACTAAGAAAATGAGGGCCTGGGTTTTTCAGTCTCTATTATGGCCAGTGAGGACAGAAGGAGGGAGCTGGGAATAATTAACAGTGTTTACCCCATGTAGTCTCAATCTTGTGTGTCTTTAGCATATATTTACTGAGTATGTGCTATATGCCAGGCCCTATTCTGAGTAAGGAGATAAAGCAGTGATGAAGACAGAAAGTCCTGGATCTCATAGGGTTACATTCTAGATATGTCTATTCATGTCTACTGGAGGTAGCTGCACAATACATGTTATAAAATAGTAAATCATATGGTATACCAGGCAGCAAGGAGGGCTGTGGGTAAAGCAATACAGGGGCAATGTAGTCAGGAATGCCTGGTGGAGCCAGGACTGTAATCCTAAATAGAGTGGCAGGGGAAGGTCCATAAGGAGGTGACTTGTCAGGCAGAAGGGAGCCAGCAGGAGGGTGCCTAAGGATGGAGCTTCTCTAGCAGTGGGAGCAGACAGGGCAAAGACCCAGTAATGGAATGTGCCTGGCACACCTCTGGCACAGTGGGGAAGCCATTGTGGCTGGGGCAGATGTGCATATGGTCAGGGATGGAACTGGATGCCAAGATGGCCTGGGGCCTGGTAGAGCATCATGAGGATTTGAGTCTCACTCTAAGAAAATCGAGGAGCCACTGGAGGGTTGAGAGCAAAAGAGTGACAGGATTTAACTTCCATTTTTTAAACAGCTTTATTGAGATATAATTAACCTACCACACAATTCACCCATTTAAAGTATACAACGCAGCCGTGCACAGTGGCTCACACCTGTAATCCCAGCACTTTGGGAGGCCAAGGCAGGAGGATGACTTGAGGTCAGGAGTTTGAGACCAGCCTGGGCAACATGGCGAAACAATGTCTCTACAAAAAATACAACAATTAGCCAGGTGTGGTGGCATGTGCCTTTGGTCCCAGCTACTCAGGAGGCTGGGGTGGAAGGATCACTTAAGCCCTGGAGGTGGAGGTTGTGGTGAGCCAAGATTGGGTCACAGCACTCCAGCCTGGGTGATAGAGCAAGACCCTGTCTCAAAAATAAATAAATAAATACATAAAATACAGTGTACAAGTCAATGGGCTTTAGTATATTAACTGTGTTGTGCAACCATCTCCACAGTCTAGTTTTAGAACAGTTTTAGTCCCCCTCCCCTACAGAAAGTACACACACCCCTTAGCCACTCCCCACTTCCCCACCCCAGTCCCCGGGCAACCACTAATCTGCTTTCCATCTCTATAGAATTGCCTATTCAGGACATTTTATATAAATTGGATTATACAATACATGGTCTTTCATGACTGGTTTCTTTCACTTAGCAGAGTGTTCTCAAGGCTCATCTATGTTGTGACATATATCAGTACTTCATCCTTTTTATTGTTAAATAGTATTCCATTGTATGGACGTACCCCATTTTGTTTATCTATTCATCAGTTGATGGATATTTGGGTTGTTTCCACTTTGGGGCTATTATGAGTCATACTGCTATAAGTATTATATACAAGATTTTGTATAGGTGTATGTTCTCAATTCATTTTGAGAAACTGCCAAACTGTTATCCATGATGGTTATACCATTTGACATTCCCACTAGAGGTGTCTGAGGGTTCCGGTTTCTCCACTGCAATGCTTGTATTGCCTGCATTTTTATTACAGCTGTCCTAGAGGGTGGGAAGTAGTGGTCTGGATTGTGAACTCAACTGAATTTGACCACAAGGGTCAAATTTACAGTTTTCTAATGACTAATAATGCTGAGCATCTTTTCATATACTTACTAGCCATTTCCATGTCTTCTTTGAAGAAATGTCAATTCAAACCCTTGCCCATTT
Organism: Homo sapiens; assembly: GCF_000001405.40. Taxonomy (NCBI): domain Eukaryota; kingdom Metazoa; phylum Chordata; class Mammalia; order Primates; family Hominidae; genus Homo; species Homo sapiens. The sequence goes on along the minus strand of NC_000003.12, from coordinate 54,029,536 downwards.
AAAAACTTGGTTTATTTGTCTTTTTCTGACTTTTTTCTTCCTTTTTTTTTTCTTTTTGTGGAGATGAGGTCTTGCTATGTTCTCCAGGCTGGTCTCAAAAACACCTGGGCTCAAGCAATCCTTCTGCCTCTGTCTCCCTAAATGCTGGGATTACAGGCATGAGCCACCATGCCTGGCACGACATATTTTAAAAGGCTTATTCTGACTGCTTTGTTGAGATTTCGTATACAGGGAACAAATATTACTTTTATAAACATAAGAAAAACTAAAAACTGTTTTTAAAAATTTAGTGGTCTTAGAATGGAAGGAATTGAACACAAGCTCCGGCCCTCACCATGCCTCACAGTCCATCTTTGACCAGATGTAGATCTGTCACCAGGTGTGGGGCCCAGAAAACCAGATCCTCTCAAGCCTCAGTGTCCAAATCTCTAAGTAGAAATACAGGGCCTCAGTTAGGACATGTGTAGAAGGCTCAAAACGAGGCAACTGGGATGGCTGGGCCTTGCCCATCACAAGACGACACAAGGGCAAGGTGTCAGGCCTAGACATAGAGAGAGACAGCTGCGTTACTCAACAATCTTTCCTCAGACATACCTGATGGTACTGTGGGAACTGGGTTCTTCCCACTGAGTGCCTGAGATCTAAGATCTTCTCAAATCAAAGTAGAGGGATGGAATGGCTGGTTTGTAGTTTGATCATCGTTTTCAGTTGATATTGTTCTGGAATTAGATGGTGAGTCTGGACTCACCTATCCTGAAAGATAATCATGAAATATGAGGGAAAGCACAAATATAAATCGTCTGCAACTTAGGATTTTTCAAATTTATGATGGTGCAAAAGTGACATGCAGTGAATAGAAACCATACTTTGAATTTTGAATTTTGATCTCTTCCCAGGCTAACAATATGCAGTCCAGTGCTCTCCATGCAGGAGAGTGGCAGTAAGTGGCAGCTCCCAGTCAGCCACGTGACCACGAGGGTCAACAACCAGCACTATGCAGTGCACTGTGTTGTGAGATGATTTTGCCCAACTGTAAGCTAACGTCAGTGTTCTGAGCACATTTACCATAGGCTAGGCTAAGCTATGATGTTCCATATGTTAGGTGTAGTAAATGCATTTTTGATTTATGATATTTTCAACTTATGATGGGCTTATCCGGCTGTAACCCCATACTAAGTCAAGGAACATTTGCACCTAATGGGGTAATGGGTGAAAAATGACTGTACACATATTCATAGGGAAGAAAACTAGAAGAAAATATACTGCAATAGTTAGGGAAAGCTACTGAAGCAAAAGAATGCACCAATACTTTGGGGAAAAAAAGACTTTCCTTTCTCTCCCACATAACAGTGTAAGTGAGTGGCCCTGGAGGTGGGTGCCTCTCCCCGGCGCAGTTTTTCCTTCCATCACAAGCATGGCTGAAGCTGGGTGGTGGTGCATACAGATTCCAGCCAGCAAGGAGGGGAAAGAGAGTTCAGAGGACTCACCTCCACTGTCCCCGACCCAGGCCTGTAGCATCTATATTGGCTCCTCTCAGGTTCCACAGGTAAGAACCACATCACCTGTTTACACCTAGCTGCCAGGGAGGCTGGGAAAGGCTGGTTAGCTGGATGCTCATAGCCTGACTATAACTCTATTTCTGTGGAAGGAAGAAGAGTGGCTGCTGTTAAACAGCCTGGGGTCTCTGCACTGTACACCAAAATGCTCAAGTCTGTGACTATGGGGTAGGCTTGTGGGTATTTTTATTTTCTGCTTTACATAGATATCTGGATTTTTCTGAAGTTTTCATATTGCCCTGAGGAGATGTACAGAATAATAGTCGTGGCTATAGTCATGAGTTCTGGAGTCAGACTGCTAGATGCAAATTAGCCTTACTAACTAGGTGACCTTGGACTGATGACTCTTCCTTGCTGACCCTTTGTTTTCCTCTTCTGTGTCATGGGAACAATACTAGAACCTACCTTCCTGGGCAGTTGTGAGAATCACAGGAGTGAAGGCCTACCACATGCTTAGCATAGAGCCTGGTGCACAGTAAGAGAGTGCTGAATAGGATTGGGTGTTATCAGCATTACCATGATTTGGGTGGTGGTTATTAGCACAAAGCCACCTAATATACAGGCCCTAGTTGTGTTTGGAGTATCACTTGTGATGCTGCCTCCTTTTTCTTTTCTCTCCTTCCTTCTCCTCAACTCCGTCAACAAGTTCATTTATTCATTAAACCCTCAAGGCCCGTCTGTCTCATCTCTCCCACTGTCTTTATCCTGTCTCTCTATCATACCTTCTTCTTCATCTCCCTGCAGATGTCCCAGGTTTGGCGGCACCTGTGGTTCCTGCTTCGAGGTAGAAGTGAGGACAGCCTTTCAGGTCCCTGTAGTTATTTAGATCTGATATCAAGGGTAGAACCTCACTCCCATTAGCACCCCTGGGGCATTCTGGAGAGGAGCTGGCCCTTAGGTTGGTCCCCTGCCTGCGTCCCAGTTAGCAGAACTGATCCCACCTCTCCTATCTACTCCTCATCCTCCTCTCTTCTTCCTTTTCTTTCCTCTCTGTACCCAAACACATAACACGTGCAAGCTTGGATGGGCACAAGTTGAGGAGCCTTTTAAACAGCTCATTAAAACTATTAAAAGCTGGAAACTGACCTTGGGAAATGACTGTGCAATAGCTTTATTAGATTGCTTAGGGGGGAAAAAAGAAAGTCTGGCTGATTTCTCAGGGCTCTCCGTACAAGCTTCTAAATTTGGATCTCAGGAATTATTGAGCTTCTACTGGAAAAAAGAAAAAAAATTCTGAAGTCTTGCCAAAGCCCAGAGTAATTCTCCAGCTCTTTCTCCCAGAGCCCTTGGAAAGGGAAGAGGCCAGGCTTTTAGATTGAGGGAGGGAGGATGGTTGTTGTTGTTGTTGTTGTTAAGTTCTTGTAGGGGAAGAAGTACGTGGAGGGATTGAGGATTTGCTACCAACTGACCTCTCTCTCTTTACAACCCTGTGCTGAATTTTCGCAGGCATTTATGATTGATGGGAAGTAGGAGGTAGACAAAACACCAAAAACCCACCTAGTAAAGAAAAGCAATCGATTCAAAACATATTTCAAAGACAAAGGCACAGAAGCAGTTACTTGTTCTGTTTTCAAAAGGGGTTATGTGTAGGGGGCTGGGCACTCGTGGAAAGGAAATGGGAGCGAACTGAGAACGTACAAGTACAGAAGCCCAGGTGTGTTTGTGGGGCTGAGTGCTGACCTGGTCCGGTGTGGCAGGGAGGGCCTAACTGGGGGTCCAAAGGCTAGGTTCCAGGGCCAGCCCTGCCCCAAATCGAAGCAAGTCCCTCCTCCCCACCAGCTTCTCCCACAGATGATGAGAAGAATGAATACTGACCTCCAAGGTCCCTTTGTAACCACATCACACCAATCTGGTTCAACTTTTATGTAACAAATGGTGAGTTGTTTTTCAGTGGCCATGGACCCCCAGGTTAAAAGTCACATAATCTGAGCATTACCAGGTGAACCAAGTGTGCAACCCACAGGGGGAACCTAAGGGCTTGGACTGAGGAGGAGGGACTAAATTAAGAAGTGGACACTGCACAGCAGGATCCAGGATCCAATCAGATCGAGCTCTGGCATCATCCCATGGCAGGATCCAATCAGATTATGCACCCTGGCATCACCTCATTGCAAGATCCAATCTGATCACACCTCATTACCCTGTTCTTATAAAACCTGACCCAAACCCCAGCTTGGGGATAGAGATTTGAGTGTTTTCTCCTGTCTTCTTGCCAGTCAACTACAATAAAGCTTTTCTTTTCTCAAAAGCTGGTGCCATGGTATTGGCTTCCATGCACATCAGGCAGTAAGCCCATTGATTGCTCGGTGATAATTTCAGCTCCTAGCACTCCACGGAGTTTACTGGATCAGAGTCAATCCATGTGTCCTGGGCATCTACTGCATGCCAGGCACTGCACTGACCATGTCATCAGGCCCTTCTACACTCATGTCATGTAATCATCACAGCATCCCATGACAGGATCATTGGCCCCATTTTTCAGAGGAGATGACTGAGACTTAAGGGGAGAAAGTGACCTGTTCCACACCACACAGCTATCCAGTGATGATGCCAGAGCTCACACCCACCTTCTCTGAGGCCCGGCCAAACATGCTTGCATTGTGCAGCCTGGGCATGCATGTGCACACAAACAAGTTGACAGGAGGGAGTTCAGTCACATGACTCCCTCTCCCCCTTCCTCAGCACCTTGAGGGCCAGCCCTGTGCATTAATCCCTATGAGATCCCGAGTAGCCAGCCCAGGGCTGAGAAGCGAAGAAGACAGAGATGAAAAAACATGGAGTTCCTGCTCTCAAGGTGCTAAGGAAAGCAAGTAACAGGCTTTTTTTCTCTGATATTCAAGTTTGACCAAGTCCATCTTATAGAGGATCCTGACTAACCTTCCCTAAAGGGACTGGACCAGCTGCAGTCTTGGTCTGGACCTCTTCCTTGGGAGGCATGGGGCCTCGGAGAGCCTCTGAAATGGCCCATGACTCAGTGTCCTCCTCTGAAGAATGGCCAGAATGACAGTTGTCACACTCCTTAGAGTAATGTTGCAAGGCTAAAACCAGATCTTTTTTTGTGGATAATAAAATGTGCAAAGCAATATCTCAGTAATCAAAAGGTGTTTGACAGAAGGACGTTCATTTAGAAGTCTGGGTTTGACAGGTTTGTGTTTCTCAGTTGGTTCCTTTTTTCTAAAGTCCATTCTTATTGTATTTTCATATCTTTCTCAAAGAAAACAAAAGGAAGGAAAACGATGTTTTTCTAACATTATAAAAATAGGGCACTAGCTCTGTATGCAGGTGAATTTCACCATGCATTCAGGCAAAATCCAGCCCATGCTCCTTGGCCCAAGCCCTCCTGCAAGGAAAGTCCTGGGATGTCCCTCCCTTTGCCCTGCAAACTACTAAGACAGATGATCGACATTGCCAGGAGTTCAAGAAATTGGCTCCAAGTAGGAAAGAAGGAAGGGATCTAGGAGATACTCACGGCCTAGGAGCTCAACACCAGCCTGGGCAACATGGTGAAACCTCATCTCTCCAAAAACACAAAAATGAGCCAGGCATGGTGGTGCATGCCTGTGGTCCCAGATACTTGGGAGGCTGAGGTAGAAGGATCACCGGAGCCCAGGAGGTCGAGACTACAGTGAGCCGTGATAGCACCACTTCACTCCAGCCTGGGTGACAGAATGAGACCGTGTCTCAAAAAATAAAAAAAAAAAATTTTAAAAAGGTGATATGACACTACATTCCTTGATAATATACGTGCCAGATGGTAATTGGTAATATTATTATTTCTATGCAAATTGTTCTTTTCCTCTACAGACTCAGAATTCTTCCTGAGTCTATTTTCTTTTGAAATTTAATTTAAAGATATGAAAATGAGATACCCCTTCTCATCCGTCAGATAGGCAAAAATCCAAAAATTTGACAACATAGTCTGTTGGTGAAGCTGTGGGGAAATGGGCACTCTCGCCCACTGCCAATGGGAATGAGGAATACTACAACCCTGTGGAGGGAAATTTGATAGCATCTAGCAAAATTACACATGCCCTTATCCTTCGACCCAACAAAGTCACTCAAAGTCCTTCAACCCAACAGAGATACACAGGCAAAAATGCACAAAAGACATAAGAGACATATCAATCAATTACAATGCATGGACCTTATTTGAGTCCAGATTTGAAGAAATAAAATGAAATTTTAAGACAGAGAAATATGAACACTGATTGGGTGTTTGAAATCCTAAGGAATTTTAAATACTTTTAGTTGTTATCATGGTATTGTGATAATGTTTTTCTTAAAGTTTCCTTATCTGTTAGTGAGACTTACTGAAATATTTATGAATGGAATACAATGTCTGGGATGTACTTAAAAATAATCCAGGAGGAGGGAGTGTGTGGGTGACAGTACTTGGGGGTTTATTACAGTGTCCTATTTTTGTACGTTTGGAAGTTTCCGTAATCTAAGTAAGACATTACAGATAAAGCTGAATCCCCCTTGACACCATCTTAACCCCAGGACTCTTTCCTCTCCCCAGGTAACCACTGCTTTCAGTTTGCTCTGAAGCCTTCTACACATTTCTCTGGGCATTTAAGTGTCATATATGTACTCACAAGGGGTGAGGGATAGTATTTTTTTGAGGACTGCTTTTTTTTCCATTTACAGCAATGATATCATCCTGACGTATTATCCTGCCTCGTGTTTTCTGCCTAGCCATATGTCTTGGAGAGCTTCCATGTCAGCACACAGAGCAATGAAAGAATTCTGTTCTTCCATTGCCACACATGTGTCATGGAAAGGGTGTGACATCGATTATTTACAAATTCTCATAATGATGGGCATTGATGTTGTTCCCAATTTTTAGACTACAATTATTGCTGCAATGAACATCTTTGGATGGATTGCCTCATGAATGAAAGTGATTCTATAGTGTAGATAGTAAGAAATTGAATTGTTAAGCCCTAAGTTATTTTTGATGCTGTTTGAATAGATCCTAACCCTCACCCTGTCTCTCCTTTGACCTGTCTTCTATCAGTAAGGTCTCAGTCAAATGGGGCACTCAACAAATGGGAGATGCTATTTTTCATTGTTGTTACCACCTGATATGGTTTGGCTGTGTGTCCCTACCTAAATCTCACGTCCCTACCTAAATCTCACGTCAAATCATAATCCTCAGTGTTGGAGGAGGAGCCTGCAGGAGGTGATTGAATCATGCGGGCAGTTTCTAATGGTTTAGCACCATGCCCCTAGTGCTGTTTGTTTAAAAGTGTGTAGCACTTCTCCCTTCTCTCTCTCTGTCTCCTTCTGGCCATGAGAAGATGTGCTTCCTTCCCCTTTGCCTTCCACCATGATTGTAAGTTTCCTGAGGCCCTCCCAGAAGCAGAAGCCTGTACAGCCCATAGAACCATGAGCCAATTAAACCTCTTTTCATTATAAATTACCCAGTCTCTGGTAGTTCTTTATAGCAGTGTGAGAATGGACTAATACAACAGCATTCCTATCATTTCATAATTTCATCTCCTATCCCTCCTCTATCTCTTAGAGTTATTGCTCTAGGCTCACACTTCTATCCCCTGCTTTCTGATACAATCTGCTCAGCAATCCCTCATCTCACCACCTCTCCACCATGTGCCTCTGGAGGAGCCCTCACCATGGACCTTCCCACCTCGCCAGCCTCATCATATTTCTTCATGCTCCCCCTGATTTCTGCTCTTTAACCACATGGGCCTGTCTCTCTTTGGATGTACCCTGACTCCTCCAAAGCATTGCACTCCCTGTTCCCTCTGTCTATCCTGCCCCATCTAGTGACCCTGACTCTTCCTTCTGTTCTCAGCTTCATTGTCATTTTCCCAAGGCAGGCATCCCTAACATCCTGCCCTGGAAGTGCTGAGTATCTTTCATGAAAGCATATAGAGTAGTTCTTATAACACACTTTTTAAAAAAGTTTTTTTAGATGGAGTTTTGCTCTGTCACCCAGGCTGGAGTGAAATGGTGCCATCTCAACTCACTACAACCTCTGCCTCTTGGGTTCAAGCAATTCTCGTGCCTCTGCCTCCGAGTAGCTGGAATTACAAGTGTGCACCAACACGCCCAGCTAATTTTTTGTATTTTTAGTAGAGACAGAGTTTTGCCATATTGGCCAGGCTGGTCTCAAACTCCTGACCTCAGGTGGTCTGCCTGCCTTGGCCTCCCAAACTGCTGGGATTACAGGCATAAGCCACCATACCTGGCCAATAACACACCTTTTTTTCTGGGTTTTTTTTTTTTTTGGAGGCAGAGTTTTACTCTTGTTGCCCAGGCTGGAGTGCAATGCCAGGATCTTGGCTCACTGCAACCTCCACCTCCCGGGTTCAAGCGATTCTCCTGTCTCAGCCTCCCAAGTAGCTGGGATTACAGGTATGCACCATCACACCTGGCTAATTTCGTATTTTTCGTAGAGACGGGGTTTCACCATGTTGGTCAGGCTGGTCTCGAACTCCTGACCTCAGGTGATCCACCTGCCTTGGCCTCCCAAAATGCTGGGATTACAGGAGTGAGCCACCATGCCTGGTCTATAACGCACTTTTAAAATAAATCTGACTGATATCTGTCTTTGCCATTATATTTCAAGTGCTCAAAGGGCAGAAACTGAGGGCATTTTTGCTCACCCAAGATCTCCCACAGAGCCAAGTACACAATGGGGCCTCGATAAATATTCACCAAATAAATGAAGGAACTATGGAATGCCTATTCACATATGGCACTCCCTTCATTTGCATATTTTACTTGACCCCTGCTTCACCACGAGGCCCAGTAGTAGAAGAAAGTCAAGCATCTCCAGGGGCCATTGGCCAGAATTCCCTTAGATGCCCTTTTGTGATGTGAACTTACATGTTTTTATAAAACAGTAGCCCTTTCATGAAACATTCCTCTGGGTAGAAGAGATGGTTCACAGTTGTCTCCCAATTCCTATAGCACGTCTCAAAGCACGTTGAGTGTTTAATCCGGTGTGACATCATGCACAGCCCTGCTTCCTTGGCTGCTGGACTGGTGGCCAAGTCTGGATCCTAGTGGTCTTGCCTCCACTGGGCCTGGTAGCTGCACTTCTAGAAAGTGTTCCACAAAGATTACTGAGTGAGACAGTGAGTGCATGCATGCAGGAATAATTATGTGGCACTTAAATGGTAATTCCCTTCTAACTGTGGGGTCCCAGGTGAATGCTGTTTCACAAGCTAGAAAACACACCAAAGTGCTTTCAAGAAAAAAATCCTGGCCCCGCTGCTTCCTCTCTGCAGCTCAGCCCTTGCGGCTAGTAGGAAGGCCATCCTGGAAAGGCTTTTTATTCCCACAATGCCGTGCAAGCCCAGCTCCTTGCTGCTTGCCTGCCTTTGCCAGCAGGTCAGAGTCCCTGAAGGTGATCTGTTGAGCATCTTCTCCCCACACAGTCCATCCTTTAATTTTGCTGCCAGAATGTTGAATGCCAAGTTTTTCTGGGCAAGCTGGCAACTTTTGTGGCTGGCATGTCTGTTTTCCTCCACTTAGTCACCATTTTTTTCTCTTTGAAAACCTTTATTTTATAAATTTTACTGTATAAATTATTTTGATATGTTGCTTCAAATTCAACTGAAGGAGAAAAAAAGAACCTGATAAGTATCCTGAATAAAATTTTACATCGGAAGCTTCCAATTTCTGGTTCTACTCCACGAATTTGGAAAGAATCTCAAGATTGAGATGACTTCAGGCAACATATGCACCTTCAGAAAATTGCACCCTCCTTGGGAGAAATGGCTGAGTCCAGGGCTGGGGCACAGAAAGTACAAGATGAACTTGGAACATCTTGCTGTGCCAGAAAATAAGAAAAGGCTCACAGAATGATGGGGACATGTCAAATTTGAGGCAGGTTTAAAGGGGCCAAATCTGAGACAATTTTAACATCAAAATAAATAATGATACTAAAATAGTATAGCCTATAGAGTAAAATAGGAATGAATAAGCCTATATACTCAATTAATTAGTTAATTAATTAGAGGAGAAGTTGTCTTTCTTGCAGTAGAAAGATAGACAATGAATGTAAAAGGAATGACAGAAAATCACCACTGGGCAATCACCAGATCTATAATTTTCAGGCAAGAATCACAATGGATAAAAACACTAGGGGGTGAAAAGGTTGAGGACTAAAAGAATATTTACACAGTCTCCAAGCATCTCCCCATAGGATGCATATAAATTACAAAGGAATAAAAGAGAAACATTACAATGGGAAAAAAAAGATGAAAGTTAATATCAATGGTAAGGGAACAATTAAATAGTGTGTATTTCCTGCTATGATGCACTGAGAAAAATGCAACATTCCTCCTGTATATTTATACTAAAGAATCGCAGACTGACTCTAATCATGTGGAAACAGCAGATAGTCAAAGTGGGGCCATTCTATAACATAACTGGCCAGACAACTGTACATCTAAATAAGATGAATTTTACTGAATGTGGATTATACCTCAATACACCTGATTTAAAAAACAAAAACTGGCCTGGATGCTTCAAAAATATCAACGTCATGGAAAACAAAGAAAGGCTAAGGACTGTTCCAAATTAAAGGACATTAAATAGACAAAACAAGTGAATGCAACATGTGATACAAGATTTTCTTTTTGCTATAAAGAAATTAGTGAAATAATGAGGAAAATCTGAATAAGATTTGTAGATTAGACAATAATATATAAATGTTAATTTTCTGATTTTGATGACTCTACTATGGTTATGTAAGACAATGATCTTGTTTTTGGGAAATAGACTCTTAAGTATTTAATAGCTGTCTTAGTCAGTTTGGGCTGCTATAACAAAAATATCGTAGACTGGATTAAACAATAGAAATTTATTTCTCACAGTTCTGGAGCCTGAAAGTCCAAGGTCAGGATGCCAGCATGGTTGGGTCTGGTTAGGGCCCTCTTCCTGGTTCACAGAGGGCCGTCTTCTCCTTGTATCCTCATGTGACTGCTAACAAAGAGGAAGCAAGTTCTCCCATGTCTTTTTATAAGGGCACTAATTCCATTCATGAGGGCCCCACCCACGTGACCTAATTACTCCTAAAGGCTACACTTCTTTTTTTTTTTCTTCAACTTTTATTTTAAGTTCAGGGATAATATGGTTTGGTTGTGTCCCTACCCAATCTCACCTTGAATTGTGGCTCCCATAATCCCCACGTGTTGTGGGAGGGACCCAGTGGGAGGTAATTGAATCGTGGAAGTGGGTTTTTCCTATGCCGTTCTCATGATAGTGAATAAGTCTCATGAGATCTGATGGTTTTATAAAAGGCAGCTCCCCTGCATACAGGCTCTTGCCTGCCTCCATGTGCAACATGCGTTTGCTCCTCCTTCACCTTGCGACATGATTGTGAGGCCTCTCCAGCACTGTGGAACTGTGAGTCCATTAAACCTCTTTTTCTTTATGAATTACCCAGTCTCAGTATTTCTTCATAGCAGTATGAAAACGGACTAATACAAGGGTTACATGTGCAGGATGTGCAGATTTGTTACATAGGTAAATGTGTGCCATGGTGGTTTTCTGCACAGATCATCCCATCACCTCGGTATTAAGCCAGGCATCCATTAGCTATTCTTCCTGATACTCTCCCCTCTCCCACCCCCACTCCCGAAGGCCCTCAGTGTGTGTGGTTCCCCCAACATGCATCCATGCATTCTCATTGTTCAGCTCCCACTTATAAGCAAGAACATGTGGTGTTTGGTTTTCTGTTCCTGCATTAGTTTGCTGAGGATAAGGGATTCCAGCTCCATCCATGCCGCTGCAAAGGACATGATCTTGTTCATCTTTATGACTGCGTGGTATTCCATGGTGTATATGTACCACATTTTCTTAATCCAGTCTATGACTGATGGGCATTTAGGTTGATTCCATGTTTTTGCTATTGTGAACAGTGCTGCAATGAACATAATCTTTATAATAGAATGATTTACATTCCTTTGGGTACATACCCAGTAATGAGATTGCTGGATCAAATGGTATCTCTCCCTCTAGGTCTTTGAGGAATTGCCACACTGTCTTCCACAGTGGTTGAACTAATTTACACTCCCACCAACAGTGTAAAAGCATTTTTTTGTTTTGTTTTGTTTTGTTTTGTTTTTTCCTCCGCAACCTCACCAGCATCTGTTGTTTTTTCATTTTTTAGTAATAGGCATTCTGACTGGCATGAGATTGTATCTCATTGTGGTTTTGATTTGCATATCTCTAATGATCACTGATGTTGAGCTTTTTTTGATGTTTTTTGGCCACATAAATGTCTTCTGAGAAGTATCCGTTGATGTCCGTTGCCTGCTTTTTAATGGGGTTGTTTTTTTCTCTTGTAAATTTTCTTGTACAACTTTTCCTGTAAATTTTTCTTGTGAATTTAAGTTCCGTGGAGGCTCTGGATATTAGACCTTTGTTAGATGGACAGACTACGGAAATTTTCTCCCATTCTGTAGGTTGTCTGTTCACTCTGATGATAGTTTATTTTGCTGTGCAGAAGCTCTTTACTTTAATTAGATCCCATTTGTCAATTTTTGCTTTTGTCACAATTGCTTTTGGCATTTTCATCATGAAATCTTTGCCCATAAAGATCCACATCTTATTAAATCACATTCAGGGTTAGGATTTCAACATAGGAATGGGTGGGGGAGGGGCACAAATGTTCAGTTCATAGCAGCAGTAAAGGGGCATTATATCATGTCTGCAATTAAGATCAAACGGTAGGTAGGTAGGTAGATAGATACACAGATACACATAGGATAACATGGTAAAATGTTACATCTGAGAAATCTGGATAAAGGGTATGTGGGAATATTCTCTCAACTTTTCTGTAAGTCTGCAGTTATCAAAGTTAAAAAAAAAAAAAAACTCAGAGGGAGGAAGGAAGGGAGAGAGAGAAAGATTTGCACCAAAGCACTTTCCTTGACAGGTGGATATCCCATTCTTTACAACCTTGAGGGGGAAATTTTGCCATTCTCTCTCAGAAATCTCGTTAGTCTCCCGTGGTACTAACTTTTGATAACGAACGCCCACAATAATTTAAATCCCTTTTACTATGATTTCGCTCCACCTCCACTATTCTGAATATAGTCAGGTCAAGCCATAGAGCTGTAAAATGATGGCCTATCTTCTCTCCTGGCATTACATACCTCTACCTCTCCTTATGGTACAGATCACAGTTGTAATTCTCCATTTATTTGCATCATGCTTGGGTTTCTGTCTGTCTCTCCCACTGCACCATAAGATTCAGGAAAGCGGGGATTGGGTCTGGCTTTGCTGAACATTGTGCCTTTAATGCAAGACCCAGTACAACATGAAAATGTGGGGCTCCTGATTCAAGAACAAGTACAAGATCGCAACAGCAGAGCATTAAACCAAGAGCAAGGTCCTTCTGAGCACAGGGGATGTGCATGCCCATGGGTTGCACCCAAGGAAGCCAGCCATGGCCAGCTCAGCACCTGGTGCAGAGGAGGAGCTGGTAAATGTGTGCTACATGAATGAATGAATGAAAATTTTAAAACACATTTCCAGGCTGTATATAATGGTGACATGTCCAGTAGTCAAAACTTTTATATTGATAATTGATGTGGGCCTTCCCAAATCAACTCCAAATGGATTCTGGACTGCAGGGGGTGCCAATTCCCATTATGCATCAGGAACAACGTTGAGCTCCAGCACTCCACACCTACCTCCCCACAGCCACAAGCGGGGACAGACCATTCTGAATCTCCATGCAGGACAGCTCCTGCCAGCCTCCCCTCACCGTTTTCTTACCTTCTGCTTTCCCCCTTCTCCCCTCCCCTGCCCACACATCTCCTCTTTGGACTCAGTCCTAGAACAGAACATTCTAACCAAGGAGTGTGAGCCCCTCTGGAGCCTGCAGTATTAATAATCCCAGCTATGCCAAACTGGGCACTGAAGCAATGCCACCAGACCCCTTTTCACTCGTGACCTACATTGTCATTGGTTCCATGGACTGTTCATTCTGCAACTCGAAGAGGAAAATGTTACTATGACAACAGCTTCTAGAGTTACAGGGATGTAAAACACCTACTTTAAAAAAAAGTTCACTTACCCATATGGCAAATGGACTTCATTAGTTGTTTCTAAATCAAATATCCAAACAAGGTGGGCTGAAAAGAGAATATTTTTAAGGAGCTAATTTAGATTATAGCACCAGAACTACCCGTTTAGATACTGGAGAGTGAAGAGAGAGTACCATAGTTTTTTTAGTTTTGTTTTTAAAGACTGATATTATTAGAAATTATCTGTGTGCTCACTGTCTAATATGAATTTGCCCATATGAGAAGGAAATAGACATCTGATTCTCTCTTCTTTGTTGGTTTCTATTACATTGTCCTCTTAGCTGTCTCTTTCTAGCTCTTCCCACTCCACCATCCAGCAAATGCTGCATGTGATAGAAAGAGAGTAAGGCTCTTAGTTCTAAAGTTTAGCTTTGCTGTCTCTGAGTCCCATGACCTCAAGCAAGTTATTTCTTCTCTGAGTCCCAGTTTCTTCACTGGAGACATTCATTTATTCATTCACCCAAACATTCACAGAAGTTTCTTGAGCAATTACTATATGCCTGAAGTCACAATACCTCCCTCAGGGAGTTGTGTGGCCTGAGACCAACATCAGGTTGAAATCAATGTAGAAATCATAATCACTCGTTATCTCTGCTTCCTTTCCCTGACCCATGCTCCAGTCAAAGTTAGTAACAGCCTCCTCTGACTCTCATGGCCCCAGCCTCCCTTCGCAGCTGATTTGACTGTGTTGCATTATTGACTATGTCTATGTCACCCACTTAGACTCTGAGTGGGTTCCCCAAGGGCAAGGATTGGCTTCCAACCCACATGGTCTCTCCAGGATCTGGCACCAAATCAGGCACATCACCAGTGTCTATAAGTGGTATTGCACGTTTTCTTGTGTTCCTTGTACAATCAATGAACTCAAATCATAACCACCTTCCAGCTGTGGCTCCAGAATCCCTACATGGGAATTCTTAAGAGGGGCGCCCAGGGCCAGGTGAGGTGGCTCACACCTATAATCCCAGCACATTCGGAGGCCAAGGCCAAAGGATTTCTTGAGGCCAGGGGTTTGAGACTAGCCTGGGCAGTATAGCAAGACCCTATCACTAAAAAAAAAAAAAAAAAAAAAAAAAAAAAAAAAGCTGTTTTTAATTAGCTGGGAGTGGTAGTACACACCCACACCTGTAGTCCCAGCTACTTGGGAGGCTGAATTAGGAGGATCACTTGAGCCCAGGAGCTTGAGGCTGCAGTGAGATATGGTCGTACCCCCTTTGCTTTAGCCTGGGCAACAGAGCAAGACTCCATCTCTAAAGGAAAAAAAAAGAGGGGCACCTGTTTAAAGGCTACAGAGATTGTACCGGCATGTCTGTTTGGGTACCTTGAAGCTGTATTTGCATGACAAGCAGTCTGTTTTTGCTTGGATTATTTGTACATGGGGTGACTTGGGCAGTGTGTGCATGGCAATTATAAATGAGTTTAACCCCCACCCCTTTAGAGCCCCCAGTCCTCATAACCTCCCAGTGGAGCACCTCTTTTCTGATCCCTTGCCTCCCAGAAGTGGCCTGTGACATTCTTCACTACTTCCTCCAGAAGGACATCTCTCTTTCATTTCCTTTTTTAGCCAAAAGCCTAGTCCCAAGGGAGTGCTACAGAGAAGAAAAAATCATCACAAAACAGGGCATTAAAACTCTGGGGACACGAATCTGAAACCACCACATCACCCCTCCTTAATTTCAGAGTCTCCCTCCCCAGCCAGGCTTGGAGGGAAATGTGGAACATCACTCTGGGAATCCCTTCCGGACACCATTATGTTCTAGTTACTGCCTACGAGGACCTACTTGGTATTTCTCATCTTACCCTGATTGCATTCAAAACTTGATTAGATTCTATTGATCCTGTCATAAAAAAATAAAGCTGGTCTGCTTTTCCCCTGTAGTCTCTCATGTGCTTAATGTAAAAATCCCACCTGTGCCTCATAGGCTTAAGCCTACATTTCTTTGCTTTGCTCCACTTCCAGTTCTTTCTCTTTCCCTTCTTGGAGCTGACATCTCTCTTCAGTCTTGCAAACTGGCTTTAGTTTTTATTGCTGTTATTTGCTGGTCTCTATTAGGGCTATTTGCTCTCTCAGCTACCAGAGGGGAAAGCAGAAATATTTCTCTAACTCCCAGATAATATCATTGGCCAAACTGTTTTTCATTGAATTCATTTATATTTATTGCTTCCAAGTGTTATTTTTTCCTGTTCTGAGTAACTTACCTTATGATGAGTGGAAGGCTCACTGTGACCTAAAGTTGGGGGTTGGCCTCCTGGAAGGGTCTCTGTTCCCACAGATGATAGGCATGAGCCACTGCACCCAGCCTATCCCTCCTTTCTTCCCTTCTAATCTTACGAAATGTTTGCCTTTCCTCTCTTTTCATAGTGTTCCTAACAGGCCCCTTAAACTAGAGGGGGAAAAAGGAAAACAAAAACAAATAAACAAAAACCACTCATGGGGAATCTATGCAGACGGTACTCCCCAGGAAAACCAAGCTTCATATGATGAGATGTTTTAGGAGGTGGACAATGCCTCCACTGCAACAATGCCCACTACGAGACCCAAATATGGGAAAAATCCAGACTCCCAGCAATAGGGTTTTGGTTTCACAAGCCATGGAACACCAACACAATAGAATTCTATGCAGTCATTACATTTCAGGAAAAATGTAACTGACATAGATATTTACACAGTAGAAGCAATTCAAGTAATCTAGTATGGCTATGCAGAGTAAATATGACCTAGGACTTAATTCAGTCAGCTTTCACGGAACATTGCATTACTTTCTTGAGTTATAGAAAATAAGGTGCTGGGTACAGTGGCTCACAACTGTAATCCCAACACTTTGGGAGGCCAAGGAGGGAAGATCACTTGGGGCCAGGAGTTCAAGACCTGGGGCAACATAGCAAGACTCCATCTCTACAAAAAATTTAAAAAATTATCTGGGCATGGTGGCATGCACTTGTAGCCCCAGCTACTTGGGAGGCTGAGGTGTAGAGGAATCCTTAGTCCTAGGAGATCGAGGGCTGTGGTCAGCTATGATCACACCACTGCACTCCAGCCTGGGTGACAGAGAGGGACCCTATCTCAAAAAAAAAAAAAAAGAGGAAAGAAAAGAAAAAATAAGAATTTAATGCTCAAGTATGTTGGAAAAACTCTAGATTAATGAGAGTGAAATGAGCTTCTTGTCTCTTAAATTTCTCAAATCTTTTAATATGCCAGTGTACACCATGAATCTCCAAGAGGAGGTGCTAGGGTGCCTCATTTCTAAACTTACTTAACCCTGAGACCAGTGTTCTGGGGACCACCCTTTAGAAAAGACAGAGAAATGGATGACTGAATGCATATCTTGATAGAGCAATACAGAAGTCTAGAAGGCAAGCACAAAATGTCAACAGTGACTCGAGTTGGCTATTATGGGTGATTTTTATGACTTTATTATTATTATCATGTTGCCGATTCTTCCACAATGAACATTTCTGCCTATGTAATTAAAAATAATAAAGCTTTTGTTGTTTTCTTTTTTAAGATGACTGAAGAGAGGTTGGAGATGGGGAAGGGAGTTCTTGAACCCAGCTGTGTGACTGCCTTGTAAACCTTGCCAATGTTGATCATTGCCCTTAGACAGCAGTGAGGCCAGTTCCCTGGAGGACTTTCCCATTGTTCCTATTGGCAATCACAGAAAGCACTCTGTCTTCTACTAGAGTCTAGTCGTTACTATCTCATTGTATTAGTAATTTATAAAGAAAAAGAGGTTTAATGGACTCATAGTTCCATGTGGCTGGGAAGGCCTCACAATCATGGCAGAAGGTGAAAGGCACGTCTCACATGGTGGCAGACAAGAGAGAATAAGAGCCAAGCGAAAGAGCTTTCCCCTTATAAAACCATCAGATCCCATGACACTTATTCACTACCATGAGAATAGTATGGGGGAACCACCCCCATGATTCAGTTGTTTCCCACCGGATCCCTCCCATAACACATGGGAATTATGGGAGCTACACTTCAAGATGAGATTTGGGTGGGGACACAACCAAATCATATCAGTCATCATCATCAAAGTCAGTTGATCACTGATAGGCTTTGTTTTCAAAAATTTGTGTTGAAGCAAAATTAACCTTACTTAAATTAGCCATTTTAACGTGAGGCATTTAGTACATTCAAAATGTTATGCACCTTCCCTGGCCCCCCGCTATCTAGTTTCAACTGATAGGTGTTTGATGAGGATGTCCAGGGCTGTGCCTTGAATTTTTGCCCCCCTCCCCATGAACTTTTTCCAGAAATAATTGAGGCAGGCTGTCAAAGGAATAGATACATACTAAGGTTGTAAAGCAGAAAATCAGGGCCATAAAAGGAGAAAGAGACAAATAAACCAACCATGAGTTTAAAATGATGCTTATGATTGAGCATAAAGAGTATCCCTGAGTTTCCTGGCAGTCGGGGCAAAATGGGAAACACAAGAATAAGTGGCTATTATCAGAAAGGAGAGGGCTTGGTGTAACTCAAGTGAGCTAAAGCATTTTTATGGAACTTAATTCTAAAAGAAATTTTTCACACGGACTTTATACATAGAACATTGATATACATAATAGGCAATGCCCTTGACTATGATTTTATAACAAATGCACTTAGAAAGATATTCATATGATTGTTTTTCAACACATATTTACTGGACGAATTAATAAATGAATACATGAATGAATAAAGGATAAATCACGACCGGCTCAGTTGCATTCACATCACACAAACCCTTCATAAAGTTATGTCTGTATAACAGAACTCAATGCCCAAGGAAGACTGCAATCACTCCTAAACTAATAAAGACATTCTTTCTAAATGAACTTCATTAAATATTTGAACCAAATGAAAATATTAGGAATGTCTGGATTATCTCCTGATACCACTGACATTGCAGGAAAACCATAAGTCTTTGAGTACCGAATTGTTTTATAATTTTATAGAGCTTTTGTGATGACATGGTCTTTATTTTTTGTTCCAGATATGCATAAGGTGTTTGAAAGCTCAATTTTTTAGTTAAAGAAGATTTTCAAGTGTTCTTGGAATATGTCGACTCTCCAAAGCCATTGAAGTGTGAGAATTAGAACAGCCGCTAGGGCACAAGGTTTCCCTTTAGCCCGCCTAATTCTGTCAGTGGGATCAGTGCATTCCATTCAAAACTCCAATTCCTGTCATTCTTATCTCAGGTTTCACAAGAGAAAATTCTTCCAGCCAACAGTAATTTCATGACTTTTCTAGGCTCTAGACTCCAGATTAAGGTTTAAGAATAAGTGGAGGTGGCCAGGTGCGGTGGCTCACGCCTGTAATCCCAGCACTTTGGGAGGATGAGGTGGGCGGATCACTTAAGGTCAGGAGTTCAAGACCAGCCTGGCCAACATGGTGAAACCCCATCTCTACTAAAAATACAAAAATGAGCCAGGCATAATGGCACACGTCTGTAATCCCGGCTACTTCAGGAGGCAGAGGCAGGAGAATCGCTCAAACCCAGGAGAAAGAGGTTGCAGTGAGCCAAGATCGTGCCACTGCTCTCCAGCCTAGGCAACAGAGCAAGGCTCCATCTCGAAAAAAAAAGTGGAAGCAAGTGAGAGAAAATGCCTTGGAAGACATGTAACATTCTGGAAGACATGTCCAAAGGGTTGACAGTGGTTTGTCTTGGGGGTGAACATTATGGGCTATTTTTTATTTTAAAGTTTTTTCCTTCTCAGTAGTCTCTATTTTTTCTTACGCTTAGATTGCTGGTTCATGAAAAGCTGTTTTGTTTTGTTTATTTAAATTTTTTTTTTTTTCAGATGGAGTCTTGCTCTGTCACCCAGACTGGAGTGCAGTGGCGCGATCTCGGCTCACTGCAACCTCCATCACCCGGGTTCAAGCGATTCTCCTACTTCAGTCTCCCGAGTAGCTGGGATTACAGGCGCACACCACCAAGTGCAGCTAGGTTTTGTATTTTTAATAGAGACATGGTTTCCCCTGGTTGGCCAGGCTGGTCTCGAACTCCTGGTCTCGGGTGATTCACCCGCCTCAGCCTCCCAAAGTGTTGGGATTACAGGCGTGAGCTACTGCGCCCAGCCTGGTTTTGTTTTAATAACCAAGCAGCAATGGTTGAGTATAGGTTTAGAGGGGAGGAATCTTGGTGTTGTGGAAGGCCCCTAGTGGTTGTGACACTTTGGGTGACTACTCTCTCATCCATAACCAGAGGTGAACGTCCCCACCTCACAGTCATGCTGGAAGATTAAATGAGATAATGCAGAGATCAAGGACTCAGAATGAGTATGTGTTTATCATATTATTAATATGATACCATACATGATAACTACTAATATAATTGATGTTTGTATTTTACATAATAGCAGTGATATTAACATAACAATAGTAAAAGGAAGAATAAAGTTGTCTATAATCCCATTTCTCCAACAAATAAAGCTATTTTCTTAGTCTATAGCTATTCTATCCTGACCCACATGCTTCCTACATAGTTATTGTCATATTGTAAATGCAATTTTGCGTTCTGACTTTTTTCCTCCAACATTATGTGATACACATTTTCTGCTACATAGGAAACATTAACTGATGATTTTTTAAAGCTATGCGTATTTAGGGACAATAAGATGCAGTGACCCATTCTATAGCATTCACAGTTGCCTTCATATTTTCTAAATTAGAATTCCTCAAGATGACTGAGGTTGGTCCCTGAAGAAACCAAATTCAGTGTAAGAAAACCAACATCACAAAGAGGTAAGCAAATCAGGGCACTTTGGGTGGCAATGGAACATTAACCTTCTATAAGCTAATGGGTTTCATTTTGCTGCAACATACAATGTACCTTGGAATGTGATCCCAGGACTGTGCTACCTTTCTGCATGTGAGTGCAGAGACTGACCTTCAGAACTCAGCTGAGAGTATTAGAAGCCTGCCTGTGGAGGAAGGCCCACCCAGGCTGCATGCGCTTCCCTCCCCCAGGGGCAGAAGCCTGAGCAGGCAGAGGTGGGGGAAGGACAGAGCCATGGAATGGCCAGAGCCGGACAGAGCCAGGAGGTAAGAGGGCACAGACAGAGTGCATTCAGGCAGGGACATCAGCTGTGGGTAGGGAAGTAGCAGGGAAAATATGTTGTCAAATTTGGCCTGCAAAATGGAACACCTTGAATTCTGCTAAGGAGCTTGAATGTAATTGTGTGAGAATGGGGAAACCCCTGGCAGTTGTTGAATCAGTGAGGGGAGCAGCCAAGGTGCTGAGTTGGAAAGAGATGAGAGCAAAGTGGTTCGGGGAGACAAAGGTGAAAACAGCTCTGACAGGGGTGCAGAAGAGAAGGGAATTGCAACGTAGAGGTGGCCGGTGGGTCCTAAGGGCTGTGTTCCAGGCTCTGTTCCATGTACTTTGTGCATATTCACTAATTCAGCCCTTAGAACAATCCTCTGATTTGGGTCCTACTTGTAATTCCTATTTGCCAGATGAAAAATCAAGGTCCGGAATTATTAGGTGACTTGGGCAACTTGCCACAGTCCCAAATGGTAAGTCCTAAATGCCTCAAGACGGAAATCCAGGCAGGCTGGCCCCTGAGGCTGAGGATCCAGCTCCACACAGGACTGCCTGTCCAGAAGCGTGAGATCTTTGCCTGTAGGCTGAGTGAGACTCCACCAGATGAGTGGGCAGGCATTCCAGGCAGGGGTGATGACACATGCAAAGGCATAGAGATGATAAAACATGCTACTTACGGGAGAAGACAAAAGTGCCAAGGAAGAGAGATACGTGGTAAAGGGTGAAGATGGACAGGCCAGAGAAGGAAATCTCTGCTCTTCAGATGTCTGTGACTTGCGGGGTGGAGAGACAAAGTCTGAGAAGATCCTGCGTCCCTTCTTTTTCCCTGAGAGAGTTGTCCTGAGCAACCTACACGAGAGCTGGGTTTCATGTACTATATGGTTTACAGTGGGTGAGGATTCTCTTGGTCGAGGGTGCCTCTACTCTGGCTGGTCTCAATACAGTCATTCATTTAGCTAACAAACATTGATTGTGTGCTTCTCAATAAAGAACACCAGCTATACAGAGATTAACAAAATTGGCACGGTCCTTACAAGAACCAATACCTGAACTGAACTTCCTTCCACCAGTTCAGAACAGCCTTGTCAAAGGGTCTCCCTGAACTGCACAGCAAACTCTTGTTCTTTCTTGGGAAAAGCTCATTCTGCAGAGCAATGAGCTTGCATTGCTGGAGCTCCAGCTTCCTGCTGGAGAAGATCAGGTTTTACTCACTTGTCACTGATAAAATAAACAGGATAAGTAATTTCACCTTGATTATAGCTGCACAGAAACCAGTGATCCAACCTGATGTTTTTCTTGTTACACTCAGCGTATTCAGCCCAACGCATATCTAGGAAGCCAGCCTCCTGGCCCACCCAGGTCCCTGAGCTATGGGCCACTAACGGTGGTTGCAGCATGAGCTCTGAAGAGGGAGATGCTGGACACCAGGCTCCTGTCTCAAGGGTGTTTACTCTGGGAGAACTTGGGCCTTCTCCCAATGGACTCTAACAGGGTGGACTGTGGACTTTAACGGGGCAAAGATTCAGAACTCAATAGGTTCCCTGAAGTTGGACCATCCATTCATGCACAACTTGAAAACAACTTCTCTGAACCTGTTTTGTTCCCTCTTCCCAATGTCCCGTGTTGTAAACACCCACCTATCCATTTCTCAAAACCACGGTTCAGTTACAACTTGGCTTAAAACTTGGCCGGGCGTGGTGGCTCACCCCTGTAATCCCAGCACTTTGGGAGGCCGAGGCGGGCGGATCACGAGGTCAGGAGATCAAGACCATCCTGGCTAACATGGTGAAACCCCGTCTCTATTAAAAATACAAAAAGTTAGCCGGGCGAGGTGGTGGGCGCCTGTAGTTCCAGCTAGGCGGGAGGCTGAGGCAGGAGAATGGCGTGAACCCCGGGGGGCGGAGCCTGCAGTGAGCCGAGATCGCGCCACTGCACTCCAGCCTGGGCAACAGCCAGACTCCGTTTCAAAAAAAAAAAACTCTTCAGATGGCAGGCCAAACAAGGTGGCTCACGCCCATAATCTCAGCAATTTGGGAGGTCACAGTGGAAGGATTACTTGAGCCCAAGAGTTTGAGACCAGCCTGGGCAACATAGCGAGACCCCATCCCTACAAAAAATAAAAAAATTAGCCAGGCATGGTAGTCTCAGCAAGTCTGGAGGCTGAGGGGGGAGGTCGAGGCTGCAGTGAGCCATGATCGCACCAATGCACTCCAGCCTGGGTGACAGAGAGAGACCTTGTCTCAAAAAAAAAAAAAAAAAAAAGAGAAAAAGCTGGCTGGGTGCAGTGGCTCTTGCCTGTAATCCCAAGGCGGGCAGATCCCTTGAGGCCAGGAGTTTGAGACCAACCTGACCAACATGGTGAAAACCTGTCTCTACTAAAAATACAAAAATTAGCCAGGCATGGTAGCAGACACCTGTAATCCCAGCTACTCAGAAGGCTGAGGCAGGAGAATTGCTTCAACCTGGGAGGCGGAGATTGCAGTGAGCTGAGATCATGCCACTGCACTCCAGCCTGGGTGACACAACTAGGCTCCATCTCAAAACAAACAAACAAAAAAAAAAGGCCAACAACTCAAACAATTCTTCAGATGGCAGCATCACGACTGGGATGAACTTACCCTGAGTGAGGGGAAGGTTGAGCAGGCAAATGGCCCAGTTAGAACTCGACACACTAAGGAGCAATTCTCATGGAAATAGAGGGGTGTTTAGAAAAGCAGCAGCAGCAAAGATTTGTCTAGCACAGGTTTGCAAAAGGACCTACATCTCCACTCAAGAAAGACTGCCTTTTATGCAATTAAAATGAATCCTCCATCTGTCTAAAAACCACTTACATAAAGCGCCCCCTTCTCCCCCGCCTCCACAGGTTCCTCATCTGTGGGCCAGGCCATGCTTTTTGGCCAGCATACCCCAGGCCAACGGCGAATGTGTGCATAGCCGTGTTCTTCCCAGAGCTAACTGCTAAGGAGAGAAGCCCCTTAGCGGATAGGTTGCTTTAAACATACTTAGGAGCAATCCTTATGTGGGTAGCACGCTTCCCCCACACCCATTAGCATACAGTTCCATCTGCACCCCCCCATGAGCTGCTTGGAAGTATGATAAAGTCTGAAAATATTACATATGTGTGTCTTTACACACACTCACCCAGAGCATGTCTCTGGGCAGAATGAATGAAGAGGTGACTTTCCTGGAAAGGACTCAAATCCTCCCTCTCGCTACCTACACAGAGACACACACTCATTTGTCCCTTTCAAAGATGAGAATACTGAGAGGTTGTTTACCAAGATGGACTTTCAGACTCCACAATAATGTTGGTGGCCTGTTTGCCACCCACATCCCAGAGGCTCAAAGTAGCAAAGCAAACTGGCCAGCAGGGGCAGAAGGGCACGTGTCTCTCACAGGGAGCAGCAGAGATGCCATCCCCAGCTTCTGATGGTCCACCTCTAGGTTGACCTCAGGCTCCCACAATCCTCTAGCTTCTCTGCTCTTCTGTCTGTGAGAGGCCACAGACAAGGGTGTGAGTGACAGTGGAGCTACCAACAGCCCGGGCCTGGGCATCAGGCAGATGTGAACTCAGTCCTGGCGCTGCCACTTATGAGCTATTTGACCTCCAGAGAGCTCACTTAATCTCTCCAAACCTCATTTGCAAAGCAGGGATGACGATGCCTACCTAATGGTTCGTTTGTGGGCATTAAGTGAGGTGATGTATGCAGGAAGCTTCATTCAGGAAGTACACGCCACAAATGGCAGCTCTCGCAGCATTTGGCAGGCTTTGTTGTTAGCTGCTTCATTATCTCTTACTAGAATGTAAGTGCTTTGAAGGCAGGGTTGACAGCACGTTAACTGCTATACTCTGATGGATAAACATAGTGCCAGGTACAAGTAGGCACTCAATAAATATTTGTTGAATTAATAATTAATTATAGAGCTGAGCCCATAGTACTTGTGTTGATTAATTTTGTGCATCAACTTGGCTGGGCCACGGTGCCCAGATATTTGATCAAACATTATTCTGGATGTTTGTGTGAGGGTGTTGGATGAAATTAACATTTAAATAGGTCAATTTTGAGTAAAGCAGATTGCCCTCCATAATATGAGTGGGCCTCATCCAATCAGTTAAAGGTCTATTAATAATGAAGATTGACCTCTACTGAGCAAAAAGGAATTCCGCCAGGAATTCTGCCTTTGAACTTGAATTGCAACTCTTCCATAGTCGCCTGCTGGCCTGCCCCATGGGATTTTGGACCCACCAATCACATGAGCCAATTTCTTAAAATAAATTTCTCATATAGATATACACCCTGTTGATTCTGTTTCCCTGGAGAACCGTGACTAATACAGTATCTAATCTTCAAATGAAGAAACCAACCAAAGGGGTATCCATTTACTTCCCTTAGCCTGGAAACGTGGTTAATATCAGTTTCACAGCAATTTTGTAAGCTTAAACAACCATGAATCATACCCGTCTAATCAAATTCTCTTATTTGATCCTCACACACACTTGATGGCTAGAGATCAGGAGACCTTTTCCAAGAGAAGGGAAAAGTGGGGCTCAAAGAGTTCAGTTAACTTTCCCAAGCCCACACAGTATAATAGATTACAAAAATGACCCCAATTCTTCACTCCTCCATGTTTCCAAGCTCTTTCTCATGTAATGTGTACATCCACTTCAACTCTGGGTTTGGCCATGTGACTTGCTTTGGTCACTGAGATGTTAGCAAATGTGCTGCAAACAGGCTTAAAAAGTATTTATGTGGCTGGGCCTATATTCACTTGAGAGCATGCTCAGGCTAGCCTGCTGGAGGATGAGCTATGTAGCCCAGAGTCCAGACACCCCATCACCCCCAGATATGTGAGGAAGCTCACTCAAGATCAACAGAGCTGCCTAGACACCCCTGAAGTGTGAATAACAAATGCTGTGTATGCCATGGAGGTGCTGGTGAGTTTTATTCCACAGCATCATGTTCACAATAGATAACCGATACACAGAACTAATGCATCTCCTAACCAAGCCTGTTTAACTCCACAGTCAGGGCTCTTCCCCAATACAACAGAGAGTCTTGGGTGTCCCCTGAAGGCAGGTCTCCTGATTGGGATGAAACTTATAAAAAGTTGAGAAAGCTTCCTCTACAGTTTAGCCATGAGAAGAAAGCAGCCTGCCTGCTGGTCACTGGGCTACCCAATAAATAGGCTAAGCACAGGTGCCAGGCATATCCTAGAAAAGCAGGGGCAGCAACACAAAAATGAGAAACTTTTTTAAAAACTTGGTATTTCAAAAAATAAGCACTGAAGTAGTCATCATAACTTTTTTAGAATCCCTTATGCTATTTTATGGTTTAGGTTTTTTTTTTTTTATGAGAGTTACATCTTGGGAGGTGGGTGTGTCCCCAGGATCTGTTGCAGGTGGAGGGCCTCTAAAGGGCCCATGTGCCCTGCTGCTCCACAGGGTTGCTGCCTGGGGGAGTCCTGAGGGCCGCATTTAGCCCCGGTAGCCGCTGGAGGGCATGCAGGGGGCAGCAGATGAAGCAGCTTGGGGGTGGTGGGGGACACCCAAGTAAGAGGAGCTGGGCTTCTGCAATCTGTTTCTAACCACTCCTGCCTATGAATCATCCACATCCACACTCCCTCACAACCCGCATATTACATAAATAATGTACAAAAAGAGCAAAATCGAGCCACCACCACGGATGAGCTCGACCTTGAATTATCATGGAGGAGTTAAAAGATAGGCGTGCTTTAGAGAGTCGTGGGGACCTCTCCTGAAGGGCGAGTTTTGCTTGGCTTCTCTATATCACTAATAGCTTTTAAAACATCAGTCACCTTCAAGGCCCAAGTCCATAGGAAACTGTCTTCGATGTCAGTTTCTCACCCAGCCCAGTTAAATCTCTTAAAAGGAAAACAAAAGTGGTTTGCATGCCAAGAAGTAAAAGGAGCACAGAGCAATCCCAGAGGACTTGAAATGCTGGTGAAATTCAACTTACGGTGAGAGTGGGTATAGGAAGGGGATAGTCATTAATTAAATGAGCAAAATTGTAAGTAGCAGACTCTTGTAAAATCACGAGATGAGAATCTTTATGTATTTCCTTTCTGAACAGTCAAAGGCATGCAAAGATGTTACTGCCAGGTTGAGCTGAACAGTGGCCTACAGAAAGTTCCCCAGTCATTCCCAGACTCTAATTTGCTTCCTGGAGATCAGCTGTGGAAATGAGCAAGAGCAATCGCCAATTCCCAGATTAATTAGCAGGAGGGAAAAGAGGAGGAACAGGAAGGAAAGGAAGGGAAGGAGGTGGGGAGGAGAAATCCTTACTGAGCACTTACTTTGTGCCAAGCATTATCTTATTCAATCTTTCCAACAACTCTATGAAGAAGTCATTATTATTATTCCCATTATATAGATGAGAAAACTCAGAGAGCTTCCATTTCTTAGTCAAGACCACTCAGCCAGTGTGTGCCAGAGCTGGGTTTGGAGCCCAGGTTCTCTAACTTAAATCCCGCGGGATAACTCATGGGTCTATGCTGACTCCTAGCAAACAGCTTAGTTACCTTGACACATATTTACATGTTTCCCATTTTGAGTTATGCCTCTAGAGTGGCAAATCACTTTATTCTGTCTCAACATAGGAAAAGGTTTATTCTCAAAGCACAACATTTATTTTTGAAGTAAACTTTATTTAACTGAGTCTTCTTTAGCATGCCTTAAATGAATACCATATGAATTTATTTCGGAAGAAGAGGCCTCCTTCTTCACCTTGGAAACGCTGTTAACTTATATGATCCTTCCTTCATTCACTCATCTTCTATTCATTCATTCATTCAATAAATATTTATTGAGCACCTGCTAAGTGCCAGGCACTGTGCTGATTCCTAGGACTTAGCAGATGAGGTCTCTGGCCTAAAAGGGCTCACAGACTATATCTGGAGTTCTACAGGACAAGTCATTCCAGAACTTGCAATCTATTTACATGTCAAAAACAGATTCACAGCACAAGAAGATAATAAATAGATTCTCTAGATCTGAGATTTTAATAACTGAATGTAGCTGTTCTAAATGACCAAGCGATTATCAGACCTCCAACCAAGTTACCCACACTCAAAAAAATTAAAAATTAAAAAATAGCATTGTGCTCACAAATCACTCCTTCCTTATTTGATTCTACCAGTACAGCATGCTCCTAAAATAAAACAAAAAGAGTCAAATATATCAGCTTTCCAAAACTGGACCAAAGCCAGCACACTGGGCTTCTGCTGTAGCATAACCAAGACCCTTTCTGTAAACCTATAAATAAATTTCAGCAGATGCTTGGACTCAGAGGGTCTAAATGGAAAACCAACCCACTGGTCCTCAGAATCATGTGTGCACTCTCCCTTCCTGACTCCTCTCCAGCTTTAAGAAAGCTATGCTGGCCGGGCGCGGTGGCTCACGCCTGTAATCCCAGCACTTTGGGAGGCTGAGGCGGGCAGATCACGAGGTCAGGAGATCGAGACCATCCTGGCTAACACAGTGAAACCCCGTCTCTACTAAAAATACAAAAAATTAGACTGGCGAGGTGGCAGGCGCCTGTAGTCCCAGCTATTCAGGAGGCTGAGGCAGGAGAATGGCGTGAACCCCGGGGGGCAGAGCCTGCAGTGAGCCGAGATCGCGCCAATGCACTCCAGCCTGGGTGACAGTGAGACTCCGTCTCAAAAAAAAGAAAGAAAGAAAGAAAGAAAGCTATGCTTTGAGAAGCTACTCATGCAGAAAATGGTATTTCCAAACTGATGCGTTACTCCAGCACCTATGAGGATAGGTAACCCATAGAGAAGTGAGTAATCTCTGTGTCCTGGTTCCATAAGGACTCTGCTATTCTGAAGTTCCCAGGGCCACTCAACAGGCCCCTTTCAAGGACCTGTGATGAGCTCCATGCTGAGCTGCTCCACCTGTGCCACCAACCACTCAGAATGCCAAATTACAAACTGTGAATGCCAACCTCACTCTCCTGCAGGACTCTAGTGGACATTGAGCCATCGTTTCCAGCTCTGTCTCTGCAACATTACAGGGAAGACCACACATTCAAAAGGTGGCACAGAATTTTCAAAACCAATTAATTTTACTCATTCAATTTGAAAAGGTAAGGAGCCAGCAGCACTTTTAGGAGCCCAAAGACAGCCTAAAGTGAGAGTGCTAAACAACCATAATAATTAGAATAAACCAGAACATAAGCTTCTCAAGGGCAGGAACTTTCTCCATCGTGTTCTTTGCTGAAGCTGCAATGCCTGAACGTTTTGGTGCTTAATCCATGCCTACTGAGTTAATAAATGGATGATTCTAACGGAGTGTTCCCCCACATCTTCTGTGCTAAACACTTCTTCTTCGTTCTCTCATTTAAAACCCTTAACTAAGAATCAGAGATCTGTATCAAGCCCAGTCTGCCATGAGGAAACTGACATTCAGAACATGCACATCACTTCTTCAGGGTCATGTAGCTGTAGGGCAGAACCAGGTTTTGTGGGGCTTAAAACTTATACAATTTCAAGATGCCTGCTTTAAGGAAAAGAATATAAAACTACAAGTACAAATTTAGATATGTAAGTGATTATTTACAGTGGGGAAAGAAATTGCAACAAATTACAAATGTAAAAGTATTACAAATATCATAAAATCTGGAAAAATGACAGTGATAACAGTGATTTTCATCATCTACCTGACATATATCTATCATATTTTTTCTTACATTTGTTGGCTGCGTACTTTTTCTACAAAGAAAACAGAATAAGAATTTCTTTCCCATAGTGTGATTGATCAAATTTTGTCTTTATTATTTTCAGCTTCGTGACTCATTACAGATGACAGTAGATAAATCCTTAGGGTTGTTGTCAAATTTGGGGAAAGCTCTATCAAGTTTCTTTCATATCTGAGCTGCAAGATTTCAGGGCATTTCAAGCTTACCTGTCAATGATGAACCTTAAATCAATATTGCTGAGTTGACAACATTCATTAAGCTGTTTGTTGTGAACAGACCTCCTCATTATAATGACTTAATATGAATTTCATGTTACCTTTGTCTTGCGTCAAATAAGCAAGAAATTTGTTTTTTCCCAGTGTGTTCATGTGATTCACTCCTCATCAC
Organism: Homo sapiens; assembly: GCF_000001405.40. NCBI lineage: Eukaryota > Metazoa > Chordata > Mammalia > Primates > Hominidae > Homo > Homo sapiens. The sequence continues at coordinate 53,999,777 of NC_000003.12, read as the reverse complement.
TAGCTGGATTATTAAAACTCCAGGAGCGTCTTCATCATTTTTAGTCACTATTTTCTCTGGCTGCAAATGAATGGATAAAATTTACCTTTCTGTTAATGATTGAGTGAGTTTGATATGATCTGAAAAGTGTTTGTTCGAAGCCTCCTCGGTGTCTAGCGATTTTATTGCTCACCTCCGTCATTTCTATTTCATGTTTCTATCTTTATATGAATTTTCTGTCAGTTCTTTAATAAGTTTAAAGGTGACCATTTAAAATGTACCATTCACCTATGTTCAAATCAGAAGCTGTAATGTTTTCACTTGTTTTATTGACACATTTCAGAATGACTTTCCGAATTGCAGTTAGAGCCACATATTCCCCACTCAACTGCTCCCTAGCCAGATCCTCAAAATGCCTTTGGGCATTCCAGTGCCACCCTACACAAGGCAGAGAGAGACCAAGAAGAAGTCAGAGTAGAAAGAGAGAGTAGTCACAATTCCCCGACTGCATTGGTCACAGGGCTAGGGTCCCTCCCAGAGCCTTGGAAGGAGCCTATGAAGGGAGAAACCCTGGAGTTTAATTGTCATCAGCTTCATGGGAAACTGGCCTCTCCCACAGCTAGTGTGTGACAGGGCCCTACTCCAAAACTGGTCTGGCTCCAGGCCCTGAGCAGCTGACCTGTGCTTTATATGCTCCCTGTCTAAGGAATTGACAAAACAAATGTGCAACTTCAAAAAAGTTAGGTATCTCTTCTGCAGCAATGGTCTTCCATGAAATGCCAATGAAATGCCCGTAATTCTTTATGTAAAGTCATGTACAAAATAAAATTTTCACAGACTGTTTGGGTCCAAAAGGGCTAAGCTAAAAACCAAGTTGAAGGGTCCTCAGACAAATTCAAATTCATCTAATACCAAAATAAATACAGAAAGGAAATAGGGACCATCTCTGCATCCCCTTGTGCTCCTATTTCCGGAAGTGCATCAGAAAGGTCCCGCTGGTCAACGAAGGCCACAGCCGAACCTTCCTTCTCCAAAGTGGTTCCAGCCTCTAAGCACCAGCAGACCCCTGCCACCAAGCTCATCCCCTGAGATCCATGATCCCCAGCCCTCTGGGAATTGCAAACCTTTGACTCAGTGCTGGAACTGGAGACACATCTGTTCCCCTCCCACAAGGGCACAGTGGGATGACCCTCCACCCCTTTCAAGGGTGTGTGTGTGTGTGTGTGTGTGTGTGTGTGTGTGTGCGTGTCTTTAAATCTTACATATGCCTCCAGGAACAGTAAACAAATATAATGAACTAAGAAAACCATTTCATGGATAAAATATCCATCTTTTCCTCCTACAAATTATTGAAGATATAGATGAGCCTGTATTCTCCATCTCAGAATCATCAAACCATGCAGTCTGTGTGAAAATTCTTATTATAAAATTATTTTAAAACTCTGTTTTAAAAATCATATTCTTAAAATAAGAATTCCACCTACTCATGCCACTGGGGAATTCACTGTTGATAAAGCATATGCAAGTATGTGTCTACTCCCAGTAAATTCACAACTGAGCAGGGGAGTGAAGATATGGACACAAATACCAATAACATCATGTAGTAAGTGAGGAATGGCCAAAGAATAAACCTGACATAGAACTACGGGGTTCAGATGGAACATGTTTTTAAAAAGGAAATACTAGGAGTTGAAAGACATTTAAAGAACTATCAATCTTCTAAATCAGAAATGTATTAAAAACAAAAACCAAATGAAATGAATACAAGAGAACTTGAAAATAGCCTGAAAACTAGAAAGGAAAAGGAAAGATGACAAAGCATCATCTTTTTTCCCCTCATCTGCGGGTGATTTTTACACAAGAATCAATATTGTATTTATTCCGTGTAATCGTGCTTCACTAATCAGAGATCCTGTTCTACCATCCTCTCGATTATCTTGTTTTCCTGCTTCATTTGCTTTCTGCTTCCAAACTCTGGCAGTATTATCCTACAACATTATCGCAAAGTAAATTTTAACTGAATTTGCAATTTGAAATCATTGATTTTTTTTTTCAAGTTTAAACAAACAGAAGTAACTGCCAGATATTTCATAAGGAAAGTCTTCTGAAAGGGAGTGTCAGATTGTTTCGTGGAATTCCAGTCTGGAAGGAGAGATGCTAAAGATAGGAAATGAAATGTTTAAGTGGATGTGAAGAATGAACACCAAGCAGAGGGATATGCATTAGGAAATTGTCCCATAGCTGGAGGAATTTGAGAGGACCCTCTTTTATAGTCAGTGGAAAGAGAACTTTTTCATGACACACTTTGCAAAGCCGTTCACATGCAACCCTCCTTGGCAGTAACTTGTTCTTAAGTTGTTTAAGTGGGAAGGCGGAAAGCAGATTAGGGAGCAAAAGATATTTTAAGGAACCAAAGAAAAGTTTAACTCTGATGGGAAGAGGGCACCCTACCCTGGCAGGGTGGGTTGGGCACCAAGATCTACAATGATAAGAGAAGCACCAACATCAGTGTGAGAAATTGGAGTTGGTGCCAGTGGAAAAGGAGACGGTGGAATCTTAACAGCAACATCAAACAGTGTAGAAGGCAGGGGAACTGCAGTGAGAAAGACAGAGCAGCCCTGGAAGGGCAGGCAGGAAACTTTAGTGACACTCGGAGAGAATTTAAGAGCCCCGGGAAGGGGAGGGAAGGGCAGGGAAGGGCAGAGCTTGAGGGTATTGGATTCCAAAGATGACAGTGGCTGAGACTCAAAGCCAGAGACTGCTACCATTGCCACTGTCCCCCACATTTATTGGTTGCTCTTCCCTGAGTTGAGAAAGGAAGAGAATTCCAAATAGCCCCCGCTTCCGCAGGCACTCTGCAAGTGATATTAATAGGACCCCAAATTCACTGGCTCTTGTTCCACTGAAAGTCCTATCCAGTCACTGCTGAGGGACGCTGGGGTGGCTTACTTGCATCACAAACAGCCCTCTGATGCTCTTTTACTCAGGCCCCTAGTTGATGTCACCTCTCTACAAAGTCCAGTGAGGACTGGGACTCATCCCTAGCCCTGGCAACCTCCATGGGAATGCTGTGGCCACACCTGGGGCGTTGGCTACAGACATTCCTAGGGAGCTACTCTTCTGGGTAGCAAGGCAGGGCTAGGTTCCCTGGAGTCTCTGCTGCAACAGTGCAGCTCTCTGAGGCACTCCTCTGTCCAGCTCTGCTGCCCTGAGTCTTCTAGGCCCTGGGGCACTGCCTGCGCTGCCACAGGCCACAGTCCTGATGAAAACTACTGTTCAGCTTGGGCTTGTAGCCCTCTCCAAGGGACTCAGATGAATTCCAAGGACCTGCTGTGAGGGCTCACAGTTGAAGCATACGACATGGTATTTTCCTGTTGCCCCCTGTCTGCATGTCTTCCTGGGTGCACAACTTCCTCTTGGAGCAAGGCTCACTTCCTCATGTAAATTACCTCCTGCAGAGAGACACAGGCCAGACATTGCCACCACTAACTCATCAGACACACCCTGAATTGTCAGAATCCTATCCACAGGCCCAGCCCGGGACTTCCAGTTCTCAGTTAACAACCATCAACGTTAACTGAGGGGAGAGTGTTTCAGAGACCCCTCTCTGAAATGCAGCGTGAAGTTGAACTCTGGACTGTTTCTAAGAGCTGTTTACTTTCCATATCCCAAAGCTAGAGGGGCTAGGGACAGAGAGTCTTAGTCCATCTGGGCTGCTATATCAAATGTCATAGACTGGTTGGCTTATAAACAACAGAAATTTATTTCTCACAGGTCTAGACACTGGGAAGTCCAAGATCAAGGTACCAGCAGATTTCGTGAGGGGGCCACTTTCTGGTTTGTATCATAGATGACACCTTGTTGCTGTGTCTTCCCATGGTGGAAGGGGCAAGGCATCTCTGAGGCCTCTTTTGGACGAGCACTAATCCTATTCCTGAGGGCTCTACTTTCATAACCTTGTCACCCCAAGGGCCCTACCTGTTAGTACCATCACACTGGAAATTAGGTTTCAAGTTACAAATTTTGAGGAGACACCAACATTCCAACCATAGCAGAGGGCTTAGAGTCAAGATGAACTCAACAAACTAAACTCCTTGGGCATTCCAAAAAGATAAAGAAGCCAGTGCAAATTTTGCCAATGCCAAAATAATTTTTGTTCATTCTAAATTTGTTGATAAATTTTGGGGTCAAATCTCTGTTTCCCAGCATGTGCCACAACCTACCCACTTGACACACAAACGTGCATTATATGAACTTACTGGAGAGTAAACAAAAGCGCTAGATCAGTGAATTCCAGAGATGAAATTATTAAAGTTATGTGGCTTGTAAACTCATGGAACCTGCCAGGCCCAGATGAATAATTGGTAATTGATGTTTATAAACAATATCCTCCACAGCTGAGGGAACATGGCTGGCACGTGGTGAGTCGCCTGCTCCTAGCAGGTCTCACTTCCATGCTCCCTCCATGCTCATCTCTTCAGTAAGAGCCCTGTGAAAGGTTTTCCTGAGTCCCACGGCTATTGAACAGCCCATCTGCTTGAAAGCCGAAGGGGATGTTGGGGCCTGAGCCACTCACCACGTGTTCCTGTTCCACTCGGTATCACCCAGATTCTGTTGATGCTTGTCAAAATCTTAATTCACAGGAACACCCTGTACCAGATTCTTTGGAGTTCTCAGAGATCTGGGATGGAGAGTGAGCTCTGCTGCCAAGACCTCAGAAATAGCACAGACTGAAATCTGCCAGCTTGAGGCTTAAAGAAGTCAGATCACCTTTTGCAAGACAAATTAGCACATAGCAAATGAAAATCGCTAATGTTCCTATTCAGCTGGCATATTATTCCCTTGGATATAAAATGGCTCTTCTCCAGGCCACAACTAATGATCATCTTGACCTCTAATGCTCAAGCTTGTGAGCGACTAACCATGTCGGGTCATCAGCTCTGAAGGACTTGGAGGGCAGGCTGGGGAGCCTGGAGCAGCCACCCTGGTTTCAGCTCGACCACTGACTGCACTATTTTACCCAAGTCCTTTCTTTCTTTCTCCAGGCCTGAGTTTCACCAGGTCCAGCACAAGCATAAATGAAAACTCCTCATCCTTCCCTCTGCAAGGATCTTAAGATGCTATACAGTCTAAGACAGCTGAACAAATTCTAGGTTCTTAAAAAGCAAGAGAAGGAATCGAACGATGTGGGGCTGCTTGCTGGCTCCAGGACTTGTAGCTATATGGCTGTGTAGGTAGTACCTATTAGCCAAGCTCCCCCATGCCCCTTCTCCTCACATTAACTGAAATATTTCAGTTTAAACAAAATCTATCAAAGGTTTTGGAGTTTATTTTGAGGGTGGAGAGAGGGTATTCTAGAACGTGTAACACTGGCCTCCATGCTGAAGGGCAGGAGCAGAGATGGCCAAGGGGGCACTGTCCTATATAGTACCCTAATATTTGAACATGTAACTACCAAACAGAAAAAATAGGGGGTGATTATTTGCATTGTAAAGGGATTCTTAGCACAAAAGAAACTATCAGACACCATACACTTAAACTCTTGTTTCTGGGCAGATTGGAGAAACATCTGCTGGTTGCCTCCATCTCCATGAGCTAATTATGGTGCTAGGTGCTTTCATGGTTATTATTTCCTTTAATCCTGCAAATCAACAAGACAAACTGAGGCCCATCCAGGTCATGTAGGTGACCTAAAGTCCCATAAGTAATACATGTTGGTAGGGTTTAGCTCAGGTTGTTTCACCTCAAGACTCATGTTTGTCTCACGATTCCACATTGCTCTACAAAGACAGGGAAGCTCGATTTGAATTAATAAATATTTTGGAGTCTGGTTTGTGAAAAATCTCCCTAAAGTTAGACATAATGTAAATTAAAGGAAAACAGGATTCTAGGCTTTGTGCAGCATCTCACATCTGTAGTTTCAATGCTTTGGGAGGCCAAGGCAGGAGGATTGCTTGAGGCCAGGAGTTTGAGACTAGCCTGGTCAACACAGCAAGACCTCATCTCTACGAAAAATAAATAAAATAATAAAAAGATAATAAGGATAACAAGAAAATAGAATTCTAGAAAAACAAATACTTCCTTTCCATACCAATTGTCAGAAACCTGTTGCAGAAAATGATGCTCACCTGTCCTGTTTTATTGTTGAAACATGCTGATTTTATCCCCTCAGATAATCAGCACAAAGCTTTGTGTTATGAGAAAAGAAGGGAGATTACTTCTTCAACAAACTGCCTGTTTTACTATGGCTGGCTCTCAACACTAAGACTTTAATTCCAAAGGCAACATAGAACTTTTAAATTTTCACCTAGAAAATAAAAATATATATATTTTTCTTTTAAGTGTTAGCATTTACACCAAAGGGAAAGCCTTGAAAGGAAAAGACAGATTTGAGTGCATAAAGTTTAAAATTTTTGCATGACAAAAACACTGTAGAAAAGAAAGTGTGAACTTGAAAAAATATTAGAACAGGGCAGGTGCAGTGGCTCACGCCTGTAATCCCAGCACTTTGGGAGGCCGAGATGGGCAGATCACGAGGTCAGGAGATTGAGACCATCCTGGCTAACACGGTGAAACGCCATCTCTACTAAAAATACAAAAAGAATTAGCCAGGCGTGGTGGCGGACACCTGTAGTCCCAGCTACTCGGGAGGCTGAGGCAGGAGAATGGCGTGAACCCAGGAGGCAGAGCTTGCAGTGAGCTGAGATTGTGCCATTGCACTCTAGCCTGGGTGACTGAGCAAGAATCCGTCTCAAAAAAAAAAAAAAAAAATTAGAACATATGGCGGTCATCAGGTAAATATAAAATATAGGCCAGGTGCAGGGGCTCACACCTGTAATCCCAGCACTTTGGGAGGCCGAGCGGATGGATCACTTGAGGTCTGTTATCCCAGCTACTCAGGAGGCTGAGGCAGGAGAATCGGTTGAGCCTAGGAGGTGGGGGTTGCAGTGAGTTGAGACTGCGTCACTGCATTCCAGCCTGGGCGACAGAGTGAGACTTTTCAAAAAAAGGAATTAAAAAAAAAAGTATATATATACATATAAATTATTTTTAAAACGTACCCCAATAGAAAAATGGGAAAGGACCTCAACAGACAACTAGTGAGTATTCAAAGAAACACAAATTAATATTTTTTTAACTTATCAGACTGGTTAATAAGGCAACAGAGCAAAAGGGAATGGTAAGAATATAGTATAACTGACACCTTCGTACACTACTGAATAACATGAATTGGCACAACATTTCAGAGTGGCAAAATGTATTTTTCAAGTTTATAGGTCTACTATGTTTGAACTGTTTTCAATAAGCATACATTGCTTTTTCAATAGCAAAAAAATAGATAATATTTTAGGTGTTCTCACCCTTGACCTGGCACAATTTACTGCCTCAGCATAAATGATAAGGAAATAATCATGAATGTGTAAAAAGATTTAGCTAGAAGAGATACATGATAGCATTGATTATAAGGGGAAAGATTGGTGTGGCAGAAACCACTAGTTGCTACACAATAGCCATTTTTTTTTTTTTCCTTAGCAAAAGAACTCTTTTGACATCCCTTTTACCCTCCTTTGCAGCTGAGTTTGGCCAACTATAGGTAAGCAGAAGTGTTGCATGGGACTTCCAGGGAAGCTACTTAAAAGCAGCTGATTTGGCTGGGGAGGAACGCTTTGGACCCTTTATTACGTTCTCCTCTGCATTATCTGGAACTTGGATGTGATGTCCAGCTCTTTTTGAGCCAAGAAGTGACCCTGGGGATTGAAGCTGCCATGATTTGTTTAGTCCCTGGCAAAACTCATGTTGAAATTTGATCCCCAATGTGGCAGTGTTGGGAGGTGCAGCGTAGTGGGAGATGTCTGGGTCTTGAGAGTGGATCCATCGTGAATAGATTAATGCCCTCCCTCAGTGGTGGGCAAGTTCTCACTCTCATGGGAATAAATTCATTCTCAAGAGAGTATGTTGTTATGAAGAGCCTGGCTTCCTTGGTTTCTCTCTCTTGATTCCTTTCTCACCATGTGATCTGTTTACACACATCCACTCCTCTTCCACTTTCTGCCATGAGTTGAAACAGCTTGAGGACCTCACCAGATGCACCTGTCCAGACTTGAACCTGCCAGCCACCAGAATCACCAGTGAAATAAACCTCTTTTCTTTATAAACCACCCAACCTAAGATATACTGTTACAGCAAGACAAAGTAAACTAAAACAGAAGCTATCCCGAAAAATGATAGAACAAAAAGGTAGAAGAATCCTCAGTCCTTGATGGCTGCCATAGCAACCCTAGACTGCCCACCTCTGGGCTATCTTATGTTCAAGGGAAATAAATATTCATCTTGTTTAAGCCTATTCTTTGGAGTTTTCTATGAATAAAGCTGAACCTAATTCTAGCTGATGAGTCATCAGGTCAACAATCTAAAAGTTAAACAGTGGAGGCCAGCCTGGCCAACATGGCAAAACACAATCCCAAATTACTAAAAACACAAAAATTAGCCAGGCATGGTGGCACATGCCTATAATCCCAACTACTCGGGAGGCTGAGGCATGAGAATTGCCTCAACCTGGGAGGTGGAGGTTGCAGTGAGCTGAGACTGGGCCACTACACCACAGCCTGGATGACAGAGTGGGATGCTGTCTCAAAAAATATAAGAAGGCCGGGTGCGGTGGCTCACGCCTGTAATCCCAGCACTTTGGCTGAGGTGGGTGGATCACCTGAGGTCAGAAGTTCTAGACCAGCCTTCAACGTGGTGAAACCCCCTCTCTACTAAAAATACAAAAATTAGCTGGGTGTGGTGGTAGGCGCCTGTAACCCCAGCTATGTGGGAGGCTGAGGCAAGAGAATTGCTTGAACCCGGGAGGCAGAGGTTGCCGTGAGCCAAGATTGTGCCATTGCACTCCAGCCTGGGCTACAAGAGCAAAACTTCTTCTCAAAAAAATAAATAAATAAAAATAAAAAATGAAATAAAATGAAAAGTCAAACAATTGCAAAACTAGTTAAATATTATAAATTATTTGGAATCCAGATGGTAAGTCCTAAGCAGCCATTTAACATATTATATGGAATGATGTTCACAATATATTGGTATTTGATAAAGGCAAGTTTTAAAACTATATACCATATGATCCCATTTTTACAAAAAAAAAAGAAAATTGATATTCACGCATTGAAATAAGTCTGAAGAGTTCTATGCCAAAATATAACAACAATTATCTGTGAATGGTTGTACTCTCATGATTAGTCTGCTTTCTCATACAAAGCATCTAATTAATTTCAGCAAGTATGATGCATGTGATATGTGTGAGACACTAAGTGCCACCTGAAAACCCATTTACTTCCAGTTCCACAGGAAATTAAGAAAAGGAAAATTTAGCCACTATTCAAGGCAGTACTTTCCCATGACACACAGGTGACAGGAAGGGCTAAGGCTTACTTTTAGAGGCGTGTTCGCTCTTGCAGTTCATGGGGGAACCACTAAATAAATTAAAGCTAAGCTCCACCAAATAGTTTCTTTAAAGACCCGAGGGTTAAATACAAACTCGCATTATTTTTCAGTGGCCAGATGTGTCTCAAGCAAAGGAAGTAGCCTGCAGCGATGCTTCCAAATGTTCAAAGGACAAGTTTCCAGGTCTACAGCTGTGCTTTATTAGGGGGCTGCAGCCAAAGCCCGTAAGAATTTGGCATAGCTTATTTGAGAAAATATTCACGTGTGTTGAAAGCAGATTCAATATACATCGGGTGGGAGAGTTGATCATCTGCTCTACGGAGCACAGAAATCAAACAGTCTACTACATGTATTTAAATGTCTTCTGTGGGTCTCTTGAAACTTGGTAGATATCTTCCAATTCTTTTAACACAGAACTCCACTTCCTGATACACGAGGCAATGGATGACTCTACTCAGCTGAAGGGAATTGTCTGAGAGCCCTGTAATTAGCATGTCACCTCAGCAATGCCATAATTAAAGGCCTCTAAAGAGGCTTCTATTACAAGCCTCCTATTTTCAAGGCTTATGAGTTTTTGCTCTAATATCTCTTCTTTTCCCAAATAGGAACCATGAACTGGCAGCAAGAACACATCACTGCTCCTCTGTAATGTGCTCAAATCATTTTTCAGTCATGTGAAAATCAACAAGAAAAGACCGTTGGGGTTTCAAACAGCTTTATGCTCCCATCTGGAGTCCAAAAAAGGCTCATTTAACTTAACACAGCCACGTTTTTCAAACACCTGGTTCCTCAATGGCATTCCGTTGAAAAAAATTCTTCCAAAACAAGAGCAAAATCTCAGTTATTGTTTAAGCAGTCGTCAATGTGTGTGAGGAGTCATACTCTCTGTGTGTTTAAACCTTCCTGGTGTGGGCTTTCAAACTAACAAGAATAATAACTTACTACCACTACTAATGTCTCCACCACCAGCACCATATAGTGAGTGCTTATATTTTGTGCTCAGTACTGGCTAGACAATTTGTGCCCTACAGCAACTTAGTGAACTAGGCATCATCATCTCCATTTTTAAAACGAGAAAACAGATTAAGAGATGCTAAGTTACTTGCCCAATTTATACAGGTGGTAGGAGTCACATCCAGGTGTGTTTGACTCTTTGCATCATGCCAGGCTTTTAAATAAATTGTGGTAAAATATATACAACACAAAGCTCACCGTTTCAACCATTTTTAAGTGTACAATCTAGTGGCATTGGCCTTCACAACACTGTGTAACCATTACCACTATCTATTCCCAAAAGTTTTTCATCATCCAAGACAGAAACTTCCCCATTTCCCCTCCCCCAACCCCTGGTAACCTCTATTCTAGTTTGTATCTCTATGAATATGCCTGTTCTAGGTACCTCATATAAGTGAAATCATGCAGTATTTGTCTTTTTGTGTCTGGATTGTTTCACTGAGCATAATGTTTGCAAAGTTCATCCATGTGGTAGCATAATCAGAACTTCTTTTTTATGGCTATAATATTCCATTGCATATATATGTCACACTTTGTTTATCCATTCATCAGTTGATAGACGCTTGAGTTGTTTCCACCTTTGGCCACTGTGAATAATGCTGCAGTGAACATTGGTGTACAAGTATCTGAGTCCCTGTTTTGAATTCTTTGGGGTATATACCTAGGAGAGAAATTGGTGCATCATATGGTAATTCTGTTTAACTTTTATGGAACCCAGACTTTCTCCATATATAAAGTATGGTCCCAATTTCATGCAGATATAAATACAGACCTCTCTCTTTCTCTCTCTGTCTTTCTCACACACAAACACACTCACACACACACACACACACACACACACACACCAGTCTCTTGTTGATTCAGAGCAAAAAGAGAATGAATCAGACAGACCTGGGTTTAAACCCTGGCTATATCATTTAAATAGTGGCGGGCAAGTCACTTCACCTCTCTGAGTTTTTGTTTCCTCATATGTAAGATGGAAATAATAAAATCTGCCATGAGAATGTGAAGATTTGAGTTCAAATGGGCAAAATCACTACTAGCACATGCCTGGCCAGAATGGGCAATGGATCAATAGTAACTACTTTCCTCAGTTTTAGGAAACAGAAGGAGATGCCTGTATTTTTGATGTGTAAAACGTAATGCCTCCTTGGGTCCAATTCCCAGGTGATGAGCAAAAGCAAAGCCACATCAGGACAAGTCTGGGGACTTTAGAGGCCTCTGGGAGAGGAGACCCATAGCCCACCGGTCTCTGCCCAGGGCTTGATGAGTGGAAGACACACACTCAGACCATCATTAGCTCTCCCTTGTGCCTCTTCTACGGCCAAGGGACTATAAATCAATAAACAGGTTATCCAATAAAGCTCCCTGAATGCACATGGCTCAAAGCACTAAACAATTAAATTCAATTTGCCTGGAACACAAGGACATGCTACATCTCCCAGATAAGAATAAAAGCCCTTCAATACAGAAATTACTTTTTAATATATCTTGTGGGTCCAAGTTGGTTGGAGTCAGTGGAGCCACTGATATCTTGAGCAACATAAACGCAGTAAGTGGAATCCATGGATCCAAGGATCCCTCTTCTCTTTCCTTCTCTCCCTCCAGTCCCAACCAAGGTCCAGAGCAGCTTCCTATTCTGAGTCTGTTGCCCTTGAAGAGATGAACGGCCAGCATCCAAAAGCAGTGATAAATTGCACCCAGAGGGCACTTCAAGAAATGTGACTTGATGAGGGTGATTAACTCTTCTGATCGATTTTGCTTTGGGCTCATATGCATATAATAGTTTTTTATTCCATTTAATAATGATAAGGCTGCTTAACACCATTGACTTGTTCCTCAAAGTCAATTTTGTAATTTTGATCTTGCTTTGTCAGTGTCTTTTGAATTTCCTGGAAGAGACGCTGCTATAGATGGGTCTTCACTTTCTTTTTCTTTTCTTTTTTTTTTTTTTTTTTTTTTTTTTGAGATGGAGTCTCGCTCTTTCTCCCAGGCTAGAGTGCAGTGGTGCGATCTTAGCTCGCTGCAACCTCTGCCTCCTGGGTTCAAGCAATTCTCCTGCCTCAACCTCCTGAGTAGCTGGGACTACAGGCACACGCCACCACGCCTGGCTAATTTTTGTATTTTTAGTAGAGGTGGATTTTCACCATATTGGCCAGGATGGTCTCAATCTCCTGACTTTGTGATCTACCCGCCTCAGCCTCCCAAAGTGTTGGGATTACAGGCGTGAGCCGCCGTGCCCAGACGAGTCTTCACTTTCTTTTGGTAAAACATGAATGCATATTGAGAGATGAAAAATATACTTGGGGCCAGGCACGGTGGCTCATGCCTGTAATCCCAGCACTTTGGGAGGCTGAGGCAGGCAGATCACCTGAGGTCGGGAGTTCGAGACCAGCCTGACCAACATGGAGAAACCCTGTCTCTACTGAAAGTACAAAAAATTAGCCGGGTGTGGTGGCACATGCCTGTAATCCCAGCTACTTGGGAGGCTGAGGCAGGAGAATCACTTGAACCTGGGAGGCAGAGGTTGCAGTGAGCCAAGAACGTGCCATTGCATACCCCAGCCTGGGCAACAAGAACAAAACTCTGTCTCAAAAAAAAAAAAAAAAAAGAAAGAAAGAAAGAAAAGAAAAATATACTTGAGATATAAAATTGACTCAATCCAAGAATATCCAATTCACTACACTAACTACAGCCACAGAGAGGAACCATCTTTGAAGAGTGCAATTCTCACCTGAAATCTAAAAGGTTTTTTGTTGTTGTTTACATTTGAAATTATAGCACTAATCAGACACTCTGATTGTTAATTGCTTCAGTAACTTCCTTCATACTCAGAATCCCTATCTTGCCTGCTCCTCATCAGTGGGGCCAAGACAGGGATGCAGGCATGCTAACAGAAGCTAGATCCCCATATTTTGGGTACCATAACAAGGTTCATTGCATCACGTTTTGTCTTCTTTGCTTTCCACTAGGTCTAAAGATGAAGGCTGACATTTAGAGCTTGTGAATACAACTTCCACCTCCATCTGTAAGCAGAAAATAGTTCATTAAATAAAAGTCTGTCGGTAGTACAGCTTGAAAATAAAGTCTGGTGTTTTATTTGGCCCTGAAGTTTTTTAAAATGATAATGAGCTGGTTCATGAGCACCCTCATTATGTTAATCCAGATTCCTTCAGGAGCAACTAGGATAAAAGCTGAAGCTGATAGAACCTATTGGTGGATGAACGGGAGTCCCTGCCCTCACATGTCTGAAACGTATGTTCGTGTGACCGAAATGCTTTGTTCCTAATCTTCTGAGCTGTTCCTTCATTAGACATGTAAAGCTTGCCCTGTCTTAATTTGGCTGGAAACAGCATGCAGAGTGTTTGTATTTTAGGAAGGGCAATGAGCACCCACAAAAGTGACTGAAATGTTATTGCTGGGCTTCTTAGAAAAGTTACAGAGCTGCCGCCTGTGTCTGTGTATTAGTTCATTCTTACATTGCTATAAAGAAATACTTGAGACTGGGTAAGTTATCTTAAAAAGAGGTGTGTTTGGCTCATGGTTCTGCAGGCTATACAGGAAGCATGGCAGCACCTACTTCTGGGGAGGCCTCAGGGAGCTTTGACTCATGGTGGAAGGCAAAGTGGGAGCAGGCATCTTACATGGCAGGCGCAGGCCCAAGAGAGAGAAAGGGGAGGTGCCACACGCTTTTAAATGACCAGAAGTCACGAAAACCCACTCACTATCACCAGAACAGTACCAAGCTGGAAATCCGGCCCCACGATCTAATCGCCTCCTACGAGGACCATGCTCCAACACTGGGGATTACAATTCGACATGAGATTTGGTGGGGGACACAGACCCAAACCATATTAGTCTGCTTAGGGCATTATTACATGGTGATCGCTCTCATGCTAGATGCACCAGGCAGCTGGTAAGCATGAAGAAGAGGACTGGAGCATTTCCAGCACCTCGATCGTAATGTCCCTACCCAAATAGGCTTTTAAGTACAATGCCAAGTAAATATTGTTATTCTGGCAGGCATTGAACACTGAAGTTCTATAAAAAATACAACATTTTGGGCTGGGTGCAGTGGCTCACGCCTGTAATCCTAGCACTTTGGGAGACCAAGGCAGGCAGATCACGAGGTCAGGAGATCGAGACCATCCTGGCTAACATGGTGAAACCCCGTCTCTACTAAAAATACAAAAAATTAGCCAGGCGTGGTGGCGGGTGCCTGTAGTCCCAGCTACTTGGGAGGCTGAGGCAGAAGAATGGCGTGAACCCAGGAGGTAGAGCTTGCAGTGAGCCTTGGCACCACTGCACTCCAGCCTGGGCGACAGAGAGAGACTCTGTCTCAAAAAAAAAAAAAAAAAAAAAAAAAAAAAAAAAAAAAAATATATATATATATATATATATATATATATATATATATATATATATAACATTTTCAAGTTCCGCAATTTGAGAATTTTATTCTGCAAGTAGGTGAAACCAAACTAATATGTGAGGCCTTTTCATTCATACATTCATTCAGTAAATAATATTTCACTTCAAAAATTATAAACACTTAAGATGTAGCAGGCACCATACTGGGTTCTAAGAATAAAACAATAAGAAGGTCACATCCACTAGCTACAGAGCAATTACAGTTTTGTGGGTGGGAAAGATAAGTAAACACCTACAATAGTCACAAGCACTGTGACAGAGGGGTGTACACACAGAAGGTAATGAGTCTCAGAAGATGCACTAACCCAGCGTGTGAACTGAGAGACAGAAGCGGAGGTAGGGAAAGGCCAAAAAAGGCTTCCAGAATTGGGTGAAAGCTACACTGAATCTTGAGGGAAGAGCAGGCTTGGCTCTGCACTCTGCAGGGCTGGCAGAGGAAAACTTGAGAGAGAAGGATATAAGCAGGACCTCAAGTCCTGTGGGCCACAGTGGGTGGCGCACAAGGCCAGAGATACAGGAAGATGCCTTGACACCTTGCTAGGGACTTGGCCTTCATCATGAAGACTCAGGACATTCACTGACAAGATCAGCATTTTGGAGAGAGTATCTTGACCATTCTGGGGAGAATAGCTAAAACTAAAATCTAAGTTTCTGGGCAGCCAAACTATTAATAGATGCCATAAAGTCTATGCAATAATGTTTATCCATTACACCTTAGGAGAGCTCCTGGGGAGTCTTACTTCAGTCTAACTTGCATGGCAATGCAATTTTCTAGTCCATAGACTATTTTTGATAGAGAAGAGGAGGAAAGGTCAAGCCTCCCGCAGGAGTGGCAATAATAGCTACCACATATGGAACAGCGATGGTGTATTCACTACACGATCCTTTAGTGCTCACAACAATCACATGGGGTAGGTATTATTATTCTCCCCATCAGAGAGATGAACAAACTGAATTTCTGAGAGGTGAAGTAATTTGTCCAAGGTCAAACAGCTGGCAAGGGACATCAGTGGGGCTGGAATCCAACAGCTACAACCTCAACTATTATGTTACCTGGTTGAAGGGAATGTACAGTTGGCAATCTGAGAACAATAGGAAGCAGACACCAGGTACTGGGGGACGACGGCAGACTGACATCTAATTTTGTTCCCTCCTGAAACTCCACTAAAATTACTATAAAAAGGCGTAAATCCACTAGGGTGGGAGAGGAGGCAATCATGCATAATTTTGGTAGCTACAAGGACAGATGACTTAGCCTGGAAAATGCTAATTTCTAAGTCAGCAGAGGGGAAAGCAGAGAACCAAATCCATTGACTCAGAGGACCCTTACATAAGAGACCAATCCAGCAGGTCAACTTATAGACAATAGTACTTCCAGGAAGAGAACATGAAAGACTGAGAATGAAGAAAATTATTTAAGAACATTTCTGAGAATTAAAAGTTCCCAGAATAAAGGATGAAAAAGAAATCTACATGATGTGAAATATAGAATACCAATGTTCATGGAAAAACCTTGTAAGATTCCAAAAATAAAGATAAGTTCTGGAACCAGAATGGTCTTAGACTTCTCAACAGCAACACTGGAAGCCAGAAGACAATCAAACATTCTGAAGAAAAGTTAGTTCCAACCAAGAATTCTATATTCAGGCAAATAAGCAGACAAGAGAGTAAAATAAAAATATTTTCTTTTTTTGACATTCAAAACATTTATTTTCCACATACACTTTTCTAGGAAGCCACTGGAGGATGTGCCCATGCATAAGAAGGGTTAACTTGTGAATGAGGAAGGCACAGGATCGAGGAACCAGAATAAGAAAGCAAAGAGAAGCCCAAGGCTGAAGGAAAAGGAGAATCTGACCCATGAAACAGACATGCACTTGGTTTATTGAAGGCAACCAATCCATATTGTCACATCAAAAGGCTCCAGAGAGGCTTCCTCAAAAAGCCAAAACCGAGAGAACACCCAGTGTGTTTAGATGCATTGAAAGAAGACTTGAACAGTGCTACACCAAGTGTGGCCAGACAACTGGTGCTGTGAACAGTTTGTTCTAGAAGTATATTTTTATTGTATTTTATAAAAGTATCTGCCTGTAACAAAGTAGCAATTTTAAAAACTAGTTCTTTATCACAGATAGTCTGAGAAGCACTGATTTAGACAATTGGTTGAATCAGAACTAAATACACAGAACATCAAAGCAAATTGAAAAAATAATCTAACAAACAAAACAATTATTAACTTGAGAAAAAAACCCAAAAAATTACGCAGAAAAAAAAGTAATTAGAGTTTTATACATGGCTGATCTCTCACTAGTATATAGAGTCATAATAATGTAAACACTGGATATTGATTTAATTAAAAAGATAAACTGGGGGGCCTGGCTTGGTGACTCACGCCTGTAATCCCAGCACTTTGGGAAGCTGAGGCGGGCGAATTACGAGGTCAGGAGTTTGAGACCACCTGGCCAACATGGTGAAACCCGTCTCTACTAAAAAATACAACAACAACAACAAATTAGCTGGGTGTGGTGGCAGGTGCCTGTAATCTCAGCTACTCAGGAGGCTGAGGCAGGAGAATTGCTTGAACCCTGGAGGTGGAGGTTGCAGTGAACCGAGATTGCGCCCCTGCACTCCAGCTCGTGCAACAGTACGAGACTCCGTCTCAAAAAAAAAAAAAGATAAATTATCTTGGGAGGATGGGAAGTGAGTGCATGGTAGGGATGGGATAAGGCAAGAGTTAAATTCTCATCTTCCATAGTGGGATTCAATAGATAGAGTCTAAAAGAGGAAAGTAAAAAAGTAGCAATACAACCATGGGATTTAAGATATGGAAGGTAATTTTTAATCAGCTAAAAATATATATATATAAGTGGTTCATCCCAGCACTTTGGGAGGCCGAGACGAGTGGATCACGACGTCAGGAGATCGAGACCATCCTGGCTAACATGGTGAAACCCCGTCTGTACTAAAAAATACAAAACATTAGCCGGGCGGGCGTGGTGGCAGGCGCCTGTAGTCCCAGCTACTCTGGAGGCTGAGGCAGGAGAATGGCGTGAACCCAGGAGGCGGAGCTTGCAGTGAGCCGAGATCGTGCCACTGCACTCCAGTCTGGGCGACAGAGCGAGACTGTCTCAAAAAAAAAAAAAAGTGGTTCCCTGTAGGGGAAGGGAAATAGGTGCAAGGCAGCCTGGGACTTGTTTTTTTTAACAAACCCACAAGATCTGGTTGTCTCTTTGAACTATGCGCCTGGATAACTCCAACAAAAATCAAAATCTGTAGACTGGGGCTAAGTAGTGTTGAAGCAAACAATTCTACATCTACTTCAATAGGAATAAGATTACCTAGCCCTAAAAGTTGTTAAAGACTACCGCATACCACAATGTAATAATCAATGCCCATAAGGGAACGTTATGTTCCAGATCATCTGTTTCAGAGGGCAGTGAAGTGTACAGCACATTTCAGAAATTTCTTTCTCCAAAATGGTTAAAGAAAAAAGAAAAGATTTTGTTCAAGGGGTAAATCCTCAGTCAACCAGAAAACATCTCTAACCAAACCAAATCTTTCCATCAGGGTTCCAGGTAGTATACAGAAAGCTAACCTTGAAGATCAGGTTACTGTTCTGAATAAAGGGTTTTAATAACAGAAGGTCTAGTGATTCATCTTGATAACTTTGAATAATTCTTGAAAAAAAATATATATATATTCACTGTGAGACATGGATTCTTAGAGATAAACTCCTGGGGGATGTTTAATTAATCCTGTATTGCACCATAGAAGCAAAAGTTCCCTTTTACACTCCCTTAAATGATGTCCATCTACTGTTTCGTACAGATTGTTAAAATATTATTAATCTATCCTAAGCTTACCAAGGTTTACAGATGGCATTATACCCTAATCCATATTATTATAATTAGGTGTTGTTAAGCATCCAACTGCATTCCAGCCACTGAAACAAGGACAGAGACAGCCTTTGCCCTGAGGGACTCCTCTTTAAATAGATAGCGGGGGTAATTCAAAGGGAAAAGAAAGAACACAGCAACTAACAAAGGCATCATCATTTTTATGTTGTTTCTTTGGAAAAGGTAAGGAGATTTTAAATGCTGAAGAGGACATGTAACAACATGAAAGAGCTTTGAAGTCCATCTAATCCATGAGTGTTGGGGGTGAGAGGAGGAAGGAATGAACCCGGAGAAAGCGTATGTAAATATTCCCTGCATTTTCCCAGGGAGAGGGTGCTTGGTGTTCATCAAATTATCAGAGAAGCTTGTGCAACTTTGCTTAATCCAACCCTCTCATTTGACAGTTTTATGCATTTTAGAGTTAACAGAACTCAGGCTTTAGGCAGATGTTCTTATTTACAAGAGAGGGAAGCCCACAGAGCACACAGGATTTATCCCAAGGGCAACTAGAAAGTCAGTGGCAAAGCTGGGAAAGGTTCCCTGACTCCCAATCCTTGGTCACTTGACCCCATTGCCTCTAGTAGGTTGTATCTGTCTGTTTACAAATTACCATTTGTTTGGCTAATTAAATCAGTTTCATGTAAGTACTTAGTTTTCAATAAATGATCAGTGATTTTTATGTAAAACACATTTCTACCCAGTTGTCTAATGCAGAAATCTGGGCAGCTTCTCTGACTCTTTCTTCTTCCCTCAACATCCTCTTCTCCAGCATCTAATCAGTCACTAAATCTTATTTGATCCCTGCCCTAAGAAGCTCTGGGGTCATCTCCACCCCCACATCCAGGTGACCACCACATCTGCCTCTGACTATAACAGCCTCCTAACCTGACTCCTTAGACAGGTTGCACAGCAAAATATGTGAGGAATTCAGAATTCAATTAGATGGTAAAGAGATTCATGTAATCCAATCAAGTGGTGATGGAATCAGCCACAACACAGGTGAGGGCTGAAACAAGTTAAGGGAAACAATGGTTAATGGTGAAAGACTCCCAAAAGAAATGGAATGCACTGAGCTGCAGTAAACCCCAGTGGAAGGTATGAAGATGGAGGTTACCCATCGACAATGGAAGACAGAACCTGGCTCTAGAAAAAGACCCAAGTCCACAGTGGCTCATGCCTGTAATTTTAGCACCTTGGGAAGACAAGGCAGGAGGATCACTTGAGCCCAGGAGTTCAAGACCAGCCTGGGCAACATAGCAAGACCCCATCTTTATTTTTTTTAAAGAGAGGGGGAGAGAGAGAGAGAGAGAGAGAGAGAGAGAGAGAGAAGAGAAGGGAAGGAAAGAGAAGAGAAGGGAAGGAAAGAGAAGAGAAGGGTAGGAAAGAGAAAAGAAGGGAAGGGAAGGGGATGGGAAGAGAAGGGAGGGGAGGGGAGGGGAGGGGAGGGAAGGAAAGGGAAGGGAAGGGAAGGGAAGGGAAGGGAAGGGAAGGGAAGGGAAGGGAAGGGAAGGGAAGGGAGAAAAGGACCCAGAGTTCTCCAGGGACTTGAGTAGAATCATCCAGGAAGTATGTAGTACCAGGTCCCACCCAAGGTCACAGTCTCAAATATCTGACTGAAAAGTAACAATATTGTAGTTCTAATTTTATGACTCAGTAACCTTGCCTGATGTGCAAAAACTGCTTCTTTTACTTGGATAAGTGACTTTACAAACAGGTTTAAAAATGAATACACTAAACCTATAATTTATTTATTTTTTAAATCTATAATTTAATACCACTAACTAGAGGACTAGGATTTGTAATCTTCAGAACAATCTGTGTACCACTGTTATTTAAAATGCAGTGATTAGGCCAGGCATGGTGGCTCATGCCTGTAATCCCAGCACTTTGAGAGGCCGAGGTAGTAGGATTGCTTGAGCCCAGGAGTTCAAGACCAGCCTGGGCAACATAGAGAGACCTTCTTTTTCCAAAAAAAAAAAAAATCAAAAACTTAGCTGGGCGTGGCATGTGCCTGTAGTCCCAGCTACTCAGGAGGCTGAGAAGATCACTTAAACCGAGGAAGTAGAGGCTGCAGTGAGCTGAGATCGCACCACTGTACTCCAGCCTGGGCGACGGGAATGAGACCCTGTATATTACTCCATTTTCACACTGCTATAAAGAAATACCTGAGACTGGGTAATTTATAAAGGAAAGAGGCTTAATTGACTCAGTTCTGCATGGCTGAGGAGGCCTCAGAAAACTTACAATTGTGGCGGAAGGGGAAACAGACACCTTGTTCACAAGGCAGCAGGAGAGACAGAAAAGCCCAGGGAAAACTGCCGTTTATAAAACATCAGATCTTGTGAGAACTCACTCACTATCAAGAGAACAGCATGATTCCCCACCCCCATGTTCAAATCACCTCCTACCAGGTCCCTCCCTCCCCTTAAGCCCCTGGGGATTATGGGGCTTACAATTCAAGATGAGGTTCGGGTCAGGGCACAGCCAAACCATATGACCCTATCTAAACATAATAATAATAGAATACATGTGAAGATTTGTGGGGAAAAGCAAGAGAGATCAGATTGTTACTGTGTCTGTGTAGAAAGAAGTAGACATAGGAGACTCCATTTTGTTATGTACTAAGAAAAATTCTTCTGCCTTGAGATTCTGATAATCTATAACCTTAACCCCAACCCCGTGCTCTCTGAAACATGTGCTGTGTCAACTCAGAGTTAAATGGATTAAGGGCGGTGCAAGATGTGCTTTGTTAAACAGATGCTTGAAGGCAGCATGCTCCTTGAGAGTCATCACCGCTCCCTAATCTCAAGTACCCAGGGACACAAAAACTGCGGAAGGCTGCAGGGACCTCTGCCTAGGAAAGCCAGGTATTGTCCAAGGTTTCTCCCCATGTGATAGTCTGAAATATGGCCTCGTGGGAAGGGAAAGACCTGACCATCCCCCAGCCTGACACCCGTAAAGGGTCTGTGCTGAGGAGGATTAGTAAAAGAGGAAGGAATGCCTCTTGCAGTTGAGACAAGAGGAAGGCATCTGTCTCCTGCCTGTCCCTGGGCAATGGAATGTCCCGATATAAAACCCGATTGTATGCTCCATCTACTGAGATAGGGAAAAACCGCCTTAGGGCTGGAGGTGGGACCTGTGGGCAGCAATACTGCTTTGTAAAGCATTGAGATGTTTATGTGTATGCATATCTAAAAGCACAGCACTTAATCCTTTACATTGTCTATGATGCAAAGACCTTTGTTCACATGTTTGTCTGCTGACCCTCTCCCCACAATTGTCTTGTGACCCTGACACATCCCCCTCTTCGATAAACACCCACGAATGATCAATAAATACTAAGGGAACTCAGAGGCTGGCGGGATCCTCCATATGCTGAACGCTGGTTCCCCGGGTCCCCTTATTTCTTTCTCTATACTTTGTCTCTGTGTCTTTTTCTTTCCCAAGTCTCTCGTTCCACCTTACGAGAAACACCCATAGGTGTGGAGGGGCAACCCACCCCTACAAAGATTAAATAATTCTTATTCTAATTCTTATTAGTGAGACCCTGTCTCAAAAAAATACAGTGATTAATATGGCATATTGGTAAAGCTATGTGATTTTCAGATTTGGGATTTTTTTTTAAGTTGTTAAAGATATACTAATATTTGATCAGGTTGATAAAGATTTTTGGAATATTTAAAATAATATGCTTTGAAACATTTAAAATTTTGATTTACGCTTGAACCCAGGAGGCAGAGGTTGCTGTGAGCGAAGATCGCACCACTGCACTCCAGCCTGGGCAACAGAGCAAGACTCCATCTCAAAAAAATTTTTATTTATTTATTATAGTTACAAGAAATATTTCAATGCTTAGAAAACTGTTGCCTTTTAGGGTTGTAAATCTTCCCAATCAGGCACATGGAGTACTTGAAAAAAGCCAAATATAATAAGTAGATAAATAAACACAGTACAATATGTTTAAGATAATTTAATTGGTTAACTTCATGATTAGGAATAATTTTTAAGGATATTTAATGTGCATTAATGAAAGTAATTGCTCTTATTTGTAACACTAATTTAAATATCTGTAACTATAAATAAATAATTCTCATTAATGATAATGGGAGCCCGAATATCCAGACAAACAATGGCCAGATCCTATATAAACACAGAACTCTGGTTCACACCTGCAGCAGCAGCCTGCCCAGGAAACCAACCCCTTATCCACAATAACCAGCACAGGAAGCCAACCTGCTCCAAGTCAGACTTAGAGGAAGTCAAGCTGCTATCTCTAGTCACAATGCAAGAAGCCAAACAATAACTTCTGTGACAATCAACCCAAGATGGCCAGGACTTCATGAATAACTGACAGCTTTCCTAGTTTTTGTCTCTGCTTCCAACTCAGAACCAACCACAGTAAACCAAATGTGCTCCCCTAAGCAATGCCATAGGGTGCCCGCTTCCATTTAGCTCACCTGCAGCTTCCCCAGGCCAACAGCCTCCAGTCAGAGCATAACTGAAGCCTTCTCTTTTTCCACTCTAAAACTTCCCCACTCCTCTGCCTGCCTTTGAGTCTCTGCCAAAACTCAAATGACAGAGATTGAGTCCCTTGCTAGAGCAAGCTCTGAATAAACAGCCTTTGCTTGTTCTCATTTGGTTGGTCTTTTTGTTTATTTCCACAATAAAATGCTTCCTTGGACATTAAAAATCCAAACTCCAAGTGTTAGTCTCTCCAATACATCCTCCATACTGCCGCCAGAGCCACCATGCGCACTTTCCCTCATCTTCCCTCAGGATCCACTCCACACTCTTCCACACAGGCAACACGGCCTCTCCCAGCCTGCCCTGGCCAACCTCCACCACTTGTCTCTTCCCTCTCAGTGCCTTCCTCTCTGTGCTCTGGCTATGCCAAATTGCCTTCTATTCCTTGCACATGGAATGTCTTTGCCATTCCTACTGCATGGCCAGCTCCTCTTTGTCCTTCAGTAAACATTATTTCCCCTCTGCCTGTGCACCCTCTCCCCAATCTTACCCACCATTGTTGTCTATTTCTTATTTCTCTGCCATGCCCCTTCGCTGCAAGCTTCACAGGTGCAGAAATCTGATTGCCTCACTCACTGTATCTCCAGCTATAGCTCAGTGCTTGACACATGATAGGCATTCAATAAATGAACCCCTCAGCAGAAAGCCAGAGTTCCTACAGATGGCCTATGACTGGGAACATTAAATAATAGTTTTAGTGGTCTATCCCAATAAGAAGCCTTCTACAAGTACAAAAATCTACACTACTCTCTAAGAGGAAAAATCATACTTACCTAGTTCAATTCAAAAAACATTTTCTTGTGTTCCTGAATGACAGTCCCTAAGGTAGGTGCTAAGGGTAGAAAGAAAATAAGACACAAATCTTGCTGTCAATGACCCTGCTGGGTATTGAAGAGACAAAGGCGATCAAGATATACTACTCCCTGCCAGGATGAGACTCACACTGTAATGGTAAAAACAGACATGAAAACAAGTGATCACAACACATAAATTATGATAGATTGAATCACAGAAATACATACAAGGTTTAGAAGCAGCAGGTACATTGCGCCCACACAAATCACATCCATCTACCTTCCTCCCTGCACATTATATTTATCTGAAAGGTTGTGTGCAAATTAAGTGTTTATAAATCAAATCATTTGAAATGCCTCCAAGGTACCTCTCTGTTTAAAGAACCGTTGTTATGATTCTTTTTTAAATCAATTCCTAATTTAATTCTTTTGTAAATTTGACACATAGAGTAATCTTTTTGTGAAAAGAAGATCGCAGTTGTATTACATTCTGAGGAGCCAGAATGGCCATGTGGGAGGAACACAGCAAACTTTAACAGGAGGAATTTTCCTTCTGGAGCTTCTTTATCTGTATTTTATTATATCCCATTAGAAGAGGTGTGTGTGTGTGTGTCTGTGTCTGTGTGTGTGTGTGTGTGTGTGTGTGTGTGTGTGCGTAGGAAGGGTAGGACCCAGTCTGCAGGCTCAGCGCCTGCCCTCATGATGCCCATTCCAGCCCTGACTCATTAAGTCACCTTGGGCAAAGCACTTGCCTGACATCTCCCTCCTTCCCTCGGCTGCTAGGAACACCTCAATGCCTGTGAGTGAGCTCCAAAAGCACAAGGGAATGCTCCCATTACACCTTCCAGGTAGAATTAAAATTCAAAAGCTGTTTTCAAGAGCAGGTGAGACCCTTCCTGGCATCTTAAGGTCCATTGGCCAAAATCCAAATGGTCTTAGTGTCCAGATTTCTGACATTTTAAATCTCACTGGGACATCTCACAGGAGAAAAGAACAGGGCTGGAGGTAAGTTGCCTCTGAGATGTAAGCTCCAGGGGCCAGACACAAGCAAGGAAGCTGTGCTCCTAGTTCAGTTAAGAGACTACTGGTAGGATTCCTCCTGTTAGGAGTGGCTATAAATCAAGACAGCTGCTCTCTAAGAGAGGCCAGATGGGAGGGGGTTAAGTTTGTGTGTGTGTATCATGTGAGATAACGACAGAAAGTGAAACCAAAATGCATGAACAGAAGAAATTTATTACTCACAGGTCCCAGAAAGGTTAGGAGTGCTGACAGAAGTCCAGAGATGGCATGGAGCTCAACCATTGGGGGGCAGCGGGGACAGGACCTGTGGGACTTTATTAAGATTCATGGGCATCATTCCTTAGGCTTTCCCTTGGGGGTTGTGGATTGGCTAGTGCAAAGAAAACATACACAAAGTGGGAAACGTATTTACGTGACTGGTGTTGACCCTTAGGTTTGATCGTGGTGAGCAGCTGTGGGCTGTGTTGAGTTTTGGGTCAGTAAGATGAAAAATGAGCAGGCTATATCAAAAACAACCACAAAGGGAGGGGAAGTTGTAACCAGGCCAAAGATGACAGGATACATCGGGTTTCAAATAACTTAGATTAGGCCTAAACATGGATGCTGAGGCAGCAACTATGCTAAACAAATGTGTGACAAGTGGGCAGAATGAGGAGAGCAACTCCTAGTGCCTGGTTTGATGCAGTGCCTTTTGGAGTAGGTGCTCACATTTCCACTGCCCAGTGCCCTGGGCTTCATTCCACTAGTATGCAGAGCATAAGAAATAAAGCAAAAGCAAAGCCCTCCTCTAACATACAATAAACTCAGGGGCTCTGTGGGGGAATATGAATGGCTTCCATTCCCTCCCTTCCTTCTGGCGGACATTTTAGAGCAGGCCCTGGCAAACTTCTTTAATGTTATGTAGCATTATAAATAGAAGGTACATTTTAACTTTCCAGCATCCACAGATGGGCATGAAAGACACTTCATCCATCCATCCATCCATCCATTCATCCATCCATCCATCTATTCATCCCTCCATCTATTCATCCATCCATTCATCCATCCATCCATCTATTCATCCATCCATCTATTCATCTATCCATGCATCCATCTATCCATCCATCCATCCATCCATCCATCCATCTATTCATCCATCCATTCATCCATTCATCCATCCATCTATTCATCCATCCATCTATTCATCTATCCATGCGTCCATCTATCCATCCATCCATCCATCCATCCATCCATCCATCGATTCATCCATCCATCCATCCATTCATCCATCCACCTATTCATCCATCCACCTATCCATCCATCCATCCATCCATCCATTCTTTCAATAAAACCCTTTGAGCACCTGCTGTGTACCAGACTCTGCAAGGTGGGTGCTCTGCAGATGGAATGGAACAGACAGACACAGTCACCCCATCCTGGACCTTATATTCTAGAGTGGAAGGCAGACTAAAAATAGGAAGCAAATAAACCATTACCTAATTTAGTCCTGTGATAAAGAATAAGAAGGAAGCTGGGCACGGTGGTTCACTCCTGTAATCCCAGCACTTTGGGAGGCTGAGGTGGGCGGACCACCTAAGGCTGGGAGTTCAAGACCAGCCTGGCCAAAATGATGAAACCCTTTCTCTACTAAAAATACAAAAATTAGCCAGGCATGGTGGCGGGCCCCTATAACCCCAGTTACTCAGGAAGCTGAGGCAGGAGAATCACTTGAACTCAGGAGGAGGAGGTTGCAGTGAGTTGAGATCGCACCATTGCGTTCCAGCCTGGGCAACCACAACAACAAAAAAGAATAAGAGGGAAGACCTATATTGGGTAGGGTGTTCCAGAAAGGCCTCTCTGAGGAAGTCACTCTCAAGAGGGTTCCTGGAGGGTGAGAAGGAGCCAGCCTTATGAAAAACTGGGGGAAAGGCATTTCAGCAGTAGAAAGTTCTGAGGCTGGAAAGGCCCAGCAAGCCATAGAAGCTGACCTGAGGCCAACGTGGCAGATGGGAAAGGAGCCAGGGCACTCCTGGGATTCAGATGGGGGTTAGAGAACTGGCAGGAGCCAGATCAGGCAGGGCCTCACGGACCATGGAGGAGAATCTGAGTTCCCAGGAAGCTGCTGACGAACCTTATCCAGGGGAATGACATGTGACAATTCACATATCAAAAGGGCCACTGTGGCTGCAGGAGATAGGAGGGATTAGAGGGTGGGATGGCAGGGAGGGCTAATGGTGCTGCAGGGTCCTGGCTCTCCTCTTCCTTCTGCATGTGCAGTTAGACTACATTTCCCAAACTCTTTCAAAGTTAGGTGTGGCCTTTTAACCTGTCTTGCCAAAATAATATGAGAAGAAGTGATCCAAGAAATCTGGGGTCCATTTGTTAAAGCATTGAGGGTTACCAAGACAACACCAGTCAGGGCAAGTGTGAAAGTAGAAAGACCAATTAAGCACTAAGACTAATTAAACCAAATAGAAAGACCAGAATCAAACTTGACTCTTTTGGAGACAAGCAACCAAAAACTTAAATTGACTTAAACAAAAAGAGAATATATTGGCCCACTTATATGAAAAGTCTAGAGATAGGTCTAACTTCAAGCAAAGCTTAATCCAGGATTCAAGTAATGTGTATTAGTCTGTTCTCACACTGCTAATAAAGACATAACAGAGACTGGGTAATTTATAAAGGAAAGAGGTTTAATTGACTCACGGTTCCACATGGCTGGGGAAGCCTCACAATAATGGTGGAAGGTGAATGAGGAGCAAAGTCACGTCTTACATGGTGGCAGGCAAGAAAGAATGTGCAGGGGAACTCCCCTTTATAAAACCATCAGATACCATTAGACTTATTTGCTATTATGAGAACAGCACAGGAAAGAATTGCCTGCATGATTCAATTGCCTCCCACCAGGACCCTCCCACAACACATGGGAATTATGGGAGATACAATTCAAGATGAGATTTGGGTGGGGACACAGTGAACCATACCATAAGGTCACCAGGACAAACTGTCCCCTCCAGATGGCTGCCAACAGCTCCAGCTTCACAACCTCCCATTGTTGAGTCCAGGATTCATTCTGACTGGTCATATGCCCACTCCTGAAATATACTTACGGCCAGTGGAGTGCATTGCTCTGATTAATTCAGGCCTAAGTCCCAGGTTCCAGCCACAGAGCCTCAGCTCCCCTGAGAGGACATGAAGGGGACAGTAACAGTTAGGATAGGATTAGCTGCATATGTCAGAAAACCCCAAATAAAAGTGAATAAACAAAAGTTTATTTTTCTTTCGTTTAAGACAAGTGCAAAGGTAGAAAGCCCAAGGCTGATATGACAGCTTTAACAGTTCAGTCATCAGGGAAACAAGGACCTTTAAACTTCCTGCTCTACTATTCCAGTAGGTGTTTTCCATCCAAAATAGCTGCTAGAGCTCCAGCCATCACATCTGTACTCCAGGCAGAAAGATGAAGGGGGAAAGAGTGAAGAGAAGTTGACTTTTCAGCTCAGTCAGCTTCTTTAGGTTGTCCTTCTGGAGTGTCACACAATACATCCACTTATATCACATTGACCAAAACTTAGTCATATGGCCTTTCCTAGCTGCAAAGGAAGCTAGAAAAATATAGTCTTTGTCCCAAAGACAAAGCACTCAGATAAAAATCAGGATTGTGTTACTAAGTAAGAAAGGAAGAACAGGTACTGGAAGGACATTTGGA
This sequence comes from Homo sapiens, assembly GCF_000001405.40. NCBI lineage: Eukaryota > Metazoa > Chordata > Mammalia > Primates > Hominidae > Homo > Homo sapiens. Next base: position 53,970,993 of record NC_000003.12, on the reverse strand, counting down.
GTCCCTAAAGCAGATGTGCCTCGGAATAAAAAGGGGAAATGGATGCTGGGAAGGGACTACCAATGTATACTCCAGTCCCTTAGGCTCCTGATTTCCTGAATGACACTGCGATGTAGGGAGCAGTTTTCAGCACCCCTAGAGTGGACAGAGCTAAAGGTAACAGCATCTGGGCCATGGCAACCTCAAAGTGAGAAGGGCTCAAAACGGCCTGCCCTTGGGCCTAATCTTCTCCCTAAAATGGGCTCAATGACATCCTCCCCTAACCCAGCTAGTTCCCTGTGTAACAACCCTGAGCTCCACACCTATACTGTGCAGCAGGGTTTTATTTGAGATGGAATATTAAAACTCCAAATTTGACAAAGAATGTGAGAAAGAAATGTTCATATGCCCTTTCTCCTGTGTCACATGTCTACCATCTACACTGCTAGTCTCCAGTGATTTCCATAAGACATTGCTTGTGCCTCAGTCCGCAATTCAGAATCCCACATGGCCCATAATGAAACCTTTAATGGAAAGAAGGGCAATCACAGATTGTGTACAGCGTGACCTAACCACCAAGGCTAAGATTTGTGCACCTTGCAATGCCAAGGAAAATCTATGTTTATCAGCAACTTATCTTAATAATTAGACAATATTTGACAATTGCTAATAAAGGGACAAGACAAGTGTCTTGTGTTACAGGAGTCTGGAAGAGGGAGAGATGTCTGTGGCTGGACTGCTCCAGGGAAGATGGGCTAATGCCTGAGCCAGGCCTTAAATGTTTTAATTCACCTTGAAGTTTCAAGTTTAATGAGGAAAGGGGGATGGCATGGGGGCCCATTTGACTCCGAGGTCCCTTTGTTTATTATTGTCCTTTGTTTGATATGCTATATAAGCTGGTACCCAAAGTCACCATTTTGACAGATGCTTTTGAACTGAGATTTCTCTGTGTAATGGATGTTAAAAATAAAAATACTTGCTTTTCTCTTGTTAATCTATTTTTTTTTGAGACAAGGTCTGGCTCTATTGCCCAGGCTGGAGTGCAGTGCTGCAATCTCAACTTACTGCAACCTTTGCCTCCCAGGCTCAAGCCATCCTCCAACCTCCACCTCCTGAGTAGCTAGGACTACAGGCACGTGCCACCACACTTGACTAATTTTTGTATTTTTAGTAGAGACAAGGTTTCAACATGTTGCCCAGGCTGGTTTCAAACTCCTGACCTCAAGTGATCTGCCTGCCTCAGCCTCCCAAAGTGCTGGGATTACAGGCGCAAACCACTGCATCCGGCCTGTCTTTTGTTGCAGAGGTGTCCCAGCTAATAACTTATGAGAGTTGACAGAATAAATTATTTTTTCCCCTTCACTTTTCACCAAATATTCCCAGTTGTCCCCCTTCTGAGCACATGGTAACTGCTATGGTCTGAGTGTTTGTGACTCCCAAAATTCCTATGTTGAAATCCTAACCCCCAAGGTGATAGTATTAGGAGGTGGGGCCTTTGGGAGGCAATTAGATGAAGAAGGTGGAGCTCTCATGAATGGGATTAGTGCCCTTATGAAAGAGGCCTGAGAGCGACGCTTTGCCCCTTCCAGCTGTGAGGACACAGCAAGAAGGCACCATCTATGAACCAGATGAATCAGAAAGCCAGCGCTCACCAGACACCAAATCTGCTGGTGCCTTTATCTCAGACTTCCCAGCCTGCAGAACTACGAGAAATACATTTCTGTTGTTTATAAGCCACCTGGTTTGTGGTATTTTGTCACAGCAGCGCAAACGGACTAAGTCAGTAAGATTGTACTTCCTGGTCCCCTGCAGTGGGGTTGAAGCACATGACCAGTTCTGGCCAATGAGCTGTAAGCAGAAATGATGCGTGTCACTTTCAGGCCAAGCATTTAGCTGCTGGTGTGAGATCCACCAGAGGGTTCCCTACCAGCAAAGTCCCATCAGCTTGGGTGTCAGAGCAAGGCTGGTGGCCACATGGAGCAGAGTACCTAGTCTACCAACTACAGACATGTAGTATAAGGGAGAGGAACATCTTGTTTTAAGTCACTGATATTTTTGGGTGGTAATATCAGAGAAAAGGGAACAAGAGAGCAACTAATGGAAAATCCCAAATCAAATGTCACTTAATACTTTTTCTTATGCCGAAGGCAATATTAGCTGCTCTGTATACAGATTGCCTACTGTGGTGCCAGAAGCTGTCCTGGCATCTCAATATATATGATCTTATTTAATCTCCCTACAAAGAGAGTGTCATTATCCCTACTTTACAGGGAAGATTCATAGTTCACAAAAGCTTAACACTTACCTAGCATATTGTTGTTTTTAATGGAAAGACCAGAGTACAAATTCAAGGCTATCTGATACCAAATCCCTCATTCCTTCCTCTGTGCCCTCGCACTGTGCATCAAACTTGTTCAGCCTTCTCCCATCTCAGACCAATTCAAGCCTGGAAAATGGATGAAGGCAGAAGTAGTCCACATACTGAAGCAAGAATTCTTTTAACTTCGGCCTGAAATATTCAGAAGTTTAGTGCAACTTAAAGATAATACTAGGTGTGGACTCAAAGACATAACCAGACAACTGGCAGGTTGGTTGGTTCTTAGGGACATTTGTGAAACTGTCTCCCCTCTTTTCCAGCCATGACAAATCAAGTGTCTCACCAACTGTTCACTAGAAGGTACTTGATGCTGTACTGAGCCCCAGTCAGAGCCAGGCACTCTGCTGAGGCCAGGAAGATGGTGGGAACAGCCAAAGCCTTTACCTTCAGGACAAGACAAAAAATGGGTTGACAACATATAAGGAAGCACAAAGATATTTAAAATGATTACAAATATAGAGAAGGGCTAGAAAGATATAGCAAAGCTGCCTCAGTCTGGGTGCAGTGGCTCACGACTGTAATCCCAGCACTTTGGGAGGCCGAGGAGGGCAGATCACCTGAAGAGTTCAAGACCAGCCTGGCCAACATGGTGAAACCCTGGCTCTACTAAAAATACAAAAATTAGCCAGGTGTGGTGGTGGATGCCTGTAATCCCAGCTACTCAGGAGGCTGAGGCAGGAGAATAGCTTGAACCTGGGAGGGGGAGGTTGCAGTGAGCCAAGATGGTGCCATTGCACTCCAGCCTGGGCAAAAGAGTAAGACTCCATCTAAAAAAAAAAGAAAGATACAGCAAAGCTGCCTCATCAATTCTTTTTCAAGTTCCTTTTGGGAATATCAGCAGTTTTTGGTGGTCAAAAGTAGGTGTGGGGTTTGCATACCCACACTGCTACAGTCTTGCTGCCAGGTCACTGTGTAATCTCTCTATGGGTTCATCTTGCGCTCTGCCCAGAAAAGTCAATGCACTGAGAACTGCTGGGTTTTGCAGTAGAAAAAAAGAATTTAATAAATGCAGAGCTGCTAAATGGAAGACCAGAGTTTTCTTACTCAAATCTGTTTCCCCAAGGCTCAGACGTTAGAGATTTTCAAGGGGAGCTTGCTGGACAGGGGACTAGGGAATGGGTACTGCTGATTGGTTGGGGATGCAATCATTGGGGTGTGGAAAACAGTCCTCATGCACTGAGTCTGCCTCTGGGTGGGAGGCCACAGGACCAGTTGAGTGATGAGTCATCAGTCCATGTGGGATCAGTCAGTTGCCAGAAGGTACAAGTCTGAAAACATCTCAAAGACCAATCTTTTTTTTTTTTTTTTTTTTTTAGAGAATCTCTGTCACCCAGGCTGGAGTGCAGTGGTGCAATCTTGGCTCACTGCAACCTCCACCTCCCAGGTTCAAGCGATACTCCTGCCTCAGTCTCCAGAGCGGCTGGGACTACAGGCGCCTGCCACCACACCCAGCTAATTTTTGTATTTTTAGTAGAAGTGGGGTTTCACCATCTTGGTCAGGCTGGTCTCAAACTCCTGACCTCAAATGATCCACTCACCTCAGCCTCCCAAATTGCTGGGATTACAGGCATGAGCCACAGTGCCCAGTGATAATCTTAGGTTCTACAATAGTGATGTTATGTATAAGAACAATTGGGGAAGTAACAAATCTTGTGACCTCTGGCCATATGACTCCTGAGCAGTAAAGGATTATAGAAATTATGCCTGCATTTTAGCAGAATTCAGGCCTCTCCCATAATCCTAATCACATGGTTATCAATTACTTTTACAAAAGCAGTTTCAGTCCCTAAACAAAGAGGGGATCAGTTTTAGGCAGGGAATACTATCTTCCTTGCTTTAAAGTTGAACTAGAAACTAAATTCTTCCCATATTTAACTTGCCCTACATCCAGGCATGAGCAAGGACAGCCAGCCTGTGAAGCTAGAAGCAGGATGGAGTACAATAGAAGCAAGCATGGCTATGATAGATCTCTCTCATAGTCATAATCTTTGCAAAGGTAGTTTCCCAATCACGCACATCAGAGCCAGCTTCTCAGGCTTCCTGCAACCACTGCCACACACAGAGAAGGGCTCACACTTAAGGCTTAATGTTCTGCAGTCACCAAATCAAAATTCTTAATAATTTTATCTTTGAATTTGTGTTTTGTAAGTGAAGTCCAAGGGACAATGGAGTATGTGCTGGAGGTGTGGAGCCACATTCCAGCCTCCAGCCTCCTGGGCAGGTTCTAGTTTTCTGCTCTATCAGCCCCTGGCATTCTGGACCCCACCAGGACTCCCCATCCCCACCCTGTGCCACCCATTACTGCTGTCACCCTTCACCCCCATTGGAATCAGGGCATAGGCGTGGCGATTGCTGTGGTCTCTGCAGGTTGCTGCACTGTTTTGGGAAAATCGTGGTCTCAGGGAAGGGACTCAGGGAAGGGGATATCCTGGACCTTGCCGGAAGAAAAAACCAAGGTCTCTGAGGTTCAAAGTCACAGGTGCCTAGTAAGGCCTGGAGTGGCCATAACCAAACCTGAAGGCTAGTGAGGGACAGTGAGATTACAATCAACTTAACTCTGAAGGCCTACAGAACCAGGTCCAGGGGGCTGGTACTTGGGCCATGAGCAGAGTGGGCATAGAGTCAGACTACTCTGCCCTGCCCTGGTTCTACTGGAGATGAAAAGCTCATTGCCTGGGACATGACTGTCTCACCAGGGAACTGTAACCCGGCTAGCATCTGCTGGGCCTACAGTGCCCACCTCTGAAGGACCCCTGGGAAGGGAGAAGCAAGGCATGCTCCTTTCCCCCAAACCCTGAGAAAATAGGCAAGACCAGAAACAGCCATTTGCACCTCAACCTCCACAATGTCCATTGCACTGATTGGGGACTGCCTGAGACTGTCAGACTCCCTTTTTTCTGTTGTGACACCAAAGACAATGACAGTAGCAGACAGAAGAAAGTAATTAACACTGGCCCCTTTGGACTGAGTCAGCCCTGGGGTTCTTGGGGTTATTGAAACAGGGGTCCCTTGGGGAGAAGAATACCAGACTTCCTCCCAATGTAGGATGGTGGGGACGGGGCCCCTGACTGTAATCATCTGTGTCATTACTTTGGGCCACTTTTAGGGCCTCTAATTGTAAAGTAGATGACCCAAATTTCACAAGTCAGCATATTACTGTCCTACCTGAGGATTTTCAGAAATAGAACCACACTGCTTGTGATAGTGAATTATATCTCTCCAATTTCATAAGTCAATTACACATCATGTCTATTCATTCCTTCTTTTCTATCCAGACAATCTGGTAGGTGATTGCCTTCTTACTATTATACACTCACACCAATACACACACAAAAAATGACTTGTGAAGAGACACTCCAAAGACATAGCCAGCTGATAAAGACAGGGAAAATTCATTCACCACCCACCTCCTTGGACTCAGAGGCAGGTGCCAGATGTGAGATGGAGCTGCAATGCCAGTACTAACAGCAGTACATTAGCCCTCTGCCCCATAAAGTACTAATAACAAGTCTTTAATCAGAAGGCCTCACCATACAAGAGGGGGCTCATGCCTTCATGGGCACCTGTGATTATGGAAGCTCTCTGCTCATAATGAATGCCTCTGTCTGTGAAGGGAGTCGGTGCTTTTTAGAGGGGTTTGGCTGGCAGCAGTGATAAGGAAAGCTTATCTGCCTGCTGCCTCTCTCTCCCCAACTCTTTCACAGTGTAGGGGAAGGGCTTCGAGGGGATGAATTGTCTATGTGACCCACTTCCTCCTCCAGCCAAGCACTAACTGCTCTTACTCATGGGGCAATCCCTGCACCAAGGTGCCAGGCATGGTGCTGGGAAAAAGGGGTACAATAGTAGCAATACTCTCACCTTCTTTCTCATGGAGCTCAGAGTCTAGTTGAATCACAGGAAGTTACAATTAGCTGTTTTAGGGGCTTGTATGCCCACTAAAATGTGTGTTCCTCCTTCTGTATTATAACCTTATCATTGGACAGCTGTCCCTAGCAACTAGTGGGTACCATGTTGGTGCCAATGGAACAGGAGTGGAAGGAACATGGGATGCCTCTGTGTCAGGGCAGTGAGGGGCAGATGTACTTTGCGGCCCCTCCCTTCTGCTCCAGCTGGATGCTATGCACTCTGAGGCCCTAGAGGATGGCAGAGCTACAAGATGGAAAGAACTTGGGGCCTTGATTCACCCTGTGGAGAAACTCACCTAACAGTCAGGAGCACCTGCAGAAGATGGTTAGATGAGTGACAAATAAAATTCTATTGCATGGAGCCATGGAAATGATGGGCCTTGTCTCTGCAGATGACATTTTCCTAACTAATACAAGGCCATAGTTGGAGAAAACAAAGGATACTATGGGGCACCTAGCAGAGGACCTCTCCTCTTGTCTGAGGGTCCAGGACCACGCCCCAGAGGATTAATTTCTGGCCTATACTTGAAATGTACATAGGCATAGGCCGGCCTAATGGATGAAAGGGTAAAAAGCAGTTTTCCAAGAAGAAAGAATAGCCTGTGCCTGGGCCTGGGGAAAGAAAGAGGAAAATGGGAAGCTCAAGAAACTGAAAAGTGTGGCCAGTTGTACAGCCCAGTGGTGAGGGGAATTGAGGGGAGAGAAAGAAGAGAACCAGGGAGGAATGAGGCTGCGGAGATGGCCTAGGGCCTTGTCAACCATGCTACAGCCCTGCAGCTCTACCCTGGGGATCCTGGGAAGCTGCAGATGGGTTTTCATCAGGGAAATGACACAATAAAATTGATGTTTTAGAAAGATCACGGCGACTGCCATGTGGAGAATAAATTGGAATATTCTTGGAAGAAAACATGTTCATTATTTCCTCTTCCTGCCAAAAGTGTAGGAGGACAAGGCCACTGAAACAATGTGAGTGGCCGATTGCTGGAGCCTGGAGGGATTCCCAAACCCCACTGTGGCCTCAGGACTTTGGGGGACAGAGTGCTGGGCTGCTGGAGGGCAGTGTGAGTGATCTTTGTTTACAACATGTCAGGATGCCAGGTGAACATGTGGGGCCTCGAGGGGGCCTGCCCGTGGGAGGGAGCCTGAGATGGAGACCTCCAATCCTCACTGAAGGCTGAAGGACCCCAGCCAACCTAGCTCAAGGGGCCTCCATCAAGATCCTCAGCACACAAAAGGGAAACTCCTCTGCCCACTGACTCACCTGACACCCGCCCCCTTGAAGGCAACAGCACTGAACAACTGCAGTGCTCATGATGCTGGGAGAAGATTTCCCACCCGGCCGCCACCTGAGAACCACAACCACCACCCTGCCATTCCTGGCATATACTCAGGCCCCCTTCCTTCCTCCAGCCTCTTCTGCTGGGCCTGGCACAGTCTCCTTTTAGAGCTCCCAAATCCCAAAAGGGTGAGTGAAGCTCTTTCGCAGACCTGAATCTTAACTGCAAATGTCATCCACCTTTCTAGTACCCTTTCACTAAAGTGTAGAGAAGCACAAACATACAAGTTTAACTTCCGCAGGGGCACAGCTGAGAGGGAAAAATGTATGTGGAGGATTCTTCATCCATCCTTTCCTGTAGAAACTCTTAAGCTATCCCCTAGTTAAACTAGCAACACATAGAGAAACTGAAATGCATCTTTCTGATCCCCTGTAGAGTACCTTAGCTGAATTCCACTGGGAGGTGATGTCACAGGCCTATACTAAAGGATGTGACAAAACATAGCTCTGAGGAATTTGTCATATCTTCGGGGATGCTCTTGAAGCCACTGCTCTCTGAATTACACAGGGGGTCCTCTTTACAGAGACCCATGGGAGAAATTTCTCTCTGGTCTAAATCCCAGAATTTATTGTGCTGCTTCTGACCAACTGCTATGTGACTCATGGGACTGACCACACTACCCCCGACCACACCGTTTTGAGATGGTTTTAGAAAGTGAGGGCCAAGTGTGTGGTCCACCCTGGCTAGGACTCAGAGCCTGGTGGGACACATTTTGTACTCCCAGTTTCTTATTTTTCCCTCCCTCATTCTCCTCTTGTTCTAATTTCCTCACTTGCTGATTTTGGTTTCATCTTGTTGGATTGCATGTTTTTTGCAGCCCACCTTAAATCCTTTTTGGAACAAGGTGGGAGTGAAAATAAATAAATAATAGAACTATTAGCCATCTCTTGCCATCATTATTGTAAAGCAGCTACTAATGATCAAAATACATGACACTCTCAAGCAGAACATGGTTCCTGGTAACGAGGATAGGAAGGGAGAGGAGGATAATGACAAGTGGCATAGGTTAGCCCAAACAGAAAGGATTTTTAGGGATATTTTCTAATTCTGTTCAATGCAGAATTTTAGCAAATAAAACAGAAAAGGATCCTCGTCTATTGGGAATTGGTAAAATATAAATAATTGTTGCCACTAGTCTAGTTGGGTGTCTGCCATTGGTGATCCTTGGGAGCTTTCATTGAACAGAGCCTTCAACACTTCTTTATTCTGAGCCAAATTCTTGCTTCTCTGTATGTGTTACAACTGCTGGTTATTCTAAATAACCATTTTGAGAGAAAGAGATGCATTAATGAAAAGATATTTTTGTAACAGTACACAGTCTTCACTGAAAACTAGAGCTTTGCTATTGGCCTTGGCTACACACTAGATTCAAGACAGACAGGTTGTCCACATTATCCATAATCCTAACCTTTTTTCTAACCAAATAGATCACATACAAAGCCATTTCCTAATATACCAACCCCAGCCCTCACCTGCCCCAAAGCCATTCATAAGTCACTCTTCTGAATACTTGCTGCGTTTTAGCCACAAAGTCTTAGTTCTTTTAATGCCTGAAATTAGAAATTCTAATAAAATTGAATTTCTAATAAAATTCTGATAAAATTGAAACTTTGCATTTTCCTCTTCTTCCATTACTCTGCATAAGTGTCTCAAAAGATTGACAAGCCTACTTATGAGTAGAATTAAAAAGATGCATTTTATAGCTTTCCCAGAAAATTGTGCCTTTCCAGTTTTCTCTCCTTCCTCCAGAAACTTTGCAGGCTGTTTGGAGGGATATTGACAAGAAGAGAATATAATTTCCTATTAGAGAAGTCATGGGAAATGTATCAGTCTCCTACAGCTGCTGAAACACATTACCACAAATTTGCTGGCTTAAAACAACACAAGTTTCTGATCTTACAGTTCTAGAGGTGAGTAACCCTAAATGAGTCCCACTGGGCTAATTCAAGGTGTCAGCAGGGCTGTGTTCCTTCTGGGGGCTCCAGAGGAGAAACCATGTCTTTGTCTTTTCCAGCTTCTAGAGGACTCTCACATTCCTTGGCTTGTGGTCTCTTCCTCCAATTTCAAATCTAGCGATACCAGGCCAAGTATTTCTCATTGCAGTCATATTTCTGCTTTTGATCTCCTCTTCCACTTTCAAAGACCCTTGTGATTATATCAGACCCATCCAGATAATCCAGGATCTTATTTTAAGGTCAGCTGATTCAGTTCTAGCTGCAACCTTAGCTCCTCCTTGCCATGTAAGACAACATATTCACAAGTTTTGGGGATTAGGACTTGGACATCTTCAGGGGGGCCATCATTCTGCCAACTACAGCACATGAGTCCTCAAAGAGGGAGTGCAAAGATAGTCTCCCTTAACCAGGTCATACTTCTGAAGCTACCAAAATATATAGATTATCTTTACTTTTAATTTTTATGGCACAACCTTTTCCATAATCTGGAAGCATTTCCCACATTTATTTAATCACCATCAAACTAAAGAAAATGTCATTCAGAGACATTTATTCATTTTTTTCCAATTCATTAATCAAAGGAGGGACAAACGTTCTCCTGGATTTTCTAATAGTCTGACATAGGCCAACAGACAAGCATCTTGTTCATCAATGCCCAGGTATCCTTTACTTCCAGGTTCATTCATAAGAATGGCATCTTACTCCTTTCAAGTTGAACATAGCCAAGTGACTTGCAGTCCTTCTTGTGAGCTGGAAAGTACACACGTCTCCTCTGCTACATCTCATTATTAGAAGCATTTAACTGTCATTGCCCCACTTTCCAGCCCTGTCTCCCACTGCTGCAGTGATCACAGAAGAGTATGTTAGCATGGATATGGCATATGATTGACACATCCTGGAATGCTGAGTCAGTATATGCAGGGTAGGTGCTTTGGAGAGTTTGTCTGACTTGCAACAGACTTTGTATAAGTGAGAAACTTTTGCTGTACTAAGCCACTAAAATTTGGGGCTATTTGTTATCATAACATAATATTGCCTGCCTTGATTAATACATGGCCCATCTATGAACTAGAATTATCCTCTTCAACACCACCGCCAAAAGAAGGGAAATCATAACTACATCATTTTACTGGCACAAAACCCAAGCTGGAGTTTATCTGACATACTTTCTAAGCCATCACATTCTACTCTTAAAATATTTATGAGGCCGGGAGTGGTGGCTCATGCCTGTAATCCCAGCACTTTGGGAGGCCGAAGTGGGTGGATCACGAGGTCAGGAGATGGAGACCGTCTTGGCTAACACAGTGAGACCCCGTCTCTACTAAAAAAAATACAAAAACTTAGCTGGGTGTGGTGGCAGGGGCCTGTAGTCCCAGCTACTCAGGAGGCTGAGGCAGGAGAATGGCGTGAACCCGGAAGGTGGAGCTTGCAGTGAGCTGAAATCGCGCCACTGCACTCCAGCCTGGGCGACAGAGCGAGACTCTGTCTCAAAAAAAAAATTTATGAAGGTCCACTATAATACGGTAAGTAACAAAGTTAATCTTTGTATTCTGATATTAATAAAAATGAGCTTCGGAACCCATTATATAACAAAATATTCTTTGCTTATTAGCAGAGTATTGATGATGAACTTAATCATAGTTGATGGTGAACCAAAGATTCAGGAAAAAGGCCTTTTGGTTATATGGCTCATGCTGACAAGTGTCAAGCGACCACGGGACTTCAGAGCACTGACATGGTCTGTGCTTGGAATCCAGAGACCAATTCCATACTAAAGCAGAGTTAAATTTCTGTTTTCTTTATTGCATTTCTAATAACCATTATAAGCACCTAACACAGCTGCTCTGGGCACAGTGGTATGTACACAGTAGGAATCTAATAAATATTCATTGAATGATCTTCATGGCATCTGATATTCAAAATAAGTTTGCTATTGCAAAGACACCACCAAAAAAATGGAAATTTTGCTCATGTTGTATGCCTCCAGGACTGGCCATCAGAGCATTAAAGTACTGACACTGACTCAAAAGTATATTCCATTGCAACCCAAACTTCTGCTCAAATCAGCATGCCTCCTCCTGTTGGTTTCGGCCTACATGATCAGACCGACCATATGGAATATTAATTTCATATGCAAATGAGGCATTAGCAATCACCGACTAGTGGATGCAACACTTTTGGTGAGCAGTGAGCCATTCATTATTTATCAAACACAAGATTAAGAGACACTTTAGATCAAAAGTCCTGTTGTAAAAATTTTACTTTAATAAAAACTTCTCTAATATTCAAAATAAAAGAGAATGAATTAGTCAGTCATTACACGACCTCCATTGCCAGAGGAATTGAGCAGTCCTGCAAACTGCAAATTGGGGTGTCTGCTTCAAGCCTCGGGCTGCCAGGGCACTTTATGGGGCAACAAACAAGAGAGAAGGAGCTGGCAGCTCTTGCAGAAGGACACAGACAGCATACTGAGTGTGCTCACACACACCTGCTCATCTGGATTTACACCTGCAATGTGTCTCAAGTTCACAAATAGGCAGGGCATGCACATTCACACAGAAGCCAATCAGAGGCCTAGCCAGGAGCTTACTCAGACGTGCCCAAGCCTGGGGTAGGGCCTGACAGGGCCAGGGCCCTGGTGGTTGGCAAGGCAGCACACATCTAAAACAGAACCCCTTTTTGACATCTCTCTGCACTTCATGCTTGATTTTTTAAAACTTTATTTTTATTTATTTATTTATTTATTTTTGAGACAGGGGCTCACTCTGTCCCTAAGGCTGGAGCACAGTGCTGTGATCATGGCTTACTGCAGCGATCACGGTTCACTGCAGCCTCAACCTCCTGGGCTCAAGCAATCCTCCCACCTCAGCCTCCCAACAAGTGCTGTGATTACAGATGTGAGCTGCCATGCCTGGCCTCCTGTGTTGATTTTATACTATCTCTTTTCATGTGTTTTCCTCATAGTCTAAATAATATCATATCAACAATATTGCAGTGACAACTGTCACCACATTTCAAGTCTTAGAGAACGTGTTTGGGGAAAGGAGTGTCAACCACTGCTCCTCCCAGCTTGTTTCTGTACCTGTTGAAGAAGACTGAGGAGGGATTGGTTAAGGAGAGCCCAAGGGGGACCTGCATCCCTAGGGGTCCAGTCTAGAGGACTGCCAGTTGTTGCAAATTCTGGAAAAATGGCAACAGAGAAGGAAACACATTCCATAGCTCTCCGAGGCCTTTTACCTCGACCACACCGCTAGAGATGGATCGGGGGTATTTTGATGCCTGCGACTGGTATATGACATGAAGGTAAGGTGTAGTTTCTCTTCTGTACTACACGAACCCAAGTCGTGAAACTACTCGGCAGTAGTGAATAGGCGGGGAAGGCCTCCAAAACGATGCCAGCCACAGATCTCTCCATCTGCCACAATGCTGAGATATGGTGATGAATTTTCATGGGGTAGAAAACAACTATACTATATGCAGGGGGGATGGCAAAGAATGAAATGAAGGTCAGGGAGAAATCTGTCTCAAAGCAAGAGAAGTTTTGGGCACATTCACACATAGCTGATATGATCCTGCATTAAGTGTCAGCTATTTCACAAATGAACTTCATGCGATGCTACTTGTACACTGTATTTAATTATGGAGTTAGTTTTTCCAACTTTGCCAACATTATGCTGAAACAATGGTTTGAAAAGTAAAAATCTTTCCCCCAAATTAGCTATTTTTATTTACAGCATATCAAAAGATAATGTGGCTGATTTTTAAAAACTGAACCAACTTATTTGGGAGGTGAATCGCCTACACTGGCTAGATATGTTGTTAATATATTGATAAATTCTAGAATTTTGATAGATTTCTTTCTCTACAGCAGTTAACTGGAAGTAGCTATCTGGAGCTCAGTATTTAAAGGTGTTCTGAGGTCACACTCAGGCTCAGTGACAAAACATTTGCTAAATGATTGGTGATGCTGGTCGGGCATGGTAGTAATCCCAGCACTTTGGGAAACCAAGGCAGGGAGATCACATGAGCCCAGGAGTTTGAGACCAGCCTGGACAACATAGAGAGACCCCATTTCTACACACAAAAAAGATTGTTTTTAAATCAGTACGGTGTGTTGGCACACACCTATGGTCCCAGCTACTCAGAAGGCTGAAGTTGGAGGATCACTTGAGCCTGATAAGTTGAGGCTGCAGTGAGCCATGATCACACTACTGTGTCCCAGCCTGGGTGACAGGGTCTCAAAAAAAAATAATAATAATAATGAATATGACTAGTTGTACTCATCAGGGATGTGGGAGAGGGGAGAGAGAGAGGAAGAGAGCAGGTGGCCAGGAGGAGTAGGGGTTGTGAGGGGGTGAGGAGCACCACTTGTGCCATGTACGGTATCATATTTCCCTCTTATGGGCATGGAACCACTGATAATGCCTCTGAGGCTCATAATATTGTAGAGTGGGTACTGAATTATTCTTGCACTTAAGGGAATCCTTGGTCCTTTGTAAAAAAAAAATTGTTTCAAAAAAGCAAATGTACTATTTACATTTCTCCACTGAAGGACAATTTTTCCTAAGTACATAGTTTCGTCAGTTATTAGACTAAACTATTAAATAAATATGACAAGGAACACAACAGCCTCATTCCTGCTACGCAATGCTAACCATGTGCAAATGCTGCCTGGCCGTCCTGATTGCTACAGCTGAACTGGCGGTTTGTGGAACACGACCTTTTTCTTCCGACAAGCTGGTGAAGCTGAAGCATTAAGAAACTAGCAAAATTCATAAAAATTGCAAGGCAGAATCACTCTTTTTTTTTTGAGAGGGCAACACATTTAAAAAGCATCACTTGTAATTATGAAGCTATTATAAAAACATTTTAAGAATGTGGAAGTACATTAAATTCTAGAGAACAGACACAAGAACATGGCCTAATGTCACCTCTCAGAATAAATCTAATGTACCGAAAGTTGTTTCATTTAAAAATAATAAAAATGTCTAAAAATTATATAAGCCTCTTTAAAATTAAAAGTCTACACTCAGGAAATGAAAAGATACATTTGGGGGGCTGCCTTGATGACTGATATAAAATGCCAGCTAAGTAATTGAGCAGTGGTGAGAGGGAAGTCAAAAATGAACAAAAGATTCTTCTTCACAATAGATTTAGAACACAAGCTGTGATGACATAGCAAGAAATCTTAGGGAACTTTGTCTACTTCCAATTCCATGGATCAAACTGCTTTCTATGCTATAAGGGTTGGAAGCATGAACAAGAAAATGAGGGCCAAGAAAAATGGGAATGTGATCCTGAACTTCTCCAAAAAATTAATAACAATAGTGGCTGCCATTTATGAATCCTACCATGTGCCAGGCACTGGGCTATGTATTTTATACATCTTCCTACACTTAATACTCAAAATAATCCTTTATGGAAAGGAGTATTGTTATCACCAAATTATAGAAGAGGCAGTCTCCTGTCCTTCCAAGGCTCACCCCAAATCCCACAAATGTAATGAAAATTATCTATTAATGTCAAGAATAGAATTACATAGGTCTGAGCTCTGCTGGTGTCTATTAGAAATGGGAAACAGAAAGTCACAGGCTTGACCCAGCCCTAAAGTGAATTTTGTCTGGGCACCTACTAGAACTCAGAGAACAATTCCATCCCAATTGTGAAATTTCTTCTCAATACATTCAAACACATTATTCTCTCATTTTCATCTTCTCAAAAACTAATTAATATCTGTGTAACAATTCAAACTTTCCCATCCAAAACTGTTAAGAGTTTAATATGTACCTATCTGGACTTTTTTCTATATACATACATATACACATATATATACACACATACACTTTCTGTTTTTACAAAATTGAAATCAAATATAATGTTCTGCAACATGCTTTTTTCACTTAATCAAATATATGTATATTTTTCCACATCAGTATGCCTAACTCTACCTTATTCTTTTGTTTCTTGTTTTTTGGTTTTTGGTTTTCTTGAGACAGGGTCTCACTCTGTCACCCAGACTGGAGTGCAGTGGTGCTATCTCAGCTCACCTCAACCTCTGCCTCCCAGGCTCAAGCAATTCTTCTGCCTCAGCCTCTCCAGTAGCTGGGATTACAGGCGCAGGCCACCATCGCCTGGCTAATTTTTGTATTTTTGGTAGAGACGGGGTTTCACCATGTTGGCCAGGCTGGTCTCGAACTCCTAACCTCAAATGATCCACCTGTCTCGGCCTCCCAAAGTGCTGAGATTATGGGTGTCAGCCACTGTGCCTGGCCCTACCTTATTCTTTTGAATGTCTGCCTACAATTCTACTGAATGAATATACTTTTATTCACGTAACCATTTTCCTCCTGTTATTTAAATTGTCTATAGTTTTTTGCTCTTACAAATATGCTGCAGTAAATATCCTTGCATGCCTATGTGACTATTTCTGTAGTAAAGATACCCAGAAGTAATACTGCTGGGTTAAAGAGTTAGGGAACTTGTATTTTTTGATAGATACTATCAAATTGCTAAAACAACTTTCCTAACCAGCCTCTTTTTGTCTTTATGTGTTCCTCTTCCGCTTTGGGGTATAGTCTTTAAACTCTGTCTCCTGCCTCTGGCCTTTCTTATCTGTCTTCTTCACTTTTCCTTTCTCCTTTCAGTTCTGTCTCCTTCCCTCTTCCCTGCCCTTCTCTCCACTTCTGTTTACCTCTACCCCCCATCCCTCTACTGCCCTGTTTACCTGATTATAACATGACACAAAGACATATTT
Organism: Homo sapiens; assembly: GCF_000001405.40. Lineage (NCBI taxonomy): Eukaryota > Metazoa > Chordata > Mammalia > Primates > Hominidae > Homo > Homo sapiens. Next base: position 53,954,686 of record NC_000003.12, on the reverse strand, counting down.
CAAATTTCATTTTATTTATTTATTATTTATTTACTTTGAGACAGGGTCTCACTCCATCACCCAGACTGGAGTGCAGTGTCGTGATCACAGCTCACTGCAGCCTCGACCTCCCCAAACTCAAGTAATCCTCCCACCTCAGCCTCCCAAGTAGTTGGGACTACAGACACGCGCCACCATACCAGGCTAATTTTTGTATTTTTTGTAGAAACAGGGTTTCACCATGTTACCTAGACTGGTCTCGAACTCCTGAGCTCAAGCAATGTGCCTGCCTCAGCCTCCCAAAGTGCCAAGATTACAGGTAGAAGCCACCACACTCAGCCATATTTCAAACTTTAACTTGTTATGAGCAAAGTTTTCTGTTTTTGTCAAATACATAATTAGATAGTTTCATCTTTCATACCTCTCTCTATAAACATACAATAAAACACAGTAATAAGTAACTTTCATGTGGCCCTTAATTCCAATGACCCATGGCAGGAAAAAATGTCCCCCTTCCACCCTAGATACACAAGACTAGTGTCCAAAACATCAAAATCTATCCACAAAAAAAGTAAAAAACTCAGGTCATTACCAGGAATTTTGGGGGGGGTACTGTATGCTGAATCATCTAAATATTTAATCTTTTCCATTTTTAATTAGATATTCAGTGTTAGTAGTTAGAATAAGATGTAGGCAACCATGATCACAGAAAGTACTTGCAAGAATTTTTCCCCCACAAACCTTTTCATAGCAGAACAATGATCATGAAAAATCTGCTTGACTTCAATTTCTGCATAACCAATCACTCCAAGAATAGATCTCTCTCTGGACTTTTATACTAATCTCCCTATAGGAATCAATAAAATGTCCCTAGGCAAACACACAGTGGGTAGTTCATGGGCTTAGAAGACTATGGAAAACAAATTACAGGGGCTTTCAATTTACTTATCCATGTATTTTTTTTCAATGTATTTATCAGCGTATTTTTCTTTTTTATGAAGAAAAAGAAAATGTGATTTTCTATTTCTAAAGTAAACACTTCAAGAAATATGAAGAGCTAACTTTGATGAAGAAACAGGAAAAAAGCATCTATATGCTATGCTAGGAAAACAGCAAAGTGGCCGGGCACAGTGGCTCACGCCTGTAATCCCAGCCTTTGGGAGGCCGAGGTGGGTAGATCACTTGAGGTCAGGAGATCAAGACCATCCTGGCCGACATGGTGAAACCCCGTCTCTACTAAAAATACAAAAATTGGCTGGGTGTGGTGGCACATGCCTGTTATCCCAGCTACTTGGGAGGCTGAGGCAAGAGAATCACTTGGACCCGGGAGGCGGATGTTGCAGTGAGCCAAGATCGCGCCCATGCACTCCAGCCTGGCGATAGAGCAAGACTCTGTCTCAGGAAAAAAAAAAAAAAAGCAAAGTTAAAGGATAAAACCTAATTTAAAAAAAGATGAAATTTCCTTTGAACTATATATGGGAATAAGAGATAAAGAAATTAGATGTGCATGGGTATTGGAGAAGAAGGGAGCCATTTATGTTCATTGAAAAAGTCTAGAAAAATATGTACCCAAATGCTAATATTTGTTATCTCTGGGGATTGGAATTACAGGGACTTATTTTTCTGTTTGTCTGAACTCCTTAATTTTTCTCCAGTGAACACAGATAATGTGTAAAAAGCAATCAAAGTTGAAAACTATAAATGTTTGTAAAAGTGTCAAGACATTTAAAAGTCTTCACAAAATATATCTAGGGCTTTGTCAGACTCTAAATACTTGACATTTGACTTGATAAATTTTGTTGATCCCAAATTTCCCACAATTTCCCTGCTTCAATACATGAAACAAGTTCACAGAGTTGATGCCTAGTACAACAAAACAGAAAGTCCTGAAATACTAATTAAAGATGGTCAAACAATTTGGTAATAGATATTAAACAATTCAATATTTACATAACATAGTTAATAAGAAATGGTATTTACTATCAGGGATTTGTTTCCAAAACATTCTAGTAGCTTAGAAAAATGAATAATTCCAAGGTGATTCAAACCAACAAGTGCTCCAAATGGAATCTCTTCACAAACAGTGCTGCATCAATTATATAAACAGTAGCTAACTTGGCTTACTAAGGAACAAACTTTTTCAGATGCCAAGGAATGTTCATAGTTTGCACCTTAAATTTGCTGCAACTTCAAGGCTATGCATTGCAGCATTACGTATAATAGAGACTGGAAGCAATCCAAATGATCATCACCAAGAATCTAGCTGAATAAACCATGGTGCTGTGCAATGGAGTACTATGTCACTCAAAAAAAGGAATGGGAAAGATCTCTACTGCCATGGCATAATGACTAGGATATATTGTTAAACGAAAAAAGCAAGAAGCATGGGGACAAGGTTGATAGTAAGGTACCTTTCTTTTGGTAAGAAACGGGGAGGGGAGAAACATATCTATGGCTCTGTCAAACTCCAAGTAACCTGGCATTTGACTTGATACACTACATGTTATTAATTAATTGATAAAAATACATGTTTGCCTTTGGGAGGCGAAGGCAGGAGGATTACTTGAGGCCGGGAGTTCAAGATCAGCCTGGGCAATAAAGCAAGACCTTGTCTTTATGAGAAATAAAAAATATAATTAGCCAGGCATGGTGGCATGAGCCTGTAGTCCCAGCTGCTTGGAAGGCTGATGCAGGAAAATCATTTGAGCCCAGGAGTTTGAGGCTGCAGTGAGCCATTACTGCACAATTGCACTACAGCCTGGGCAACAAATCAAGATGCTCTCTCTAAAAATAAATAAATTTATCCTGGTCAACTGGTTGAAAGGCCATATATGTGTGTATATGTTTGCTTTTATTTTCATATATATTTACATATATGTATATATATATACACACACACATATGTATATGTTTGCTTTTATTTTCAAAAAAGTAAAAAGCAAGGGATAATCCAAAAACTTAAAAAAAAAAGTTACCTGTGAGGGAAGAAGGGGACAAGTTAGAAGGAATTGGGAAAGAAGCTAGACTTCTTTATGTATTTTATTGTGTAGTTTTGACTTTGAAACTGTATAAATGTTTTATATACTTAAAATTTTTAAATAAAAAAGAAAAACATTTACTGCATCTTGATTGAAGTTTATTTTGGCTAATAATATCTTTCACTTCTACTAAGTTGGAATTTAATAAGTAGAAATGATAAATCGTTCTAGTTTCATTATCCCTGAAACTTAATTCTTTGTCTATTTGACCTGTTAAGCCAAATTTTATCAGTTTCCCACAAATATTTTTTTCTTTCCTACCAGTTTTTCTATGCCACTGATACAGAGTTTAGTGTCAAATAAGAGGTAAGTGTTTTTTAACATGCTAGTATCTTCCCATAAAAGAAACAAACTTCTTATTCCTTCAAACCTGTGTTCCAATGTTTCAGAATAATCATTCCGAAGTGATTTCAGAATAATCATTTCATTGAGTGACTACTACATGTCAGGCACTCTAATTTTAAACATTATGTATATGCTATCTCACTCACTCTGCCCAATGACCCTATGAGGCGAACACGCTCAGTATCTCTATTGTACAGGTGAAAAAGCTAAAGCAGAGAGAGATTAAGTCACCTGCCCAAAGTCACCTGCTTTTTCTTTATAACAACTTCACAATTTTTTTGCATATCATAAAATTCACCCAGTTCAAGTGTACAATTCATTATTTTTAGTAAGTTTACCAAGTGGTGCAACCATACCATACATCCGTTCCGGAACATTTTCATCCCTCCAATAAGATCCCTCATGCCCATTTACAGTTACTTCTTACTAATACTCTGAGCCCCATGCAACAACTAATCCACCTTGTCTGTATAAATTTGCCTTTTCTGGACATTTCATATATATGGGATCATGTATATATAGTCTCTTGTGTCTTGCTTCTCACACTTAGCATAATATTTTTGAGCTTCATCTGTGATGTGGTGTCAGTAGTTCATTGCTTTTCATTGCTGAATAGTATTCCATTGTATGGTTATACCCCATTTTGTCTATCGGTTCACCAGTTGATGAACATTTGGGTTGTTACAGGTTTGGCCTATATGGATAACACTGTTATGAATAGCTGTATGCAAGCCTTACATGTGGATTTATGTTTTCATTTTTCTTTCATCTCTCTCTACCTAGGAGTAGAATTGTAGTGTCCTATGGTAGTTTTATGTTTAATTTTTTGAGAAACTGCCGAAGTGTTTTCAAAGTGGCAGCATCATTTTACATTCCTACCAGCAGCGTATAAAAATTCCTGTCTCTCCACATCCTAACCAACATTTGTTATTGTCTTATTTATGATAGGCATTCTAGTGAGTGTGAAATGCTGTCTCACTGTGATTTTAATTTGCATTTCAAAATGACTAATAGCATTGAACATCTTTCCATGTACTTATTAGCCATACATACATACACCACACACACATACACACACACACACACACACACATTTTGCTGGTGAAAAGTCTATTTATATCTTCTGCCAATTTTTTAATTGGATTTTTGTCTTCTTATAATTGAATTGTAAGTGTTCTTTGTAAATGGTGGATATAAGTCCTTTATTGGATATATGTTTTGAAAATATTTTCTCCCAGTCTGTTTCCTGTCCTTTCATTTTCTTAATAGTGTTTTTTGAAGTTCAAAAGTTTTGAATTTTGATGAGGCCCAATTTAACAATTTTTTTCTTTTACTGATGTGCTTTTTTTATTGTTGTATCTAATACATTTTTTCTTAACTCATGGTCTAGAAAATTATATGTTTTCTTCTACGAGTTTTACTGTTTTAACTCTTACATTTAAATTATGATTCGTTTTGAGTTAATGTTTGTATATTGTATGAAGCAAGGATGTAAGTTTATCTCTTTACATATAGATATCTAATTATCCCAGCACCATTTGTTGAATAGACTATCCATTCCCCCAGAGAATTGCCTTGGCATCTTGCCAAAAACCAACTGACTACAGAAGCAAGGATTTATTCCTGGACTGTTAATTCTCTTCCTTTGATTTATGTATCTGTCCTTATGCCAGTACCACACTATCTTGATAACTGTAGTTTAACAGTGAATTTTGACATTGGGAGATGAAAATCCTCCAATTTTACTCTTCTTTTTCAAAATTGTTTTGGCTATTTTAGGTGTTTGCATTTTTCTATAAATTTTAGGATCTGCTTTTCAATTTCTGCCAAAAAAAAAATCCCGCCGGAATTTTGATAGGGATTGCGTTTATCTATAGATCAATTTGGGAGGAACTGGCATCTTAATAATACTGGGTCTTTCAAACACTAGA